>NW_025791821.1:0-300000 GCF_000001405.40 Homo sapiens
GAATTCTCAAATGCAACTTTTGGGTGCTCTATCTGCCTCCCTTATAAAAGACCCCCAGCACCCATATTATCAGTTTCTTCAGTTGTGTCACCCAAAAAGTTTACAACTTCAGTGGGGCAGAAAATGCTCAATGAACTTCATGCTACTAACATTCAAATTTTTTTTCTCACAAAAGGACATTAAATAAATTAAATAAAAAAGACTTAAGGAAGTTATCTGATGACATTAATAAGTGTATGAGGCTTCTAAAAATCAACCCAAGTGTTTCATCTTATGTGTAGTAGTGCTACACTACTTTAAAGCTATATCCTAACTTTTGTCAAGAAACAGGCAGTGCTAAAGGCAGTAGAGAGATTTGGAAATGAACAAGAAGTATTCTGCAACCAGTCAAATTTAAAAAAAAGTCAAGATTAAACAAAATAGTAAAATAGAAACTGTGACCCCATTTCCAATTGGAAGAGAAACAATGATTTTTGAAAATCTGAATTGGAGCCCTAGTGGTGCTAAGGTAAATGAAAAAAAAAAAAAAAACACTTTTTAATGTGCATATTAAAAGACTTGCAAAATACCAGAAATAAACATTTTAATTACTCTAAAACGTTCTTGTTGAATCAGAAACAAGATAAAAATTTATCATCCTTTTTGGAAAGGTTGAGAAAACTTTAGTGAAACACATCTTTTTATTTCTCTAATTCAACTGAGACACAGATAATCTTAAAAGACAAAGTTATTTATCAAGCAGCTGTTAATTTTAGAGGAAAACTACAAAGTAGTCTGTAGAATCAGAGAGTACAATGGAAAACCTTCTTGGATTTACTTCCTCCGTATGCCACAACGAGAAACAGGAGAAAGAGGCCAGGAAAATGAGTAGAGGCACAAGAGAACAAAAGAGTATTTTATTCTCTTTGAAGCAATTGTGAATGGGAGTTCACTCATGATTTGGCTCTCTGTTTGTCTGTTGTTGGTGTATAAGAATGCTTGTGATTTTTGTACATTGATTTTGTATCCTGAGACTTTGCTGAAGTTGCTTATCAGCTTAAGGAGATTTGGGGCTGAGAAAATGGGGTTTTCTAGATATACAGTCATGTCCTCTGCAAACAGGGACAATTTGACTTCCTCTTTTCCTAATTGAATACCATTTATTTCCTTCTCCTGCCTAATTGCCCTGGCCAGAACTTCCAACACTATGTTGAATAGGAGTGGTGAGAGAGGACATCCCTGTCTTGTGCCAGTTTTCAAAGGGAATGCTTCCAGTTTTTGCCCGTTCAGTATGATATTGGCTGTGGGTTTGTCATAGGTAGCTCTTATTATTTTGAAATACGTCCCATCAATACCTAATTTATTGAGAGTTTTTAGCATGAAGGGTTGTTGAATTTTTTCAAAGCCTTTTTCTGCATCTATTGAGATAATCATGTGGTTTTTGTCTTTGGCTCTGTTTATATGCTGGATTACATTTATTGATGTATTAAAGATTTAAACGTTAGACCTAAAACCATAAAAACCCTAGAAGAAAACCTAGGCATTACCATTCAGGACATAGGCATGGGCAAGGACTTCATGTCCAAAACACCAAAAGCAATGGCAACAAAAGACAAAATTGACAAATGGGATCTAATTAAACTAAAGAGCTTCTGCACAGCAAAAGAAACTACCATCAGAGTGAACAGGCAACCTACAGAATGGGAGAAAATTTTCGCAACCTACTCATCTGACAAAGGGCTAATATCCAGAATCTACAATGAACTCAAACAAATTTACAAGAAAAAACAAACAACCCCATCAAAAAGTGGGCGAAGGACATGAAGAGACACTTCTCAAAAGAAGACATTTATGCAGCCAAAAAACACATGAAAAAATGCTCATCATCACTGGCCATCAGAGAAATGCAAATCAAAACCACAATGAGATACCATCTCACACCAGTTAGAATGGCAATCATTAAAAAGTCAGGAAACAACGGGTGCTGGAGAGGATGTGGAGAAATAGGAACACTTTTACACTGTTGGTGGGACTGTAAAGTAGTTCAACCATTGTGGAAGTCAGTGTGGCGATTCCTCAGGGATCTAGAACTAGAAATACCATTTGACCCAGCCATCCCATTACTGGGTATATACCCAAAGGACTATAAATCATGCTGCTATAAAGACACATGCACACGTATGTTTATTGCGGCATTATTCACAATAGCAAAGACTTGGAACCAACCCAAATGTCCAACAATGATAGACTGGATTAAGAAAATGTGGCACATATACACCATGGAGTACTATGCAGCCATAAAAAATGATGAGTTTGTGTCCTTTGTAGGGACATGGATGAAACTGGAAATCATCATTCTCAGTAAACTATCGCAAGAACAAAAAACCAAACACCACATATTCTCACTCATAGGTGGGAATTGAACAATGAGATCACATGGACACAGGAAGGGGAATATCACACTCTGGGGACTGTGGTGGGATGGGGGGAGGGGGGAGGGATGGCAATGGGGGATATACCTAATGCTAGATGACGAGTTAGTGGGTGCAGCGCACCAGCATGGCACGTGTATACATATGTAACTAACCTGCACAATGTGCACATGTACCCTAAAACTTAAAGTATAATAAAAAAAAAGAAAAAAAAAGAACAAAAGAGGCATTAGTGGACACTTTATAGGACAGTTGATCTATAATCCCTAAATACACTTGCAAATTACTACCAGTGTGGCAAGCTGGAACACTTGACAAAGGCTTGTCCAGGCATTTGGAAGAAGCTGTCTTAACCCTGTCCAGCTTTTGATGGAGACCACTGAAAGACTCCCTTTGTTTAGAGACATAGGTCACCATATCCAGGACCAGTCTTCAGATGATCAGGCAGAACTCATCTGTGCTGGTTCTCAATTTTTGAGCTTCTATGGCTCTAACTACCATTGTTATTTAGGAGTCCCAAGTAATTTGGGTGGCTAGAGGAAAAAAAAAAAGCAAACTTTCTTCTAAACGTTGCAATGAATCATTTTGTTCTCCTCTCCAATCCAGGCCTTACTTATTCATACAGTGAAGGAATTTAGCTGATTTGCTCTAGATAAACAGCAAAGGAAAGTTTCCCATAAAATCCCAGCTAATGGGTCAGTGCCTTATTTTCAAAAACACATAAAACCAGTTTTGAAAAATAAGCTGCAGGCACCAATAAAAATTAGTACATGGAGTTATTATTGCAGATAAGCCCATGGCTCCAAAGGTAAGAGAATCTTTCACCCACTTAAATAAAAACTTGCAGAAACTCTGGCTCACACGTCTAAGGGAACTAGGCCTGACATAAAAATGACTTTGACTTTTGCATAATCAATGGGCTCCATAAAAAGAATTTCTTCTGTTTGTGGACATTAACACAGTGGGATCCAGTGGTTTCCGGGCAGTCACTATTTTGTTGTTGTTGTTGTTGTTGTTGTTTGCTTGTTTGTTTGTTTGTTTCTTAATTCTGATTTGTCTTCTATTAAGTATTTCGTCCCTTGATTTGTGCTGCTTTAAAGTTGTGGGCCAAACTTTCATTTTAGCTGCGTATAGATTTTATGACAAGCTGAACAGCCTCCAGTAATCATCACATCAGCTCTGATTGCTACTGGACCAACATTTTGGGGAAAGGTTTCTGATTGATCTCAAGCCAAATTCCCAAGCCAAGGTGAATCACACATTCTCCAAGACAGCCTGCAGAATAAGCACATTCCTTCCCCTTCTTAGTTTATAAAGACCCTGGAATAAGAGGTGAATAAGCCCCTCTCATAATCTGTGTTTATCTTAAAGCTATGCTTGTTTATTAAGCCCTGATAACTGCATTAGTAACCTTGTCCTTAAAAGGCCTCACCCCCAGTACTTTGGTATCCTAAGGCAAGTAGTTCACTTAAGGTCAGGAGTTCAAGACCAGGCTGGGCAACATGGTGAAACCCCATCTGTACTAAAAATACAAAAATTATCTGGGTGGGAGCCTGTAGTCTCAGCTACTTGGGAGGCAGAGGCAGGAAAATTAATTGAGCCCAGGAGGCAGAGGTTGCAATGAGCCAAGATTCTACCATTGTACTCCAGCCTCGGTGACAGAGCAAGACTCCATCTCAAAACACACACACACACACACAGACACACACACACCCCTCCATAGGTGAATAATCTGATGAGAAAAATGGAAAACAAAAAATTGTATAACTAGTATATTTTCTGTTGGTTTGTTTGGTTATGTATACATTATTTTTATTAAAAGATCTCTAATTCATTAGCTTAAGAAAAGATAGCCACTTGACCAAAATATTATAAAAAGGAAAAATAAAGGCTGTGGTAGCTTTCAGTTCGTGTGACTTTAACTTTTTAAAAATAAAGCACCCTCTGCCAGGCATGGTGGCTCATACCTGTAATCACAGAACTTCAGGAGGCCAAGGCAGGTGGATCACGAGGTCAGGAGTTCAAGTCCAGACTGGCCAATGTGGTGAAATCCTGTGTCTCCTAAAAATACAAAAATTAGCCAGGCATGGTGGTTGGCACCTGTAATTCTAGCTACTTGGGAGGCTGAGGCAGTGCAATGAGCCAAGATCATGCCACTGCACTCCAGCCTGGCAACACAGCGAGGCTCTGTTTGAAAAAAAAAAAAGCAGCCTCCAAGATTATTGATAAAATGCAAATGTCTTCCAGATGTTAATATGTGGTCTATATTATGCAGGTAAAAAATGTAAGTTTCCTAATTGTTTGAAGGATGTAAACTACTTCTTTGTCCTTTGAAAACCATAGACTTGCCTGCTTCACTATTGGTATAGCCTGGGGACATATAAAAGTAATCACACCTCTAAGTATGCTGAGAGAGTCAGCCTTTATCTGCACCTAGCACACAATTAAAACAACTTACCATGTTTTACATTCAAGTGAAAAATTACAAAATGTTACCATTATAACATGTGATTGAGACTATTAAAATTAAATTTTCATGTAAGGTGTATAAGAAAAGTAAACTATGTTTTTAGTAAAATTTATAAAATGGCATGTAAATGCTCATTTGTCTTAGAGATAAAGACTTCTCAAATCAAATCACATAAAGCTAAAGATTTAAGCAGATGGAAGAACAACTGTACATGTTAATCTTGCAAAAGAATATGCTGTCTGAACACATTAAATAAAAAGGGATATATTATATGGTTACTCTATAAATGAAGCATTGAAATAAAAGTGCAGCACGGTTTTCTTGAGATGCTAATCTGCTCTTTAGCAAAATTTGTAAAGAGTTGTCAAAGGGTTTTTAAAAGTTTATGGAAACCTCACCTGTTGTTAAACTGATTAAGATAAAATTGTCTATAAAGTTTAATTTAAAAATAGCAGTAAATTGGCCTGGCACAGTGGCTCACGCCTGTAATCCCAGCACTTTGGGAGCCTGAGGCAGGCAGATCATGAGGTCAAGAGATGGAGGCTGATGAAGGAGAATGGCCTGAACCTGGGAGGTGGAGCTTGCAGTGAGCTGAGATTTTGCCACTCCAGGCTGGGCGATAGAGTGAGCCTCTATCTCAAACAAACAAAGGAAAAAAAAGAATAGCGGTAAATTTAATAGTGGACTAATGCAACAGTAAAATCTGTTTCCACTCTAGAATGAGATTTTCATGTAATATAAAGGCTAATAACAGTAGGTTTTTGTTACTTCAAATTTTTTAATTTATTTTGGCAAAACAAATGACTTATGATAATCTTTATATTTTATAACAGTAAATGTTTTAAATTTCGTACATATTCGGCAGGCATTTCAAAAACAAATTTTTGTTACAGAGTTGTCCTTTCTGAGTCCTCGATTTTAAATGCTACAGAGGGCTCCTGTTTCAAACACATCTTTAACATGTATTTTTAAAAGTATTTAACAACCTTATGCATTTAAGTTGTTTAAATACATGTGGTTACCAAGTTAATTTTAATTTTCTTCAGGTTACATTTTAGTAAATAATATTAACATAAGTTTTGTAGCCATATGGGGTGTCAAAGTTCTAAGGTCTAAAAAGGCTATCAAGCTTAATCAAAATTATTATGTTTAGCCATTGTAAACCATAAAAATAGCCATTTTTTGTCAACGAGTGTCTGTAACCACTTTAGGCATTCTGTCATTTACAGACAATTGTCTTGTTTTAATCCTTTTCTAAAAATGGTTTATAATTAGCTGTAGGACTTTAACAGCTGCTCTCAAATGCAGGTTTATAATTAGATATTAACAAAACTCATGAAAAGCTTAAGAAAATGGACTAAAAACACTGAAGCCATTTTTTCAACATTGACTTCAAATATTTCTGTGTATTTTGTTTTTCAGGGTTAAGGGAACTTTTTTGTGCAGGCAACAGTGTTCAACAACTGATTAAAGTATACTATTGTAAAAAATATAAAAATATTTTATTTTTCCCTCCCTGTTTTCTCTAACACTTGGTAACTAATTTTTGCTTTTCTTAACTTACAGCAATATAGTTGTTTGCATCAGTGCAAAAAAAATTTGTTTTAACAAAACAAAACTGGAAAAAAACTGGTTATTTTACTGAGGCTTTGACTGAAAGGATATGTTTCTCTTTAAAGAATAAAGCTTGAGGCCGGGCATGGTGGCTCACACCTGTAATCCCAGCACTTTGGGATGCCAAGGTGGGGGTGGATTGCCTGAGGTCAGTAGTTCAAGACCAGCCTGACCAACATGGTGAAACCCCATCTCTACTAAAAATACAAAAAAAAAAAAAAAATTAGCCTGGCGTGGTGGTGAGCACATGTAACCCCGTCTACTTGGGAGGCTGAGGCAGGAGAATCACTTGAACCTGAGAGGCAGAGGTTGCAGTGAGCTGAAATCACACCATTGCATTCCAGCCTAGGTGACAAGAGCAAGACTTCCTCTGAAAAAAAAAAAAAAGAATAAAGCTTGACTTCAATAAACAACATAAGTCCCTTAAGGAAAAAAAATGGCTTTAAACCTTGTCTACACAGTTCCCATTCAGGGTTCTGAACCTGTGGTAAGTAGAGAATATCACTTTCTCAAAAGCCTCAAAACACCCCATGCTTTTGGTAACTCAATAAGAGAGGAGTTTACCCAGCTTAGGTATTTAAGGGTACAAGCTCATGGCTGGTCTCAGCGTTAAAACTTCCTGAGATTCCTTGCAGAACGGAGTTCCATGAAAGCCAACTGAAAAAAAAATGTAAAGGTAATTATTCTTGGCTTCACTTTATAAAACTAGGCCAAGTGGAAGACTGACATCTATTTTCCAAACAATTTAGTTCTATCATGATTTTTTTTTACAAAAATATGAACTGAAGAGAAATAATGTGTTTCAAAACTTATTGTACTTCTGTCATCAATGCATAGTCTCATAAGTTCTCATAAGTTGTTTTTAAGTTGTTGCCTACATTTTAAACTAACCCTGCTGAATCCCATGAGCCAATTAATAATCTTTGACTTTAGATCAAAGTAAACAGAAAGTAATGTGTAATTAAAAAATTTGTTACAATATTATATATAATTCTTGGCAAAAATCCTACAAATCCTGCCAGTTGATGAAAATAAATATGGTTCCCATAATACAGAGGCTTGTTTGTATTTTTTTAATTAAAGCTGAATTCCATATACCTAAATCTTAGCAGGCATAACTGTAGCCATCAGTTATAAGGGTGTGTCACCAGGCTTGGGACACTTAAGCTGTCCTTAGCCAACTTGTCTTGTTTCAATACATGTCCTTTAGTAACTCTATTTTTTTTTTCCTTGAGGCTGTCAACTCCAAATAGTAATAATGCAAGTAAGACCACACATAAAATCACCTATCTTCTGAGGACTCTGAAACAATGTCTGAAATAAATTCTAACTGCTGTTTTTTACAAACACCCCTCTGCAGCAGAGAGTAGCCGGAAAGATCAACACTTAATCTCCCTAAAGCAGTTAGGTTCTTTATTTCTGAGGGGAGACTGAGAAAAGTTAGCTAGCTTCCCTTAGGTAAAAAGCAAGGCAAGGGTTTCCAGAGAGCCCCAAGCAGATATGTCAGTGCCTCAACCAAACAGAACACAAAAATCAGCCTTAAAAGAAATTAAGCTGAAACCACTGATACAGGACCTAACACAGTGGCTACTGCCTGAACATATTCCTGCAGCTACACAGACAGAAGAACCTCCAGTCCATTCTGGGAAAAAAAAAAAAACTTGCACAAAACTCAGGCTTACACAGACAAAAGAAAGAGGTGTGGCATAGAATATTTTTGTCTTTTGTATACTCAGTGCCCCACACCCACAACAAGAAAATTTTATTCTCCTTTCACAGGCATAAATTCAGCAAGATTCAGTGGGTTCTCACTGGCTGTATTGGTTGTTATTGTTCAGACAGTAAGTCCAGCTTCTAAGAATTATCATTTAAGCTCCTGACTGATCCTGGGCCAAACTCACAAGCCAGTCTTTCATTTGCATTTTTAAGTCTTCTTGGGCTATCCTGAGCAGTCTCTATGAATTATCACTTCAGCCTCCGATTGGTCCCAGACCAAGGTCTTAGGCTATGCTTTCTTATTGGTCCAAGACCAAGGCTAAGACACATTGTATAAGATAGCTGACAAACTAAGAACATCCCTTTCTCTTTTCAGTTTATAAAAATTTTAAACACTTGCCTCATAGTTTGCAACTCATGTGGGCCCATATTTCTGATGGTGAAATGGTCTCTTCTTTTGCATATTGAAGTTTTCCTCAAACTTTACCCATGTGTTCATGCTCCTTAATCTTCTAAATTGTGTGTCTGTGTAGGTGTGTGTGTGTGTGTATATATGTGTGTGTGCATATACATATATATATACACACACACATATGCTATGTGTATTTATACATATATCTATATACACAAACCAGACTGTATATATACACTTACATATACTGAGTAGTACATATGTGTATGTGTTGCTCTGAGCAATATCTAAAACAAAAAAGAATTGTTACATCTTGTTGCACTGGTAAAACTAGTACATTATCCGAACATGTGACCTGCTTTGTAGCTTTTTTTTTTTTTAATCAGGACTGCCTGAAAAATAAACCTCTTTCTTAAGATTAACTGGTGCTCAATTGAGTCAGAAAATACAGAGGTGTGTTTTACTCACCCTCTCTCAGCCTTTCCATAAAGATTGAGGGATTCTCATCAAGTTTTAATCTATTATGTTTATCTTAGAGTAATTAAGAGGTTTGGTCCCAGTCCTAGCTGCTGGCATCACTATACTACTAACAGACCGCAACCTCAACACCACCTTCTTCGTTGGCACTGTTCTTTTACTAGCGTTCCTGTACATGCATTCTAAATTTTTATTCTTTTCCACTCCTCTATCAAATGACGGGGATTCCAATTATGTTTTCAAAGAGCACTGTCTTTTTTCCTGTTGGGAATAAAGATTATGCTATCTGTTCACCTTAGTTTTGTCTTTCAGCATCCCTTTTTCTAGATTTATTTCCCTTTATACTTTTAGGCTGGGTATAGTAAATATGTTGTTCATCTTCAAATGCTTTTGCTGCTAGTAAAGCTGCCAAATTTTCTGCAGCTTTGGTTTAGGATTAACATAGCATGTCTCCACATACAATGAAATACCTGTGTTAGATTTTGGAATGCCTCTATATATCTATTAGAGTCATCAGAGAACTCGACTAGATTTACATTTATTTTTCTAAGGCCCTGCAATGAAAAGAGAACTTGAAATCTAGTAGTACCACGTTTTTTTGGCATTTTCTACAGGGCCCACATTGAAATTGATGGTTTACAGGGTGGAACAGGGAGAGAAACTGATGACATGGGCATTAGAAAGCCTATAAAAGAGGTGCGGGTAGGGCATTTAGAAGTAGCATTTAAGGGTTTACCAAGGGTTTGTGTCTCTGACTTTGGGGCATTATCTTCTGTATGCCTGCTTTATATGACAGCCAAAGCTCAGAGACAGTTTTACAATGCTTACAAAGATCTGGGTTATCTACCAAGGCAACGGAAGATTGTACATTGGAAACACTGTACATTTCTAGGCTGCATCTCTGTTTAAAGAAGTTTTACCAATGACACCTACTAAGTTTCTCTCTCATTGTCCCCTGCAGGTGTGAAAACACTACTTGCTGTTAGGGAGATTGAGGATTGATCTTTCTAGCTACTTTTTGCTAGGAAGGGCATCTTGTAAGGAAATACAACAGCTGGAGTTCACACTGAGGTTAGGGTAAGGTTTTTCAAAACCACGGTGTTTACATAAGTGGTTTCGTTTGCAGTACAATTTGTTTGATTGCCTCTATGTGAGATGAAACAATCTCGGTTATCAAAATATAAAGTGTTAAAATGAGACGAGGTGAGGAAAAGGATAGCTTAAAAATTCTGAGGCTGCTGACATGCCCTTATAACTAATAGCTATAGATATGCTTAACAAGTTTTGGGTGCATGGGGCTTGGCTTGGCTTAGCTTCCTTGGTCTTATCCCCCAAAACACAAAACCACCTCAATTATGAGTCCACTATATACTCTCATTACCTGGCAAGATTTGTAGAGTAATTGCCCACAACAAATATATTGTTAACATATTTTTCAATATTAATCTTTTTATATTTTCAACCTAGCTGCAGCTAGAGATTTCTGGCTGGCTCACAGGAATCAACAGGGATAGCCTGAAATATAGGCAAATATTAAAGACAACTAATGAGATGAGAATATAATGGCAAACATATGATAAGATTTGAAACATGTAGGCTAGTTGAGGTAGCTCACACCTGTAATCCCAGCACTTCAAGATCAAGATCAGCCTGACCAACACGTAGAAACACCGTCTCTACTAAAAATACAAAATTATCCAGGCATGGTGTCACATGCCTGTAATCGCAGCTACTTGGGAGGCTGAGTCATGAGAATCATGTGAACTCAAGAGGCAGAGGTTGTGGTGAGCCGAGATAGTGCCATTGGCCCTCCACTCTGGTAAACAAGAGTGAAACTTCATCACAAAAAAAAAGAAAAAAGAAAAGATTTAAACATAATTTTTCTCTCTTCATTTCTTATTACTGTAAATAAACAAAGTATGTTAGGCCTGAGTTGAAAATAGTAAAATGAACTATAATTTTATATTTAACCTAAGTATTTGCATAAAGTGCAGCAAAAATAATTATTTTTAAATAGTCTCTCTAAATTGGCTTTTACGAAACTGTTCTTCAGGAGGAACCTCTGATAAGAACTCTTAAAGCCAAGAAGAACTATGGGTTTTACTTTCAAATACCTATGAGTTGGGCAAACTTTACTCTTCTTGAGGTCCAAAAACATGAAAATCCTGGGCCTGTTAGCAAGTGACATTCTTTACTCACCACAAGTCTGCAATATTTTGTGGGTTTTTAATACATATCAGGACGTAATAAATGCACACTTTATCTGTCATATAAATGAAGTTCTTCTCTCTATCTTTCCCTAGATAGCTTTTCAGATATTGAGCAGCAGGGATAGAAACTGTCTTTTGAGATTATTATTATTTTTGAGATGGAGTCATGCTCTGTCTGCCAGGCTGGAGTGCAGTGGTGCAAACTGGGCTCACTGCAACTCCTGCCTCCTGGGTTCAAGTGATTCTCCTGCCTCAGCCTCCTGAATAACTGGGACTACAGGTACATACTACCATGCCCAGCTATTTTTTTGTGTGTGTGTATTTTTAGTAGACATGGGTTTTCACCATGTTAGCCAGGATGGTCTCAATCTCCAGCCCTTGTGATCTGCCCGCCTTGGCTTCCCAAAGTGTTGGGGTTACAGGCATGAACCACTGCACCTGGCCTAAGAAGATTATTTTTAAGGCAGGTTTCAAAAGTATTAAGAATCTGTTTGACTCTTTTCAGTAGTTTTTTTTCTTGTTGTTTTATAAGTCAAAACTTGGTGGAGGACATTAAAAACATTTCACTGACTGAAGGCTCATAATGCAATTATAAATATTTAGAGTGCTGAAAAATGTATCTTTCAAAAGTGGTCCATTCTATCTTTGCATGGGAATACTGAGGCTTTATTTCTTTAATGAAGCTTTCTAAGGCAAGAGAGACTTCCAGTATATTGCAAAATTGTCTGTTTTTTTTGTTGTTGTTGTTGTTATTTGTTTGCTTGGCTCTCTGGTTTCTCAATCTATTTTTCTTGGCTGCTTTATCAGTCCCCTACTTGTGTCCTCTACAATGTAGTACTACTACTTTCCACGAAAGAAAAAGAGGAGAAAAATCTATGTATATCCTGATGATACTTAATGAGTGACTGTCAGAAAATGTATTTCTTTCCACAAAGTGGCATGGTCATAGATGATCAGAAAAGCATATTTAAAATGAGTATAAATATTATAAACATTTCTTTTTTATTTTTTGCTTCATTTGAGTGTTCTCACAAGGGCAAGTAACTCAGTGATTTGAACTCTGGTGCCTGGTAAGAGAGGCATATTCTCAGTAATATAATTCAAAGGGACTACTGCATACCCTAACTTTGGTGTTTCTTGTTTTAGGAAAGAGCTCCATTTCTACATTTACTAAGGGAGTTGCTTTGAGGTCCTCTCTGGCTGTGTAAGTTTTTACTACTCTCTGTTAACAATCATGCTGAGACCAGCTCAGTTGGTGAGACCCTAACCCAGTGGCAGTAGTGGAATTAAACACACACACAGAAATAAAGAGGTGTGAAGTGGGAAATCAGAGGCCTCACAGCCTTCAGAGCTGAGAGCCTCAAACAGATATTTACTCACATATTTATTAACAGCAAGCCAGTCATTAGCATTGTTTCTATAGATATCAAATTAACTAAAAGTATCCCTTATGGGTAATGAAAGGATGGGCCAAATTAAAGGAATAGGTTGAGCTAGTTAACTGCAGCAGGATCATGTCCTTAAGGTACAGATCATGAATGCTATTGTTTGTGTTTAAGAATGCCTTTAAGTGGTTTTCTGCACTGGGCAGGCAAGGTGTTCCTTGCCCTCATTCCCATAAACCCATAACCTTCCAGTGTTGGCTTTATGGCCATCATGCACATGTCAGTGCTGGAGAGATTTTGTTTATGGCCAGTTTTGGGTCCAGTTTATGGCCAGATTTGTGGGGGGCTTGTTCTCAACATGCTCCCTTCTTTAATTTTCAAATTGATAAAAACAAAGGCAGCTTTGTCATGGTGAGCTACTTCTTGCAGGAGTCAGGAATCCACATCTGCAGACTATACAAACAAAAACAACACAGATTAAAAGCACAACCATCACTGAAATCACAGAGCTTCCAAGTGTTTTGATCCATTTTAATGGGTTACCAGCTGCTAATCTGTCTGCAGCTCCTTTAAGCACTCCAGTTCCTGGCATTAAGGTCGGGTGTGCCTGGGATGCTTTAAATATTTGTTCTTTTAATTTTGCAATATATGCTTTTTCATTCTTTCACAGATTTTGATCTTATTAAGAGGTGTTAATGGTTTCCACAAATCCTTATGTTTAGCTCCTACAGCAGGCCATATCATTTGAGGTTGAGGTGTAACTATACCGCCACGGTTCCAGATAATAGGAACTCTTGCCATACTTCTTATCATTTCTACCATCCTAACATTTTGTTCAGAGAAGCTGAACATAATGTGGCCATGGCATGCAGACTGAGAGGTTCAATTCAAGAGAAACATCCCCTTAGGGGATCAATCAATAATGATTCCGTAGGAATCATTGTGCAGCACCTCTGCCTGTTCTGCAAAGAAATTTTCCTAAACAATTACATTCATTATTTCTGTCCAGGTTCTATTTTGTATACAAATAGGTTTTTGAGGGCAATATGCCTCAATTATAGGAGAAGATTTATTATGTAAAATACTGAGATCAGAAGGCATGTGTAACTGTGGCATAAAGTGACTATATCCAGGCATTATTACCAGACAGGATTGATAAATATGCCCAATAAGCATAATTGTTCGTGTGTCAGCCCTTGTTGAAGGAATACTCACAGCAGTGGTGATAACTGCTATGATAGCTACCATTAAATTACTCATTGTGACTGGTTGTACTGCTTTCCTCAGGTTTTCTTCTGCCACTTTTGACAGCTTCTTGATCTGTCCCCAGGTCAGTGGCTGTGTTCAATGGGTGTTGCTCATGACAGTTAGGGTGTTCCTCAGCGGCAGCCTTGATGTGGCTGCAACTGGGGGATCCTCGGGATCCTCACGGAGTCTCTTCCTTGGCATCTGGCTCAGGATAAGGTTTCAGGTGTCTTGATGGTGTCCAAATCGGTTGTTGATTTTGGCCTGGAGAAACACAAGCATAACCTCTACAGCAAGTTATTATTTTACCTATTTCCCAATTTCGTTATTGGATCTCTCCACCAAATCAGTTGTTCTGCTTCTGTCTTTGCAGGTGGTTTCTGGAGATGCTGTTCAGCTGCTGATAACATCTGGCCTTTGGACAGGCTCAAAAAAATTAAAGCTAATAATGCTAGATTCAATTGCATCTATGGGGTTCCATATTCTCCATTTCCCCCTTTCTCCTTTGCAACTGCTGTTTTAGGGAAAGATTCATTCTTTCCACTATGGCTTGTCCTTGAGAATTGTATGGGATACCAGTAATGTGTTTAATATTCCACATAGAGAAAAATGTAGCTAGAGTTTGGATAGTACAGCCTGGGGCATTATCTGTTTTAGTAGAAGCTGGAATGCCCATCACCACAAAACACTGCAAAAGGTGATGCTTAACACAGGCAGAAGGCTTTCCTGATTGGCATGTGGCCCAGACAAAGTGAGAAAAGGTGTCCACACATACATGTACATAGGCTAGTCTCCCAAATGAGGAAACAAGTGTGATATTCATTTGCCAAAGAGAGTTAGGTTCCAATCTTCGAGGATTAACTCCTCCTATAAAAGATGAGGAATGTACCATTTGGCAACTTGGGCATCACTGGATAATAGCTTAACTTATTTCCAGGTAATGCTGTATCTGCATTTGAGACAAGGCATTAACATGGGTTAAATTGTGAAAGTGGCTAGCATTAGATACTGCATTAGCAACTAGGTGATCAGCCATTTGATTCCCTTCAGTCAAAGGTCCTGTAAGAGGTGTATGAGTGTGAGTGATGTAAAAAGGGTACATGCTACTTCTAACTGCTGTTTGCAGTTGGGTAAATAAAGGCATCAGTTGTTCATCTGCATGAAATCATAACTGAGCCTTTTCAATTAACTGTGTGGAATGAAACACCTATGAAGAATCAGAAATCACATTAATAGGCATATCAGAGCAGTAAATACTTCAATTACAGCTACAAGTTCCTCTTTTTGAGCTGAAGTATAGGGCTTCTGAAAAACTTTACTTTTTGACCAAGAATAGGAAGCTTTACCATTATCAGACCCATCTATAAAACAATGAAAATGCTTAGCAGGCTGCAGATTGTTTACCGCAGGGATTGTAAATGCAAACCATTCACAGTCGTGCTCACCTAAGGGGACAGTTAATAAATAGTCTTTTAAATCTATGACTACTAAAGGCCAATTCTTTTTGGAATTATAGCAGGAGAAGGCAATCCTGGCTGTAATGCTCCCATAGGTTTTATAACTGAATTGATAGCTCTTAAGTCAGTTAACATTCTCCATTTACCTGATTTTTTTCTTAATTATGAAAACTGGAGAATTCCAAGGGGAAAATGTTGGAGCTATGTGCCCATTTTCTAATTGTTCAGTAACTAATTTCTCTAGAGCCTCCAGTTTCTCTTTACTTAGCAGCCATTGTTCTATCCAAATTGGCTTATCTCTTAACCATTTTAAAGATATAGCTTCTGGAGGCTTAACAATGGCCGCCATGAAAAACTGTTTCCTAATCTTTGGCGAGAATTTGTCTTTCCACTTGAAGATTTTGTTTCAACCCTTGCAATTTTTTTATAGTCTCATACCAGGAACATACCCCATTTCATGCACCATATGTGGACTTTGAGGGCTATATAATTGTCCTGGAATTAGAACTTGTGCTCCCCATTGTTTTAATAAATCTCCTCCCCATAAATTTATAGGTACCGAAGTTATAATTGGTGGAATAGTCCCAGGTTGTCCATCAGGCCCTTCACAAAGCAAAATAGAACTACTTTGATATACTTCAGGGGCTTTACCAACTCCAACTCTGTTAAAATGAGCGGGTTGAATTGGCCATCTGGATGGCCAGTGCTGTAGAGAAATGATTGAAATGTCTGCTACTGTATCTACCAAACCTTTAAATTTCTTTCCCTCAATAGTTATTTCACAGGTAAGATGTTTATCAGTAATTTGATTTACCCAATAAGGTGCTTTGCCTTGTTTATTTGTGCTTCCAAGTCCTCCTGTTCATTTAATTTCACATTTTCCCATTCCCATATACAGCACAATCAGGAGCTGTGCTATACACTCTCCTGGCTCTGCTTTTCAGGGAACAGAAGTAGATATAACAATTTCAATTTCCCCATTATAATCTGAATCAATGACTCCTGTATGTATTTATACCCCTTTTAAACTTAAACAAGAGCTGCCTAGAAGTAATCCTATTGTCCCTGCTGGCAAGGGTCCACAGACTCCTGTTGGGACTTTTGTGGCAGTTCCCCAGGCAGAAGCCTCACAGCTTTTGTGCAGCATAAATCTACTGGGGCACTACCAGCTGTGGCAGTGGACAGACATTGTACAGAGGTGAGGGAAGAGCCTGAGCTAGAAATGCCCCAGTTTAGAAGAGGGCCCAGGATGGGCACCCCATGGCATTTCCTGAAATTGCGTTCCCTTCTTTATCAAACTTAGAGTGACACTGATTAGTACAATGTTGTCCTTTTATACATTTTGGACATATTTCATGCTCAGCAGTTATCTTTTTTCTCCTATCTGGTGGCCTGACTCCCTGATTTTTTCTACATTCTTTTTTAGTATGACCATGCTTCCCACAGTTTAAAGAAGCTCCAGGAAATGGAGTATTTCCTTTATCCACTCTCAGTCCTGCCATTGCCTGTGCCAACAAAGTAGCTTTATGCAGATTGCTTCTGATACCATAACAGGCCTTGATATAATCAACTAAATGTGCTTTCCCTGTGATAGGTCACAGAGCAGCCTGGCAATCAGGATTAGCATTGCTGAAAGCTAATAACTGCAACACTATATGCTGAGCAGCCAAATCTGCAGTCATCTTTTTAAGAGACTCCTGTAACAGAGCTATAAAATCAGTGTATGGGTTCTTTAGGTCCCTGTTTTATAGCAGTAAAGGAAAGATATTGTTCTCCACATGAAGTGATTTTTTTCCCGAGCTCTAATGCACACTCCTCTAAGCTGTTCTATGTCATCATCCTGCATGACCAGTTGTGCATCTTAACCAGCCCAGCCGCCAACCCCCAAAGTTGGTCTGCAGTTATATTAATTTAAGGTTGGGCATGGGTATTGTGAGCAGCCTGAATGGAAGCTTCATCTGCCCACCAAGTTTTAAATTGTAGGAACTAAGCAGGAGTTAGACAAGCTCGAGTAAGAGCATCTCAGTCAGTAGGAATCATCCGACTGGAAACAGCAACATTCTTTAACAGTCCCATTACAAAAGGAGAACCTGGTCCATACTGATTTATAGCTTGTTTAAATTATTTGAGTAATTTAAAAGGAAAAGGCTCAAATGTAGCTATAATATTTCCCTGTTGACCTCGGTGGTGTATTCTAACAGGGAACTTCCAAGCCTCTAAATCACCCTCCCATCTAGTTTGTTGAATTCCTGCCTGAATAGAACTAAGAGTGGTCACTCAAGGTGCTGCTTGAACAGTCATGGGGGCAAATGCTTTTTGCCCAGTGTCCTCCAGAAAAGAAAGATATGGAGGGTCTTTTTCTTCATAATAATAATGAGGGTGTGCAGAAGTATAGGGATGAACCTCTCCTTCCTTTGCCGCTTTAGCTTTAGCTGGCAAATAAACATGCTCTGTAACCTCTTCTGTTACTTCCCTATATTCTCCTTCCTCCTCATCATCAGTACGAAAAAGTTCCAAGGTGGAACGAAACACACCTCACACTTCTCCCATTGTTACCCTGATGCTTCTGAGCTCCCCTTATTACTCACCACGGGGATTGTTTTAAGAGTACTCGGGTGTCCTCCAGCTAGTTCCACCTTCTCAAACCATCACTCTGGTGATGCTTCAACCTGGATTCAAGCCCCCATGATGGACGCCACTTGCCAAGACCAGCTCAGTCAGGGAACCCCTAACCCAGTGGTGCTAGAGGAATTAAGGACACACACACAGAAATGTAGAGGTGTGAATTGGGAAATTGGGGTCTCACAGCCTTCAGAGCTGAGAGCCACAAACAAAGATTTACCCACATATTTATTAACAGCAAGCCAGTCATTAGCATTGTTTCTATGGATATTAAATTAACTAAAAGTCTCCCTTATGGGAAACATAGGGATGGGCAGAATTAAAGGAATAGGTTGGGCTACATAAATGCAGCAGTCGCATGTCCTTAATGCACAGATCATGCATGCTATTGTTTGTGACTTAAGAATGCCTTTAAGTGGATTTCCATACTGGGCAGGTGAGGTATTCCTTGCCCTCATTCCTGTAAACCCACAAACTTCCAGAGTTGGCTTTATGGCCATCATGAACATGTCACAATGCTGCAGAGATTTTGTTTGTGGCCAGTTTTGGGGCCAGTTTTTGGCCAGATTTTGGGGGGCTTGTTCCCAACACAATCATATACAGGTTCTTCAGTTATTTCTGGGAAAAAATTTCCTGGGTTCAAGCAAAGTCAGGTTGTTAACCAAACTACAAACTTTTCAGCAGCAAAGCTTGATATTTTAGGAAAAGATTGTCTATTATCCAAAAACATTCTTTAGAGGATAGCAGTTCTCCTAAATTATGTGGGTGTAAACAGTAAAATTATTCCCCATCGTTAACTTTGTGGCTTCCCACAGCAGCATGTCCAACACTGCTACTCAACTGCTTGGAGGCAGTCTGTTTATTCTTCAGGCAGCAAGTTGAGATCTTGGCTTAGGTAACTTACCAACTGCTTGTCTCGACCATGGGCCTGAGTTGAAACTCTCAAGGCCATCCATTTCTTTTCTGAAGCATAAAATTTAAATGTCAACTTTATAGGAAAACTGAAGGTACGTGCTTTCAGTAAGGCTTGTTTTAGCTGCTTAAAGGTATTTTGAGCTTCAAGTGCCCAGATTAGAAAGTTAGCCATAGCTTCTTGAGTTTATTTTATAACGTGATATAAAGGGTTACCTAGTTTACCATAGGTCGGTATCCACAATCTGCAAAAATTGATAATGCCCCCAAATCCTCTTAATTTTAGAGATGGGGGAAAAGAAAAAGAGGAAATGGGATAAATCCTCACCTTGACTAATGCTCTAGTTTCTTCTGATAGGACCAGGCCTAAGTATTTCACTGAGGTATGACAAAGCTGAGCCTTACATTGTGATTCTTCATAACCTCTGCTTGCTAGATAATTGAGAAGCCTTCTCAGTTGGGGCACAGAGGAGAATGTCATATTGTAAAACTTTAACCTGAGGATGAGATAACTCAGAGAGGTCTCTTGATAATGTCTACTAAAACAGATGGAGGCTTTCTTAAACCCCTGTGGCAATACTTTCCGTGTTAACTGTGTATCCTGTTTGGACAGATTCTCAAAGGAAAAGAGGTATTGGAAACCAGGGTGCAATCATAAAAATAAAAAAGGCATCCTTCAGGTCTAAAACTTTAAATCATTCAGTTCTCTTGGGAATTTGAGTTAGCAAAGTACAAGAATTAAGAACAACCACATAGAGTGGAAAAACTGCCTCAATAGTGAGACAAGTGTTCTTAACTAGCCTCCAATCCTAATTGAGTTTCTCTACTCCTAATATTTGCAGTTTTTTAAAGACTGATGTGGGGTCTAAGGAGGCCTTTCTCCTATAGCTTATTTATAATGTCTTCTAGCATTTTTCTACTTTATGGCTTTGGGAAATAATGCATCTGGCTAGAAAGAATAGTGGGATCCTTAAGGTAAATATTGATGCATGTAGTGGCTGTAGTTCAGTAAGTTTTTTCTTGATATCCCACACCTTTTCATTAATACTGATTTCCGCTAAGGGGAGAAAAAGATTTTGTCCAGAGCCATTAAGATGGTGGCTTCTATATGGGCCAAAATATCTCTACCTAGTTAATATTGATTTCCACTAAGGGGAGACAAAGCATTTGTCCTGGAGCCATTAAGATGATGCCTCCTGTATAGGCCAGAATATCTCTACCTAGTAATAAAGTGAAACTTTCAGAAATGACTAAATTGGCATGAGTAAATAGAAGGTCGTTCCAACTATAACTGTGAGCTGAGAAAATATTGGGTAAAGTTCTTTGCTGACACATCAATCATTTGTCACATAATGGAAGGATAGAAGACCTACATTGGAGAGGAGAACAAAAAGACCTGCTCCAGCTTCCAGAAGGAATTC
Source organism: Homo sapiens (assembly GCF_000001405.40). Classification (NCBI taxonomy): domain Eukaryota; kingdom Metazoa; phylum Chordata; class Mammalia; order Primates; family Hominidae; genus Homo; species Homo sapiens. The sequence goes on from NW_025791821.1 coordinate 20,353, forward strand.
TACCTTCCTCCCTCCCACCTCAAGAATCACTCAAGGCTCCTAAGGAGTATGGCCCTTGAGGAGTATGGCAGCTCTTAGAGCTGAGGAATTGATATCTAGGAATTATTAATCCTGCTAGAGCATTTGTGAGACTGATCCTGGGCCTAGTGATGTATGCCTCTGGAAACAGCACTCCTTTCAGTGGTTACCACAACAAGTTGGACAGTGTTAAGTTGGTTTCCTTTGTTGTCTCAGCATTTCTTGTTAAGTGTCCTGTCTTGCCAAACTGATAACAGTTATCAGGTGCCCTCAGGGACCCACATTTTATAGACCTGTATTGTGGTCTTTAGAGTCTCTGTTCTTTTCTTTTCTTTTCTCTTATTCTGCTATGCTTGTTTTTGTTCCCTATTGTAAGTCTGAAGTAGCCACATTCAGGGGTTCTCTAGAATGTTTCTGAGAGGAGAAAGCTAGCTTGACTTAGGGGGACAGCAAGGAATTGTTCCTGGGAAACCCCCAGCCTAGAGGTCACTGCATCATTTATACATACTACACTAAGCAGCCTGAAAAATAAATCAGATTGCAGACTTCAATAAGATAACTAACACATGGGTGTTGTACCTAGAGAGGCACCTGTGTGTTTACAGGCAGAAGAACCTTCAATCCATTCAGATAAAAATCTTTCACAAATTCTGATTCACTCAAATAACAAAACTAGGCCTGGCATAAAAATATCCTTGTCCTTTTTATAATCAGTGGGCTCTCAGGAAGCAGTTTCTTCTTCATTTGGAAACATAAACAGAGTGGGTTCTGGTTGGCACTGATTTTTTCTTTTTGGACTGTGAGCTGGGCCTCTATGAATCATTATTTTAGTTATTAATTAGGCCTGGGCCAAATTCTTGGGCCAAGCTTTAACATCAGCTCCTGATAGGTCATGGGATAAGCTGAACATCCACTATAAATTATGACTTCAGTCCCTGATTATTTCTGTGCAAGCCTCCTGGGCTAAGCTTTTTAATTAATCTCAGGCAAAGACCCTGGGCCAAGCTGAATCACATGTTCTTCCAAACAGCCCACTGACTAAGCACATTTCTTTGTCTTCCCACTTTATTATAACCCTGAAACCCAGCCTCATAGTAGAAAACACAGTTGGGCCTCTCTTTTTACTAGAAGAGAGCTTTTTCTTTTACTCATCTCTTTTGTTTTAATCTCATCGTTGGTGCCATAGCTTCTTAATTTTTTTTTGGATGTAATACAAAAGTCTTTGGGTATAATATCATATGAAGGGATACTACTATATCTTGGTGCATTGGTGGGACTACAACATATATTGATGCATGGGCTGAGAAACAAATAATTCATAAGAGGGTAAGAATGGATCTTTAATCTTTTACATTCATTTCAAAAACGTGTTTGTTTTTTTCAATCTAGTTTTCTTTCATGAAGAGCCTGGCTACCACATGGGATGTAAAGGAGATCCTAGGGAAACTGCAAGTTTCTCACTGAGGTTACAACTCTGTAATCTGATTGCCCTTAGACTAGTTCCAGTCCCTAACAGCTCATCAGGCTGTTAGCACAAGGACTTCCAGTTTTTGTCTATTAAATTTACCATTTTTCTTCTCACAGCTATTATGTCTTTTATCCATTTTTTTGGTATGGAATGCTCTAGGCATTTTTACAGCCTAGGTATAAAATTTTGCTGAGTAGAGTCACTCAATGACTAAGCAGGAATGTAATTCAGAAAGGTTTGTTTTTGTGATTTCCCTGAAACAAGGGGAATTCAAGAATTCAGTATAAACATTTACCTATTAAGGGCCTTTCTGTCCAACAATGATAGAGTTTTATGGCACTGTATGGGAGGATATTTTACCCAAAGTGAATACTCTTTTTTTAATTTAGATTTTTAAGAGATATTATTGTTTTCCATAGAACAGTTATATCATGAGACAAGTTAAATTTTGCCTGATTGGGGGTATACACTGGAGACAACTGATCAAACCCTGAACTGTCTTTCTAACTTTTGGCTGAAGTGAGTTTGGAGTCAGAATTATTGTTCTTTCTTTTTTCTTTTTTTTTTTTTTGGATGGAGTTTTTGCTCTTGGCATCCAGGATGCAGTGCAATGGTGGGATCTTGGCCTACTACTACAACCTCCACCTCCCAGGTACAAGTGGTTCTCCTGCCTCAGCCTTCTGAGTAGCTGTGATTAAAGGTGCCCACCACCATGCCTGGATTTTTTTGTATTTTTAGTACAGATGGGTTTTTACCATGTTGGTCAGGCTGGTCTTAAACTTTTGTCCTCAGGTGATTCACCTGCCTTGACCTCCCAAAGTGCTGGGATTACAGTTGTGAGCCACCATGTCTGGCCAGGAGTCAGGATTTTTAACCTAGCATTTCTAGCCTTACAATACCTCCTAGTGAAGTGAGATTTCTTTTCTATTGAAAGCTTTGGCAAGTCATTGTCCAAAACTTATGGTTTCCTAATTATTTTCCCAATGATATTCCTCTAGCAGTGATTAGGCCCCATGTTCTATCTGTAAGCAGGCAGCCTCCACTTTAACTGTTGGGAGGAAGACACTGTTGAAGGGCAGATTTTAACCTCTTTGCTGTCCCCGTCTAATGAAGGACCAGCCATTCAGCTTTTGCACTCTTTTGAGGCACCTATTCTCCATTTTCTTAATTTGGGATTTAAAATGTTTGAAAGTCAATCTCTCTCATTCTCTGAGATTCTGATGTTTCTCTGGGAACATAGTTAGGAAAAGCAAGTTAGTATGAGGACATTTTCTCCATTAAAAAGTCTTGCACAAATTCTCCTACTAAATAACGTCTCCCTAAAAACGGAGTAGATGCTTCATGCAGGTAAGCACGGCTAGTAAGCTGACTAGCTCTCCCCAAATCCTTGAGTAAAGGTTGTTGTTTCATTTATGGGAAGCATGTATGGTAGATTTTCAGACCCAGATGAGACAGGGGAAGTAGAAGAAGGGTACCGTAACATTTTCTATTTACCCTGCATCACAACAAAAGCAGGAACAGGTCTCAAGGACACCTTGTCTCCCCTCTGTTTCTAGATGGCAACGATGCATCTGCAGAGTGCATTCCAATGATATGCATTTGGAAACACTGGAATTCCATCAACCCTGAGACTCTGAATTAAAAAAAAAGAAGCTTAAGCCAGGTGTTGTGGCTCACACCTGTAGTCCCAACATTCTGGGAGGGCAAGGTGGGCAGATTGACTGGTCAGCATGGTAAAATCCCATCTCTGCTACAAATACAAAAATTAGATGGATGTGGTGGCAGGTGTCTTTACTCCAAGATACTCAGGAAGCTGAGCCAGGAGAATCCCTTGAACCCCAGAGGCAGATGTTGCACTGAGACAAGATTGTGCCATTGCACTAAAGCTTGGTCAACAGAATGAGACTCTATTTCAAAATACAAATAAATGTAAATATACATATACATATACATTTAAAAAACAGCTTATATTCTGCTGACAACAAAGTGGCCATTTTACAAAGAGAAGGCCTGGCCTTCTCAAAGAAGAATAGTTTCAATACTATCTGGCAACTAAGGCTCTTTTGCCCTTCAAGAAAATTTGAATTTTGTAAGCATTGTGGAATTTACTTTGCCTTTTTATTAGCCATACAAAGCAAATGTACAATACATAATTTTCAAAAGTCAGAGAGAGAAATCTCTGGAGAACCCTCAGATGCTATTTCTAGTGCCCTATCTGCCTTCTTTATCTGGGGCTGCCAATAGCCATATAGAAACTCCTCTGATTGTGCTACCTTAAGAAACCTCCAACTTTGCTGTTGCCTGTATAGCAAATGCCCAATGAACATGGTGGAACTAATTTAAATTTCCTTATCATTGCAGTAACATTAAACCAATAAAGCAGGACTCAGGCAAGTTCTCTGATGACCCTGATAGACATACACAGGCTTTTCAAAATTTAAACCAAGTGTTTAATCTAATGTGCAGAAATGTTGTGAGACTTTTAGGCCAAATTTTAACTGCTGCTGCTGCTGCTGCTGAAAAACAGGCAGCATTGCAGGGAGCAAAGAATTTTGAAGATGAACAACTAGTACCCTATAGTCAGGAAAGAAACACAGTTGAAGGAAAAAAATTAGTAAAAAAGAGATGAATTACTATTTCCAATACATACAAAAACAGTGCTTTTTGAAAACCCTAATTGATGTCTGAGTGATCCCATGGATAAGTGGATAAGAAAACACTTTCTTACGTGCATATTAGCAGGCTTCCAAAGAACTAGAACAAAACCTCTTAAATAATCTAAACTACCATTGTTGAATCACAAGCCAGATAAAAATCTCTTAGGCTCTTTGGAAAGTCTGAGAGAAGCTTTAGTGAAACATACCTCTCTACCTCCTAAATCCATCAACAGACAGATTATGTTAAAATACATGTTTATTTCTCAGACAGCCCCTAATATCAGAAGAAAACTACAAAAGCAGGCCATGGGATGACTCAGCACTGTGGACAGCCTCCTGGGGTGGATTTTTCAGTCTTTTACAAGAAGACCTGGAACAAGGAGTCCCAGAAAATCCAGGGGGGTCATAAGAGAATGAAAGAGGTACTACGGCTACATTACAGGCCTACAAGTTGCAGAATTACCAAGGTGCACCTGCTAATTTCTACTGGTGTGACAAGCCAGGACACTTTCAAAGGGATTGCACAGGCAGCAAGAAGAATATACTTAACTTTGTCCAGCCTGTGGTGGAGACCAGTGAAAGTAAAAATGACCCCAGTGACATTTGTCACCAATCAAATGTGTTTTCCCCTGATTGTTCAGCAGGAATAATGGGTCCCAGGCTCTACAGCCATTGTGATACAGAGGATCCAAGTAATTCTGGAGGTAAAGGCTAAATAATTTTCATCTAGTTTTAATCTGTTATCAGTACCTTAGAGTAATTAAGAAGTATGGCCCTGTTCTCTCATCAACCTTCCAGTATGCTAATTAGATTTTTTTTTTCACTCATCTACAAGATCACCAAGATGTCAATTGGGTTTTCAAGAAACGCTGTTTCCTTTCTTATTAGAAATAAACATTTTGCTATTTGTTTAACTTTTTTTTCCCCTTTCACCCTCCCTTCTTCTTGAATTTTGGCTGGCTGTAAGAAACACACATTTCCTCTATAAAAAATTCTGCTATCTATAAAGCTGCCTGCTTTACTGTAACATTTAGGGATTGCTTTAGGAGTAATGTAGTATTTTACAAGTAAGATTGAACACTTGGGTTATGCTTTGAAATGCCTCTGTATATGAATCAGGGTCATCAGAGGACTTGCTTGTTTCCTGCTATTTGTGTAAGGCCCTGAAATGAGAAGAAAACTTGAACTCTAGTAGCACCACATCTATCGATTATTTCCTGCAGGGGCAGCAGTGAAGTTGGAAGTTTCCTTGGTGGCACAAGAAGAAAAGCTGATGAAATGGCTGTTGGAGGGCCTGCATAAGGGTGGCAGGTAGGGCATTTAGAAGTCACATTTGAGGGTTCCTGAGGGGTTTGTCTCTGACTTTAATAAATTATTGTTTTAAACTTGCCTGATGTGACTGCCAAGAGGGCAGTCAATTTTACAATGTTTATGACGATCTGGGTTGTCTCCAAAATCAAAGTAAGCTTATACATAGAAAATTTCAAAGTGTTTTTTTTCCCATCTCAAGAAAAGATCTAGTTGTTGAACAGTATTAAAATGAACACTTCCCTCAGGAAGCCAGGCCTGCCTGTCTGGAGCTGGTAAGATAGCCATGCCCTTTTGCCAAAACAAACAAACAAAACCACTTTTTTTCAGAGTCACATGGTCAAATAAATTCCAGTGTTTCTGAATGCAACCTAGAGAAGTCCAGAATGCAGAAGGTTTGTGACCTTTCAAAATATATAGAAAGAGAAAGAATCCCACAGTCTCCTTCCTCTTTTTGAAAAACCCTGAGTGAAAAGGAAGATCTAAAGTGTGTTCATTGTTTTTTCATTTTTCTTGTCTTTTATGGATCTGGCAACTATCATAGGTGTCCTCCATGGATACAATCATAATCTTCACCCATGGTTCCAGAGGAGCTAGTAAGAAGGAGAAGTAATGTTCACCTGCACAAGGCGTTAGCTCTCCACTAGTGATCCTTTGTTGGTCTCCTAAGCATACTCAACCCAGAAGATTCCAAAGGTAACTTGGCAACCTAAGAAAGATTATGGGTAGTTTGATTTGAGCAAGGACCTTTTGCACAGGGAGATGTTCAATACTATTTCTGTCTTTCTTTGCTGTTGCCCTAGTAAAATCTTGAAATTCTAGAAAATGAGATCGATTGACTTTGAAACATAAAATTCTCTTTTAGTTTAAATGCCACTTGCTGCTGGAAGCAGAATACATACCTCCAAAAATGTAGGGCTTGAATGGCTGGTCTTCTTAAAATAGCCCTAAGTGGCCAAGTGCGGTGGCTCATGCCTGTAATCCCAGCACTTTGGGAGGCAGAGGTGGGCAGGTCATGAGGTCAGAAGTTCGAGATCAGCCTGACCAATATGGTGAAACCTCATCTATACAAAAATTACAAAAATTAGCTGGGCATGGTCGTGTGCACCTGTAATCACTGCTACTCAGGAGGCTGAGGCAGGAGAATCACTTGAACTCAGAAGGTGGAGATTACAATAGCCGAGATTGCATGACTGTGCTATAGCCTAGGCAACAGAATGAGACTCCATCTCAAAACAGAGAGAGAGAGAAAAGCCCGGAGCTAGAATATGTCTCTCAAAGGCAACTTTCTGCCAACTATTGAAAGTAGAGATTTTCTGTTTACAGATAGGGCATGGAGTCTTATTACTGTTAGAGAGACACAGGAGAGAGAGGAGTTGAAAACCTCAGGGTTTTGGGCAAAGTACTGACAAGTCTTCCTACAGAGAAAAATTTCATCACACTAGGTGACATGGTAAGATCTAAAATGTTAGATGAAAACTCTGACTCCAAGATTTTTGTAGCCAAAAGTTAGAAAAAGAAGGGGAAAACTCTATAGGTTGTCCCCACAGTTCGTGTCTCTGGAGAAAAAAAGATTAATGTGTCTCATAAAGAAACTGTTTAGATTTATATGGCAATGCTGAGCTTTTTACAGAGAAATAACCAACAAAAACAAAAACTTTCTTCTGAATGTATATCTTTCCATACAGTGCCATGAATATCTGTCACTGGGGGACAAAAAAACACTCACCAAATAAAAATTTTTAGAGTACAATTTGAGTTCTTTCTGGTTCCAAAAAAATCACAAAATAGCATCTCTTTTCATTACATTTTTAATTACTAACACACCAGCTGACATTACCCCATAAGATTATATCTCCAGGTTTCAACATTCATACAAACAGGAAATAGAATATATAATAGTCACAAAAAGAAAAAAAATGCAACAGAAATTTCTGGAATTTTTGGTGGCAACATAATTATGGGCTGTCAGAAACTGTAGTTAGTCCCGAGGCTTTCGGGTAACACCGTGGTGTAGTCTTAACCAGAAACCTTCAGTTTTTCAAGATTTTCTTTCAGCCCCACATGATGACTAGGTCCTCCATGAAAGAAAACTGAATTGGAACAGAGGCAACATTTTTGACACCTAAGGGTAAAGGGGGATTGCCAGAGTGTTTCCCAGCAGGCCTATCTCCTGAGCCTTGTAAGGATGGTAGCCATTTTACTGGATTTTAACTGACACTGGCCCAGTGTTTTGTGTGCTCTTGAGAAATTAAAAAAGAAAACCCTGAGGACAACAAGCCTCAGAAATGAATGTAAATAGTTTGGAGGTGCACTCCTAGTCACTTTTTAATTAATCTTTTTCCAGTTCATGCACCAAAAACGTAGTTGCTGTCCCCCAACACACCACAGCGTATCAGTTTCTCATTCTGAGGTGTCACATATATTTTTTTTAATCTAAAGGCCAAGAAATTAAAAGCCATGAATGAAAATGATGAGATTGTAGCAAATGTTTAATAAGTTAACTTCTTGTGGAGGAAAGTGAGTTGCCCACGATAAGGAAGTGTCTGATGTTTTTTATGGAATGGGAAGAAACAGAATGTCCTAACTATTCTTGAAGAAAGCACTGCTGAACTTTTCCAGGGACTTTGACGTGGGACAAATTAGGAGCTAAAGTAGTGACTCAGAAGTGATTCAGCTTGGCTCAGGAACTTGGCCCTGGACCATTCAAGAGCTAAAATAATAGCATGGCCTAGGACCAGCCAAACTCAAACTGCTTCTGAGAAACAGACAGCCCTACATGCAACAAGAGAGATTCAGGGACAACTGCATGTCTTCTACAGCCAGCGTAAAATACAAAAGGTACTCAAAGGGACCATATTGAATCAGAAACCAGATAAAAATTTTTCAGCCTTTATGAAAAGGCAGAGGGACGTTCATGAAACACACTTTTGTAGCTCCTGAATCAATTAATACATGGATAATCTTAAAAGGCAAGTTTATTACTCAGGCACCTACTAATATCAGAAGAAAACTTCAGAGGAAGGCTCTGGAATTGTACACTACCTTGGGAAACTTCGTGGGCATAACCTTCTCTATCTTTTATGACAGGACTCAGGAACAGCCACAGCAAAAAGAGATGATGCAAAATAAAGACAAAGACCAGTGACCCAATTACAGGCCCATAAAATCCAAGATACTTGACATTCACCTGTAAACTCCTCTCAGTGAGGTAAGCCAGGGTACCTTAGGAAGAATGGCTAAGGCATCAAAATGTAGCTACCTTGACCCTTTCCATCCTGTGTTGGTGACTACTACATGTTGGACTGCCTCCAAGAGTGTTCATCACAGTGTGGGGCCAGTTTCCCAGATGGTCCAGTAGACTAATGCATCCCAGATCTCAATTCCCACACTTCATTTATTGCCATCTCATTAATGCACCACAATGTAGCAATCTCTCATTGTGAGGTGTCAAGCAGAGCTCTTTGTCTCATGGCCAAGAAAATTAAGGAGCATGGATGCAAACAGGTTGAAGCAAAAGTTTTATAAGTGAAAGTAAAAAGCTCTTTACAGTGGAGGTGGGGTGTAAGTTGTTTGCCTACTATAAGGCTGGGCTTCAGGGTTGATAAAGACAGAAAATGAAAGAAATGTGCTTAGTGGTCTTGGAGAAACATTACTCAGCTTGGCCCTGCACTTTGGCTGGGGATTCATCAGGAGGTTAAGTAATGATTTATAGATACAACTTAGCTTGGCCTTCATCCTTTGCCCTGGACCAAGCAGCAGCTAAAGTGAAAGCTTGGTCTGATACCTTGGCCTGGGACCAATAACATGCTGAAGTGTTGTTTCATGACCAAGATAATTAATGAAACTACACATAAAGTTCAGATAAGACAGAAGTTTAATAATCAAAAGAAGAAAGCTGTTCACATTAAAGAAGGGACCCATGAGACTTTCCAACTATAATGCTGGGTCTGAGGTTTTTGTGAACTGGAAAGAAAGAAATATTCTGAGTTGCATGTGGGCTATCTTGAAGAAAGCAGTAATCAGCTTGGTTCAGGACCTGACCTGGGACAAATCAGAGGATGAAATAAAAGCTTTGTTTGGGGCATTGCATCAGGAAAACACAGAAGCTGAAGGGATGATTCAGAAACACTTGGCTCACAGGTCAAAACATATTCAAAGTAGAAAAGTGTCCCAGCAGAGCCCACTAGAGCCTACTAGGTATCATGCCCACAAAGACAGAATTGTCTATTTTTTTGAAGCCTGCTGATTATATGAATGACAAAGGTATCTCTACATGTGGCCTTCCTCCCCTATCTGTGCAGCTGTGCATATGTTTTAGGCAAAAACGCAAAGGCATTTTCATGTTCTTTCCTGTTTTCTGATTATTGCAGCTGTGAACATGTCTTTTGCTACTCTCCTCTTCTAGTTCTCTTACAGTTGCCTGCAACTTAACTTTTCAGTCTGTTTCTGTGCTTAAAAGAGTTTTACCAAGAACCCTTCCTAGTTTCCTGTTTTTTCTCTCCCACATCATGAAGGTAAATTTAATGTGTTTTGTGCATAAAACAAAGCTGTGTGAAGAAATATTCTGTGGAGCTTTCCGCTTGTGTCATGTCATCACTCAAGTTTCACATTGGAGTACATTTAATGTTTTTATGTTAGCAATGTTCAACCTGCACTTTCTTCTTTTAAAATAAACGACTTTGAAAAAGAGAATAAATTGTTTTAATTCTTAGATCATTTGGTAGAATTTGACAGTGGAATTCTACCCAGGACTCTAGTCCTAGGGTTTCTTTTAAGTAGCTGTAAGATTGTGAAATATATTTGGTGTTTGTCTCTGTTTTCTGGCATAGAAATCCTGAGTTCTTTGGAATCTCCAAAGTGATGTCTTTTTATATGCTAATAACTGACAGCTTCAGGTTGGGGCTTGTTAATAAAAAGACAAGACTTGATAAGTGTGCAGGGACTCCCAGGATCACCCTGCATTATTTTGGAATAGGAGAGTTGCTGCGGGTACTGGCAGAAGCAGCCTATTTAGAGGGGCTGCAGAAAAGATGCCAGGTGTAGTGAAGGAGGGGCAGCCAGGGCTCTTCACTCTGTGAAGCTGGTGGGAACCAAGAACAGAGAGAAGCCACACCCACATCCAAGTGGAATTAGCAGAAACCTCACCTACTCAGGCACAGTTGCAGCTGCCTAGCCATGCTGCAGACTCAGGCATCCCTGTGCTTTCTGGGGCCTGGAAAGCCATCCTTCCTACAAAGCCTCTGAAATCCCATTGCCTGGCCTCTCCCAGATCCTAGTGTCCCCTTGAATGTTGAAGAAAATTTTTGGCTGAGCCCAGGTGCTGTCATGATCTGACCAGGAGTGCTTACACTTGAGGTTGTACTGAAACAAAAACCATATGCCACCTTAGCTTTCTCTAGTCTTTTGGCCTCAGTGAGCATAGGAGACTCAAGGAGTTGGTTAGGGGCTGAGGGCAGCTTGGTATGGGCCTGGAGGTTTGTCTTTGCAAAAATAGCCTTGGTACCATTAACTGTAGCAGGAGACAGACAGGCATCTAGGCAGAAAGAAGCAGTTTCTCATTAAAACTCCATCTTCAAGCCATGGATTTTCTGAAGACTGGGGGCTGGGCTGCATGTTCTGGAGATGAGAATGAAAAATTATGTCTCTTTCTGGGCCCACCAATAGCACCACTGACCAATCAGCACAGTACTTCTGCCTACTGAAGCCCATATGAACTCCAGAGTTAGGCAGATCATGGATAACTTGCTTGCAAGTTGGAGCTAACCATTGTCGGTCTCCTCTCGACTGAGAGTTGTGCAATTACTGGCATTACATGCCTGCAGTTAGATAGGTCTCCTCTCCGTTAAGGGCTGTAGCAACATCTCAACAACCTTCCTGCAGATAAAAGCTTGCCACTCTGCATCTCATCCTTACTGAGGACTGCAGAGATATCAGCACGAACTGCCTGCAGATTGGAGCTCCTCACTCTGGTTCTACTTGTCACTGAGGGCTGCACAGATGAAAGTAGGTCCTGCTTGTAAAAAGGAGCTGCCCGCTTTACATACCCTGCAAACTGTACTGTCACTCAATAAAGCACATATTTACCTTAATTATTTTTTAGTTGTTCACATACCTCATTTTTCCTGGACATGAGACAAGGACTCAGGACTGAATGGCAAAACTGAAAAATTAGTAACACAAACAGGACTGAAACTCACAACCCCCAAGTTGCCACATTGTTGCTTACCACAAAAAAAAAGGGACAGCAGAGCTTTGGCAAGACAGTGTTGTGACACCCTCTTGGGGGCTGTGCAATTTCTGGCATTTCTAAGCTTCTGGATTCCACTGCATTTCCCAGTCCCTGAAGAGGAAACAGCTTTTGGTATGCCAAATTCAGCCAAAGACCTTTAGGGAGCTGGCCCCTGTGCCAGCACCTGGAACTGCTCATCCATCATAGCCAATATGGCTAGCTGTGTGCAGTGGCTGTGCTCAACCATCACTCACTCATTCACCTAACTCTGTCCCTGTGATAAAGGTGACATTGATCACCATCAGCCAGTGGATTATTCAATCATACCTACATAATGGAGTCTCCATAAAAATCCAAGAGGACAGGATGCCAGAGCTTCTCGATGGCTGAACATGTAGAGCGTCTAAGAAATAGTGTGCACATAAAAGCAAACACCAGTAATTTAAATGTCAGATATAGTGTAGGTATCTTTTCTTTGCTTTGAAAGAAATTTCTGCCTTTAATAATGTGTCCAGAATTTTAACTTATTAAATAGAACATACTCAAAGTTAACCCAAAAGCATATATTCTAAACATTAACACTTGGATAATTCTACCTAAATGATTTCATGATGCACTAATATTGTACAACAAGTTTTGTTTTAGAGAGATAAAGATTTCTTCAAGTTAACTGGGTAAAAACTAGACATTTATAAAGAAGAAGAAATTCCATTGAAATCTCAGCATAAATTGCATCCTATTTCAGTTTGGGAGAGAAATCATCAGTGAGTTTTGTGTTGGAAATGTTTATCCTAAAATATTAGGCTTTTAATTTAGAATTTTGTGTCTCTGTGGTATTTGTTCCACTATAAAGTCAAAAGCACCATCTCAGATGTTTCTGTGTCTCCATTTTGGGGAAAGGGGAAGAGGCTGCCTCATAACCCATTAAATTCTGCATTCTAGAGTAAAAAATAAAAAAAAATTACAGTTTTTTGTATTTCAAATCTAATAAATCACAATTTTGTTTTTTTGTAGAGTAGTAGTCATGCATGAAAACTAGAATTTGAAAGAACAGCCAAGTGCTCACCAGTCTGATTTTATATTTGGGCTTATATGTGCATAAAATTATGACATTTTGACAAAGAAGCTGCTTCATTATTTATTTTAAAGTTACACTACTTAAAATTTCGTTCATAATATTAAATAAATAGCTTCGACATTTCCAGTTCTGTTTCCAAGTCTTAGATATTGGGGGAATTGTTTTGGGATATGCAGATGGATTAGGGCATCTTGCAGCTAATGATGTCTTCTTCTCAGCTCAGTTATTGTGCCCTGAGCAGACAGACTGACAATTAAAACTCATCATTTTTTTTTTGCACTTACGCTAACATATATTGTATCCCATGGGCTGAACCCCAGATTTTCTTCAGCATTTAACATTCTTTCTCAGCCATTTGTTCAAACTCCATCTTAATATTACAGCTAGCAAGGGCCTTACATTCCTCCAGAACAACTGGATTACATGAGGCAAGCTCATTAATTTGAACCATAATATCTTGGGTGAAAGTTGCTGTTCAAAACACCTGAGAAACCAGGTCTTTGGCACATGCCTCCTGTATTGTCAGCTTTCACACAGCACTCAACATTTTATTGGCAGATGCTTCACCCATCATTGGGAAATGTAACACTAGAAAGCCATCTGAACTCTGTCCAAATGTTGTATAAGGGGTTTGAAACCAAAGCTGTCATTAGCCCAAATCAAGTGACAAAGAGGCAGTATGGATGCACCCAGTCCAATGGCTGGCCCATTGACTGATACAACAGTTGACTTTTTAAATTGAATGAAATTGTCAAAAACATTCTTGATATTGTCCACCATTTCAATGCTTGTTCTCTTTCTGTCATTTGTTAAATGCTTCACGAAGTACCCAAAATCAAGACCACAGCAAAAGACACTGCCAACTGTGCTGAACAGCACAAGTTTGCTATCATCTGGAGCAGCCATATTCAGAGCATTCATGATTTCTTTCATTACTTCTGCATTCAGTGTGTTTTCTCCTGTCAATCTAGTTGATACCAATATCTAGGTGAATCCATCCTCTTTCCTCACTACAATGTCTCTGTATCTGCTGGCACTTTCTGTTAGCCTTCTGGTGACATGCATCCTCTACATAAAAGGCTGGTCTCTGTTATTATCATTAACCTTTCTTTGCCCGCCTCTCACTCTTGTAATAGGTGTATGCATATTTGTTCTTCTGTTGGCTGTTGATGAGTCCATTAATACCAATATACCTTCCTTGTTAGCTGAGCCTGTGACCATGGATGCAGTAGTAACTGAGCCAGACATCTGAGACAATAGTGCATGTATCAGTGGCCTTTTTTCTATTCCAGCTGGTCCTGCACTGGGATCTGATAAAGCTCTGACAGGCTTCTCTACTGCCACGTTGAACACCACTGTGTCCTGCTAATCTGGTGCAATAGGGTTTAGTGTCTCAGGTTCCTGAATGTCAGTCACTCTGTTCTTGCTGTTAAAGGGGCTCTGATGTGCAAGTGTCTTGATAGTTGAATTTACTATCTCCGTATGCTTTGGGTGAAAGAGAGGTGAAGCTGCATTTTTCCTAACATTGTGGCTGGCAGCAAATCACTGGCTGTTTTAGAACTTGTGGTGTTTGCCAGTTAATAACATATTAGGAGAGTTATTAGAAAAGTTGGTGTTGGTAGATCTGGAAGTTCTTTTTTTGGGGCATTGTTTGAAAAAGTTCTACTTGTTTTGATCTGTGTCTTTGTTTTCTGCTTTTCAGTCTGTCATCTGTTAAAGACATAGAAACATTTTTCACAGTTCACGATGTGCTGCTCTGGTTCCCAAGTGTCATCCTGTTTGTCATAACCTTTCCACTGAACCAAATACTCTGTCTTCTCTTTTTTGTCTTCTCTTGTGTAAACAAAAGTTTCAACCTCTAACTATTGGGAATCCGTAAAGAAAGAGACCGATTTGGGGTAGTTGCTGTGCCAACTTTATTTCAGTAGGGTCTTCCCATAGTTACATTTTTCTGCCTCCAGTTCTTTACCAGGTACTAAGTATGGATGAGTCTCTTCCACTTCATTGCCACTGGTGTAGTAAAAGTTGTGTGAAGGAGCAGCTATGGTATGTGCCTTAGGCTCTCCACACTTACTCCCTGGTGAGAGAGCTTGGGCTTGGTCTCAGGGTGCCAAGATAGCTTGCTTCTCACATAAGAGAAGCTAAATCCACCGCTCCTACTCTGGTGTAGTGCAGAAAGCTTTCTACCTGCCTGTTACTCTTTCCTTTACAGTTGCTCTGACCATTATATCAAACATTCTAAAGTTATAACATTGTTAAAGTTACGCTAATATACATTCAATAACATAAAAATCCCTACTCCTGTATAGACTGGCCTCCATTACTTTACTTACTGAGTTCTCAAAATTATACCTTTATGCACTGTATGTCAAAAACACAAGTTAGTGAATATATATATAAAATATATATAGTATTATATTATCTATATTTATATATATACACACACATGTATGTTTGTGTGTGTTTTAAATTATGTGGAGAATCACTTGTGAAGGTGCACATTGTTAATTTTTATATATATATTTTGTTAATTGCTTATGTATTTATCTTTACCTTAATATTTATTTATTCATACTCCTGCCTAGTGTTCATTTTGCCATGAAGTACCCCATAAAGCATTTCTTCAAGGGTAGTCCAGTGGTAAAAGACATCAGCTTTTATCTGAAAATGTCATAATTTCCCTCTCAGTTTTGATGGACAGTTTGAACATAAAATTTCTGTTTGAATTTGTTTTATTACATCACTTGGAATATATTAGTCCATTGCTCTCTGGCCTCGAATTTTTAGATAAGAAATCCACTTTTTAATTTTGAGGGTCCTCTGTACATTACTAGTCACTTCTTTTGCTGCTTTCAAGGTTCTCTTTGTCTTTGTTTAGAAATATTGAATTATCAAGGAAGTTGGAGTGTGTTTCTTTGAGTTTATCTTACTTGGAGTTTATTGAGCTTCTTGGATGTTTATTTATTTCCTCACACTTGTGACATTCTTGGCCACTATTTTTTAAAATAGTCTCTCTGATTCTTTGTCTCTTCTCTTTGAACTTCCAAAATGTGTAAGTAAGGCTGCTTGATGGTGTTCCACAGGTTTTAGGCTCTGTTCACATTTCTTTATATATATTTTCTCTTCCTTCCTTAATAATTTCAATTGCTCTTTCTTTAGGTTTGCTGGTATTATGTTCTATCTGCTCAAGTCTGCTTTTAAATGTCTGTAGTGAATTTTTATTTCAGTTGTTTCACTTTGCATATCTAGAAATTTTTTTAGTTTTAAAAATAATTTTACTCTCTCTTTATTAATAATTTATTTGTTCATGACTCTCTGTGCTTTTTTGTTTATTCTATTACCTTCCTAAGATCATTAATTTAAAAAAATAATTTTTAGTAAGCCTGCCATTTGGACTGTGTAGGAAAAGCTTGTGTTAGTTATTTTTTTTTTCTTAGAATGAGCCTTAATTTTCTATTTCACTTTATGGTTAGTGATTTTGTTAACGCTGAAAAAGGGCATTTACATATGAAAATGCTGTAATTTTAAAATCAGATTTTCTTACTCTATGATTGGCTAGGGTTTTGTTTATTTATAATGCAGGCTCTTTCTGTCCTGGAAATCAGTCCTATTGAACTTCTTGTGTCTTTTTTGAGCCTGCACCATCTGAGGAAGATATGGTTAACATACTTATTTATTATGTTTTTATTTATATATATTTACTTTTGAATGTTTTTGTACATAAATGTCTGACCTCTTAAAAGGAAAAAAAGTAAAATGAGGAAAAATATTCTGGCTCTCTAAATATTCTGAAAGTTGCTTGAGTAGGAGGAGGAAAAGCCTGCAAAAGCTTTCAGAAATGAAACAACGGCTATTCATCTATCTTGGGACTTCTATAATCAGAAGCAGCAACAGGTGCACAAGTCCTCTGACATTTAAATGGCAGGGTCCTTTCTGTTATCATGCCTCTTGCAAGCTGCTCCAGAGGTGTTTTCGAGGCAGCATACCACAGCAGTAGTTAATAAAGAATAAATAGCTGTTTTTCATCTATGCTATAAAATTGATAAAATTTAATTATTGTTTACAAATCTTGTTTTGGAAGCTGTAAACCTTCAGGTAGACTCTGGAATTCCAAAATAATAGGATCATACCAATTCTGACACTGCACCTATAGTGTAGTTGAAGAGACAGATATATAGTGCTCTGTAGTCACTTGTCATGCTTTTCTCAGAAGCTTGTATCATCTTACTTTTGGCCTTTCGGATAAATCATATACATTAATTTTTATCTAAGGATGCATTTGTGCCAGTCTTTGACTTTTTATGCAAGAACTCATATTTAAAGTTATTACAAGTAAAACATTACTTACTCTGAGATTTACTTGTTTTCAATATTTTATTATTTATTTTATCCTTAATTCTCCTTTATTTTTAAAATGTGGTTAATTTAGAAAAAAATTTGTATTTTTTATATTATAATTGGTTATTTTGGGACTTCAATTACTATTGTAAATTTAAAATAGCCTACTTTTAATAACACTAACTTGTTTCAATAACCTAAAGTTTAATTTAAACAATATAAAAATGTGCTGCTTTTGTGCTTTTCCATTCTTTTCAATTTATATTATTATCTCAGATTATATGTGTAAACACTGAGTGTTCAGTAATAGAAAACTTTGCCAGGGTTATAATAATAATTTTCTCTTTTAGAGAAGGTTAGTAACAAATTCTTTTAACTTTCCTTTATCCAGGCATTTTTGCTCATGTATCATTTTACCTGTTACAGATTTCAGGTTTGATAGCATTTTTTCTAGTAAAACTTTGATATCCTACTACCTTATGACTTCTATGGTTTCTGCTGAACAATCATCTGTTAATTTTAATCAAGATTCCCTTGAACATAACAAGTTGCTTGTCGCTTTCTGGTTTTACAATTTTCTTTGTCTTAGCACTTGACTGACTATAATGTTTCTTGATGTGGCTATCGTTGACTATATTACGGTTGAAGATTTTGTCCTTCTTTAACTTTTAGATTCTGATTTTTAATTAAGTTTGGGAAATATTCAGTCATCTTTGCTTTCAGATTTTTTTTTTGCCTCTTCTTTTTCTGTATTTATGAGATGCCCATATTGCATGTATTGATATAGCTCATAGTGTTCTATTAACTTCTTAGTATTTTTTCACTTAATTTTTTTTTTATTTATCAGACTGGGTTATTTCAGTTTTCATTGCTTAAAATTGACTGAATATTTTCCAGCTCAAGTCTGCTGCGAAACTCCTTTATTGTCGATTTTCTTTCGGTCATTGTACTCTTTATCTCAAATTTTTCATTTTTTTTACATATTTTTTCTCACTGATGCTCTCATAATTTTCTTTCATCGGTTCTGTCATTTTTCTTTTACACAACTTAAAACTGTTGTTTTAAATTCTTTGTCAATAAAATTTGGAATATTTTCAATTTCTGCATTTACTTTACATTAGTCATGTGTTTCTATTGGTTTTTATGTTTCTATTTTGCAGAAAACTATATTCAAAAAGTCAAAATGTGCTAACTCTGAATTCTAGGTTTTCTTCATTTCTCCAAGGTATTTTCTTAGTTATTAAAACCTTAGCTTGCATTCCATTAGTGTTTTGAATAAGAGCAATGTTAAAACTATCACTTTTAAAAACTAGATCTGTATTAACATTCTTCTTTAACTCTCAGGGGGATTGCTTATAATTCTGCCTTAGCCTTCATTTTCTTCTCACATTGAAGCTATAGATAAAATTGAGAATTAACACCTATTGTTTTATATACTTTTTGAGAATGTTTTCTGTCGTGAGCATGGGCGTGATTTTCTAAATCTTTCAATACATTAAACTGCTTTTGAATATTCAGATTTTTGCAAATAAAGGTCTCTTCAACTTTTCCTCCTTTTTATAGTTTGTCTATTGTATAAAAACTGGTTTGTTCTCAGCAACTTAAAGTTTTATGACCAATTTCTGGCATTTTCAACCAAGAGTGAATTCTATGTTAGACAAAACAGAAATAAATGTGTTTCATCAATTCTTCACATATACCCTAGATAGACTAGAAAAAAACACAATAATTTACCATATAAGGGCTTCTTTACTCCTTCCAGAAGCAGAATTCAGGGCCTCACATGGAAAATTGTGGATTTCAATTTTTATAAGCCTTCATCTGTGCTTAGGAGGCAGTATGGTAATACACAAAAAAATTTACAATTTTATAATTGTCTCTCTTGATTACATGTTAACTTGGCTAATATGAGCTATTTATTTCAAAGGTCCAGGCTGCTTATGAAAGGTATGAGTTTTCTTTAAATGGTTTGAAGTTGCCTTCCTTGCACTTTTCTTTTTATTTTTATCTATGAAACATTGATTGTTTTCTATTCTTGTAGCTTATTTGTATCTATGAGACGTATGTTTTTTCTCCTAAAATTGTGTTTAAAATACTTAAATTATGTGTTGTACCTCGAATTTTGGATTTTAGATGTTAGATTTTTGTTTTAGTAGTTATATTATAGAGTTTTTTGTTTGCTTTTTATTAATTGAAGTTCTGTATTCCATATAAAATATATGAGGCAAGATCGGTATAAAGTATATTTTGGTTTTATATAAAACAAATGTACAATAATTTGCTTAAAAGTGACTTTCAAGTAAATATCTAAATAAAATAATAAGGAAATAATCATGTAAACATGCAGGAAGTTCAACCAGTATGATGATCCCTGGTAGAAGCCTGCTTAATTGTTTAAAAAATAGCCAGGTCCCTGTTGCTGGAGCAGGCTGTGGAAGGGAAAGCATTATAGATGATGAGCTCATAGAAGTAACAGACAGTCCCTGTGATTGTCTAGGGATTTTATAGGTCAGTAGATTTCACGTTAGATTTCACTCTAAGCCTGGTTTATGACTGGAAGTGGAATTGGTAAGCTTGTTACTAGCATCTAGTACTGAGAGTTTAGAAATGCTGCTAAATATCCTATAACCTAGGGTATTAGGCACCTTTGAAAAATTAACTGTGTTGAACAATCTCTCAAGAAAATTATTTTTAAAACACACATTTAGAATTATTTGATATCACATTTGAAGATTTCTTAACTCAATTTTTGGTTTCTTATATCAGAAGGATTTTCAAAAGCTTATGTAATGTTTAGTTCATTCAAGTTAGGGTAAGCATTAGTAAAGTGAAGTCAGTTTAGTTAATAAATGACTACAAACTAAACCACATATTTTCTTATTTTCTTCTTTTTTCCCATTGCTTTTTCAATATTTCTGTAAACCACTAATATAGAAAATTAAAACTCTAGGCAGTCTCTATTTCAGGGGTACCAAGGGAGAAAACTCAATCAAGGGCCTTTGGGATAGATCTAATCTTGACTAGAGGTTGAAGGTATACGTAAAACACAGACACACCTGTGCTTTGGCACACTATGTTATGCATTCACATTGTGCATACACATTGTCTTATGACATGAAAGTTGCTAAGATATTACAATAAGCAAGCCAAATAAAAACCAAGCTTTCAAAGATTATAGCTGGGGTTAGAGAATTTTCGCTTTTGCTAAAATTGTTGAGTAGAATAAATACTCAAGTATCTTCTACTGCTTAAAAAATATTTTATAGAAGTTTGCACAGTGGGTATCTTTTATCAGAATTATTTCTCCTCCATCTTGTTCTAAGATAATAAAAGATAAATGCGTTCACAAAAATGCATATTAGACAATAAGATAAAGATAAATGAATGAGGAAATTAATGTGAGAAGAAAAATATGTGAAAATATTAAGGTAAGTCCAAAAAGGAGGTGAATTCATGCAATGTAAAATCTTTATGTTTGAATCAGAAATTTGTTTCAGAACGTTAGCAGGTAGCAATATGGTAGTAATCCACATTTATAATGCTCAAGTTGTTCTCATTTAGCACCTGACCTGTTGGCTATGTAACTGATGCTAGATAGAGATTTCTCCACTAGCAGAACTTCTACTCGTATAGAGCTTGCTTTTCCTCCAAAATTAATAAATTGCTACTCAATGCCTAAAGTAAAAAGACATAAATTTTTTTCCCTAATATACTAAGGGAGAGCTATGCTATTTAGACACATTCTAGGAAAAATGCAGACAGCATGAAATCAAGGCATCGGACAATATTAAGTAGTATACAGAAGCTGACATTATTTGTAGAAAAGAGTTATTCAGGCAAAACTTGCAGCAAAAGAGGTATATTTACTGTGCTTTACTCACTAATTTGTCAAAGTGCTGGAACTGCTTTAATATTATTATTGTTATTATTATTTGTAAAAGCTATTTCACTGAGGCAGTTAGGTAATAGATTGCTTACTTTTATAACTGATTTAAATGGTTACATTTTACCATGATTACAGAAACAGTATTTCCTAAATCTGTGTGAAAGTTTAAATTGTCATTTTCTAAGAAGACATAATATACCTCTATTCTTAAAGAAATAAATAGTATATACTAATTCATAACTATTTATTAAGCAACTCCTCTGATGTAGATTCTAGAGCCTTGACAGTAACTAAATAGAAACATGAGTACCTTTGGAGTGTTTGTTTACAGAGATCATTATGGACCATTTAAACACACACACACACACACGTATATATGTGAGTTTTTTGTACAGAATTAGTTCATTTTATGACTCTCAAATCAGCTGACTTATTAAAATAAGATTTACAGTTTTAGTATTTATTCAAAGAATGTTTTTTGAGAATACATACAAAAAATTGTATACTTTGTCATCACTTTATGTGTGTGTATCATATATATGTGTGTATATATATGTATCTCTATATATGTAGAGATACACACACACAAACAAAGGGTGCATATGTACATATATTGGAGGTTATGAAATATTAACTTACATGATCACAATAGGCTGTTTGCTAGCTGAGGAACAAGGAGAAAAATCCAAGTCCCAAAACTGAAGTACTTGGAGTCTGGTGTCCGAGGGCAAGGAGCATCCAGCACAGGAGAAACATGGAGGCTTTGGAGGCTAGGCCCATCTCACCTTTTCTCATGTTTCTGTCTGCTTTACATTCGCTAGAAGCTGATTCGATTGTGCCCACCAAATTACGGTAGGTTTGTCTTCCCCAGCCCACTGTCTCAAATGTTAATCTGTTTTTGGGAAACTACCAAGAGACATGCCCCAGATTAATACTTTGTATCCCTCAATCCAGTGAAATTGACACACAGTATGTCATATGTTCACCCCTTTTCAACTTGAATCTATCCACATCTCCTGAGATAATACGTACTCTTAAAATAAAGACAAAAATGAGGTTATAGTTACACCTAACATAATACAAAAATGAGGTCATATTTACACGTAACATAATAGAACTATCCTTCATACAATCAGGAACACACCAATCCCCAACCCGAACACTATTACGTAAAGTTACGTATACTCAAATGATGATATGAAGTCAATATATCTTATGTCACATAATAAAAGGAAAGAAAAAATGAAGATATTTTCTTACTACATGTGTATATATGCACAAACTTTTTTAGCAAAAGAAGGAGGAAATACGGCCGGGCGCGGTGGCTCACGCCTGTAATCCCAGCACTTTGGGAGGCCGAGGCGGGCGGATCACGAGGTCAGAAGATCGAGACCATCCTGGCTAACACGGTGAAACCCCGTCTCTACTAAAAAAATACAAAAAATTAGCCGGGCGTGGTGGCGGGCGCCTGTAGTCCCAGCTACTCGGGAGGCTGAGGCAGGAGAGTGGCGTGAACCAGGGAGGCGGAGCTTGCAGTGAGCCGAGATCGCGCCACTGCACTCCAGCCTGGGCGACAGAGCAAGACTCCGTCTCAAAAAAAAAAAAAAAAAAGAAGGAGGAAATACTTAAGACAATTAAAGTCGTCATTTCTGCAGCTGGTCACGTGTTTTCAGGCGGTATTGATGACTGGCTTCTACTCCCCATTGTGTGTTTTCTTTGCCTTCAGTAAGGTATTCAGCAGGTCATTTTTTTTTTCCTGGTTTGTGACCCAAACCTTAATTCCTGAAGGATCTGAACCATTTGGAGTCCTGCCAGGATTGGGCTCTTGTAGTTTCCTATTGACCTTAATCGCAGGTCATAGTAATACTAAGACACATCCTAATGTACCTTCTCTATTCCATTCATACTCTTCCTTACCTAAATTGTGGAGCAGTAGACTGATTTCCTCCTTGATAGTTTGGGTCAATCACCTCAGTCAATACTGTGCCTTCCTTCTTAGACTGTTGACTCAAAGGTAGGAGAAGGCCAAAGTGTTTGGGTGTCAATCTTAACTTCTAGTTTAATGGAATCATGGCCGTGTCTTCTGGTGGCAGCATTCCTCCCTCTAGAACTAAGATCTCTAGGCCAACAGAACTTAACGTCTTGGAAACAGAAAGCAAAAAATGTTGCTAGTGGATCTCTTGGGGTGGTGGTGAGTGGTGACATTTCTACTTACAACCCTTGATTTTTGGACCCATGAATTCTTGCTGTGAGAGAAACAGTACAATATATTGGATGCTGATTCACAGCACACATGGTCTTCTGGAGAACTTTGCCACAGGCCCTTCAAAGTATTCTCTCATAATTGGCATTGTAATTGTAACTTCAAAGGGCCATTTTACCATTCTATTTATCTAGCTGCTTCAGGATGATAAAAAGCATGGCAAGACCAGAGAATTTAATGAGGAGAAGCCAACTGCCACACTTCTTTAGCTTTAAAGTGAGTGCCTTGGTCAGAGGAAATGCTGCATGGAATAACATGATGATGAATAAAGCATTTTGCGAGTCCACTGATGGTAGTCTTGGTGGACACATTGCATGCAGAATAGGCAAAGCCATGAGAAATGTAAAAATTTATTCCAGCGAGGACAAACCTTTGCCCTTTCCATGATGGAAGAAGTTAAATATATTCAACCTGCCATCACGTAGCTGGCTGATCACCCCGAGAAATTGTCCCATAACAAGGGCTCAGTGTTGGTCTCTGCTGCTGGCAAATTGGGCACTCAGCAGAGGCCATAGCCAGGTCAGCCTTAGTGAGTAGAAGCCCATGTTGCTGAGTCCATGGGCTCCATTCCTGCCAACATGGCCGCCTTGTTCATGGGCCCATTGGGCAATGCCAGGCTGGGGAAAGAGGCAGAGCGGTGTCCACAAAATGGGTCATTCTATCTGCTTGATTACTAAACACTTTCTCTGCTGAGGTAACTCGTTGGTGAGTACTCACATAAAATAGAAGTATCTTCAGTTTTTCACCACTCAGAATGACCCATCCACTTATCTTTTCCCCAAATTTCTTTGTTGCCAATATTCTAATCATGCTTCTTCCAAGTGCCAGACCTCCAGACAAACCATTGACTAAGGCCCATTAATCTGTATATAAACACATATTTGGCTGTTTCTCCTTCAATGCAAAGTGCACAACCAGGTTCACTGCTTGAAGTTTTACCCTCTGGGAAGATGTATCTTCACCACTGTCCTTCAGGGATGTCCTAGAAAGGAGCTGTAGTGCTTCAGCTGTCCACTTTTGGGTGGTGGCTGCATATTGTGCAGAATCACTTGTGAACCAGGTCCCAGTGTTAGTTCCTCTGTCAACTCATCATAAATAACTTCCCGTTAGGCCATCGGTGCAGGATGGAGGAGAGAAGGTGCCATGGCCAGAGTGGGCCATGGTCTCCATGGGCATTTGAGCCACTTTCTCATGTAACTTACTTGTGCCTTAGGACCTGCTCAAGCCTTGTCACATATATACCACTTCCATTTGATAATGAAATGCTGC
The DNA here is from genome assembly GCF_000001405.40 of Homo sapiens. NCBI lineage: Eukaryota > Metazoa > Chordata > Mammalia > Primates > Hominidae > Homo > Homo sapiens. The sequence goes on from NW_025791821.1 coordinate 44,870, forward strand.
TTTGCACAACCCACTTTATGACTAGATGAGTTTAAAAGCACACAGTTTATGATAGGCAGTTCAGCTCACACAGTGACTTGATGACCCATAGTCAAAAGTTCAGTTTTCACCAAAGCCCAGTAATGGGCCAAGAGCTGTCTCTCCAAAGCAGAATATTTATCTACAGAAGATGGCAGGGCATTGTTGCAAAATCCTAGAGGCCTGTGCTGTGATTCACCTGTGGAAGCCTGGCAAGGGTTCCAAACAGCATTCCTATCTGCCACTGACACATCAAGTACCATTGGATATGTGGGTCATGTGGCCCAAGTAGCAGAGGAGCTTGCCCAGCAGACTGCACCTGTTGCAGAGACTTCTCCAGTTCTGGATGCCACTGGAAGCTGGCAGCCTTTGGGTCACTCGATAAGTGGGCCAGAGTGACACATCCAAATGAAAAATATGTTGCATCCAAAATCCAAATAATCCTACCAAGCACTGTGCCTCTTTCTTGGTTGTAGGAGGTGCCTAATGCAACAACTTATTCTTTACCTTAGAAGGAATATTTTGTTAGGCTCCACAAGACTGGACCCCTAGGAATATTACTGAGGTAGGAGGTCTCTGAATTTTAGTCAGATTCATTTTCCATCCTCTGGTATAAAAATGTCTCACCAATAAGTCCAGTGTTCTTGCTACTTCTTGCTCACTGGATCAAATCAGCATAATGTCATTAATTATATGGACCAGTGTGATATCTTACAGAAATGAAAAGAAATCAAGTTCTCTCTGAGTAAGATTCTGACATGAAGACAGAGAGCTGATATACCTCTGAGGTAGGACAGTAAAAGTATATTGCTGGCCTTGTCAGCTGAAGGCAAATTTCTTCTGCTGGGCCTTATAGATATTAATAAAGAAAAAGGCATTTTCCACGTCAATGGGTGCATACCAGTTACCGGGAGATGTATTCATTTGCTCAAACAATAAAACTACATCTGGTAAAGCAGCTGCAATTTGAGTCATAACTTAGTTAAGTTTTGATAATTCACTGTTGTTATCGAAGATCCATCTGTCTTCTACACAGTCCAAATGAAAGCGTTGAAGGAAAAGGTGCTGGTAATTACCACTGCTGCATCTTTGAAGTCCTTGATGTTGACACTAATCTTTGCAGTCCTCTCAGGAATGTGATATTGTTTTTGATTTACTATTTTTTATGTATAGGCAGCTCTATTGGCTTCCATTTGAACTTTTTCAGTGTAGTAGCCCTCACCCTACACATCAGGGAGCAAATGTGGGGTTCTGCCAGCTGCTAAGTATGTCTATGCTAATTATGCATTCTAGCACTGGGAAAATGACTCCAAGATGAGTCCTGGGACCCATAGGACACTCTGTAAGTCCAACCTAAGCTAAATCTCCATTCATTACCTGACCTCCATAAGCTCCTACTTTAATTGTAGGATCACACTTATATTGTCAGTAATGTAGTGGGGTCGTTCCTCAAGGGAAACTGGCCTCTCCTTCTTTCAAGGGGTTCTTGGTCTTTAAACTGGCTGTAGTTTGGAAACTGATTGGGGAGGGGGCTGCAATTCACTGCTTTTATAATTTAAAGTAATCTTTTTTTTATTTGACCCAAAAGTTATCTGTTTGTTTAACTTAAGTGTGAATGCAGTAGGCTTTCTCTCAATTTCACTTCCAGGAACACCTTGATTAATTAGTTAATGCCAGAGCTCCATAGGAGTCACATTATTGTAATTGCCACTTCCCTTAGTTACATCCACCTTGCCTTTGATGGTTGAGTACTGCCACTTGGCCCCTGCCACCTGGGGATCCAATTTTTCTCATCGTATTTAAATTTTGCCGTTGAGTGATTGTGTTTCCCACCATTAAATCTGACATACACAGAAGAGAAATTACAGGGCTATTCACAGATGCAAGTGCTTCCCTCACAAATCTATTTCACAAGGCATTGGTAAAGGGTATCTCTTCTGGACCCTTCAAAGTGGAATGAGTAAAGTCTAAGGAGATGAATCCACTCCACCATCCCAATTTCCCTAAGCCTCCAGATCTCTCTCTCTACATTAAGCCAACGAAGACCAGGCATTTCCAGCTCACTCACAGTGGGACATCTTTTAATCCATATTTCAGCTAACCAGGCAAATCAACTATTAGAATTTTTTTAGCTACCTGAGCAGCAACATTAAATGCAAATTCCCTACTTAGTGGGCTCTACTCAATAAATTCAGTCTGATACAATTCCATGATTCCTCTTCCCCCATTATCCCCTACACTTAATATTCATTCCCATGCCTGTCCTCCAGATTTCTGTTCAAATAAATGAGATAACTCTAACAGTTCTTTTTGAGTGTAGCACACCACTTCATGGGTCACACTCTCCACCTCACCTCTAGGAGCCCACCAGAACTTTAATCTACTTATAGGTTTAGAAACAAACAGAGGTGTTGGGGATGGCTTCTGAGGAGAAATCATATTATCTTTCCTAGAAACTGCCTCAGGGGTGGAAAACACTGTTGTCTCAGCCAGTGCAGGGTTTCTTTCTTCAGACAGAGTTGGAAAGGCTGATGGAAGTGTGGATCAGAAAGGGGATGTTGCCACTTCTTGAGATGAGGAAGCCATTCTTTCTGGCACCAAAAAAAAAAAAAGTTCATCAGAGTTAACCACTCACTGTCACCAGATTCATCAGGGTTCTTCTACACATCCCTATTGTGATTTACAGGGTCCGTTTCTTTTTCAATCCATGCCCTCACTATAACAGTAGACACCTGGTGAGGCTGTGCATGCATCTTTTATTGCAGGTCAGTGACTTACATGATAAGAGCCTGTGTCTGTTTTTCCAGTTTCAGCTCTTGCTCTACAAATGATAAGATTCTTACTCAGGGCAAAATTGGCAGATTTGAGCCTCAGTATCTGCTTCTGAAGTTGGGAGACAGTATCCCTCAGTTCATCATTTTCTTTCATCATATTGTTCACTGAACTTAGGAGCTACCAAGCAGCTTCACTGTGTTCTTTGGTTCTCCACATATGGTCAAAGGTATTATGTATAGAACCACTAAACTCCTTGATTCTCACAATCAGTGAATCAGGAGTGCCAAATTCATTTATTTTGCATAAGTCTCTAAATGGTTTCCACCAAGGACTATCAGTGTTCTCCATATTATTAGAAGCAGAGTCCACAGACTTTTTGCATCAAATTATATTAAACAGCCAACTTCAGAACCTCCAAAACCAATGAAAGAACTTTATTTTTAATGTTCTGTTCCTCTAGAACCATTTCTGGTACCAAAATCTTTATTAGTCAGGATTCTTTCACAGGGACAGAACTAATATCTATAGAAGAGTTTATTAAGTATGAACTTACATGATCACAATGTCCCACAATAGGCTGTCAGCAAGCTGAGAATCAACGATAGCCAAACTGAGTACCAAAATTGAACAACCTGGAGTCAGCCATGTGAGGGCAGACAGCATCCAGCACAGGAGAAAGATGTAGGCAAGAGGTTAGTCCATCTCACCTTTTTACGTTTTTTTCCTGTTTTATGTTTACTGGAAGCTGGATAGATTGTGCCCTCCAGATTAAGGTTGAATCTGCTTTCTCCAGCCCACTGACTCAAATGTTAATCTGTTTTGGGCAGCACTCACACAGACACACCCAGGATTAATACTCTGTACGTCTCAGTCCAGTTAAGTTGACACTCAGTATTAACCATCACAGGCTCCTGGGCATAAATTTGTTGCTCCCCACCGAAGCTCCACCTTCAAGCAGTGACATCTTGAAGTCTGGGGCATAGGCTGATGGACAAGAATGGGAAATGATTTTACTTTTATTAAGTAAATTGCTTTATTAAGTAAATTTACTTTTAATTAAATTTAAAGTAATTTTTATTTAAATTTACTTTTAAATTAATAAAAAGTAAATTTACTTTTATTAAAGAAATTGCTGCCCAATAATCCAATCAGCAAGCACTTTATTTTCTTTGAACGATGTAAAATTACTGGATTCAGCCACACTGGAAGACTTGACAGACTACCAAGCAGCTGTGGAGAGGACCGACACACTGAAGGGCCTTCTCTCTGCTGAGAGCTAAGGAGGCATCAGAACTTTCAACAGCACACTGGAGCTACCCACCACAGGCTTTGCTGAGAGCTAGGGAGATAATGGAGCAGCTAGATAAACGGATAAGCTACCTACTCCAAGATCTCTTCTATGCTGAAAGCTTAGATGTTGGGACCACCAGATATGAGGATTTCCCCACTGCAGAGCCTTCTCTCTGCACGGAGCTTAAAACTGGGCAAGATGACTAGCTGGATGGAGAAGATACCCGCTCCAGTTTCTCCTCTCTGCTGAGAGCTGGATGGTAATCACTGACACCCTGCCTTTAGAGAGGAGCTACCCACTCTCTTTGCTGAGAGCTGGACACTCATCAGGACATCTGGCTTGTGTGGAGGAGCTACCCAGTGAGGGGCTTTTCTGTGTTCTCTCATTCAGTACAGCTTCTCTTTACATTGCACACTCTTTAATTGTCCATCTACGTCTTTATTCCTGAAGGCAGAGCAATTATTTGAGATAAGCTGAATGGTGAAGCTGAAAGAGTTGTAACACAAACTGGGGGAAAAAAGACATACCTTGCTCATCACATTGTGGAAGACAAAAATAAGAGGAGAGCTATGACCCTTCAGGGTGCACAGACCTAGGCACTCTCAAAGCCAGGGCTGTGACATCTTTAGGGCTTTGAAGTTTCTGGCATCTTCAAACTTCTGGGCACAACTCCATTCCTTAGTATAAGCTATGGAAGCTGCTTGCAGAATGCCTGATCCAGCTGCAGCTTCTCAGTGAGATGGCACTTCTCTTGGCACCTAAAATTTCCTGCCCTGCCACAGCTGGCATGCCTGGCTATGTGTAGTGGCTGATGCCCACACTCGCTCATACACCCCTTGCCACTCTATGCCACATTTGCCCTTGGCAGGTGTTAAATCCATGCCTATAATGCAAGGGGAAGGCAGCCTCTCAGGCAGAGTGCGTATAACAAGCTTAGCAGGCCTTAGCAAAACTGAGGCAAAGGCACTACTGGCCACAGGGGTTTCCATCTGGCAAGGTGACTCCACCAAAATTCCAAGACAAAAGAAGCATAGCTACTTGTGTTTAAATGCCTTACATCTACTGGATCTTGAAATATTGATAATTGAGTGTCTTACAATGTGAGATATAGATACGTAGATAGATAGATTGATAGGTAGATAAATTGTGTGTGTATGTCTGTGTGTGTGTGTGTGTGTGTCAGAGTCTCACTGTGTCACTCAGGCTGGTGTGCAGTGGTGTGACCTCGGCTCACCACAACTTCTGCCCCCTGGGTTCAAGTGATTCTCCTGCCTCAGCCTCCTAAGTAGCTGGGAATACAGGCATCTGCCACCGCACTTGGCTAATTTTTGTATTTTTAGTTGAGGTGGGATTTCAGCATCTTGGTCAGGCTGGTGGTAAACTCCTGACATCATGATCCACCCACCTCAGCCTCCCAAAGCACTGGGATTACAAACATAAAGTACCTCATCTGGCCACAGTTTGATATTGTTAAACCTTATTTGGAAATTATTATATTTCCAATTTTTTTAGGAATTAAATTTGAAAGATTTGCATTTGCATTGAGTCACCTGATCTCTCTTACTTACACTCTCTTACTCTTTTTATTATGTGAGAATATATTTCTAAAATATGTGGCATTGGTGTTCAGATTGGCATTTTTCTGGTGGATTATAAAGTTTACTGATGGAACAGAATTTCTTATTCCTGGTTTTGACATTTTGTACTCATGTAATTTCTTTCTGTGAGGATTTTTTGCTGCATTCTGTAGGATTATGAGTAGCATTTCTGGCATCTTCGACTAAGTGTGATAGTAAATTTTTTTTTCCATGGTGGAAATACGCAAGTATGTTTGTATCTTGTGGAAACAAAACTGATGCAATTTACTATTCTACAGAGTTCTAAAGAAGAAATAAGAACTTGCTTTTAAAAATTTTGCGCAAATTTTACATGAAATCTCACTTTTCTCTAAGTCTTTGCTGTTCTAACATCCTGTAATTTTCTATCATCATCATGTAAGTTAAGCCTATAATACTTTTCCTTTTGCAGGATAGTGTTAAAAACACAGGTTAAATGGATGTTGAAGAGCTGATATAAGAGGCCACATTTGGGTAAGAAAAGAGTTATTGGTCTTTATCTCAAAAAGCTCACCATCATGAATTATTAGGGAAATGCACAACTAAACTGCAATGAGACACCATCTGAGGCCAGTCAAAATGGTGATTACTAAAAAGCCAAGAAACAACAGATGATAGTGAGGCAGTGCAATGATAGGAATACTTTTATATTGTTGTTCAGAATGCAAATCAGTACACACTGTGAAAAAGTGTGTGATGATTCATCAAGTATCTAGAACCAGAAATACCACTGGCCTCAGCAATTACATTACTGGATATATACTCTTCCAAAAACAAGCTATTCTATTACAAGGATACATGCATATGTATGTTTACTACAGAACTATTCACAGTAACAAAAACGTGGAATTAACCCAAATGCCTATCAACGACAGCCTGAATAAAGAAAGCGTGGTACATATACACAATGAAATTATATGCAGCCATAAAAAGGAATGAAATTATGTCCTGTGAAGGGGCATGTATGAAGCAGGAAGCCAATATCCTCAGTAAGCTAACACGGAAACAAAACACACACACAAAAAAAACACTGCATGTTCACACTCATGCATGGGAACTGAACATTGAAGACACATACACACAGGGAGGGAAAGAACACATACTTGGGTCTGCCAGGGGGGAAAAAAGAGACTCAGATAAATAACTAAATCATGCGGGGCTTACTACCTATATTATGGGTTGATATGTGCAGTCAACAACCATGGCACGTGGTTAATTGTGAAATAAACCTGCATGTCCTGCATGTGTACCATGGAATTTAATATAAAATAAAATTAAAAATAAGAAGGCTTTTATTTTTGTAGAGTTTATAGTAACTTTTAAATATGTGCCACACTTTACTGAAGACTTTTTTTTTTTTTTAAATATGGCGTCTCTCTCTGTTGCCAGACTGGAGTGAAGTGGTGCGATCTTGGCTCCCTGCAATCTCTGACCCCTGGGTTCAAGTGATTCTCCTGCCTCAGTTTCCTGAATAGCTTGAATTACTTGTGCATGGCACCACACCGAGCCTTAAGATATTTTTTTAAAAATAATTACAAATCAGTTTTTGACAAACTGCATTGAAAAGTAAATAGTGTATTTCAATTCTTAGTTGATTGAATTTCTTCCCTTTTATTTTTAGAATGATATCTCACACTGCCCCTTTGCCTGGAGTGCAGAGTGCAATCTTGGCACCCTGCAACCACCTGACTCACAGCTTCAAGTGATTTATCTTCCTCAGCCCCTTGATTAGCTGAGATTACTGGCGGACACAACCACAGCTGATGGGGTTTCCCCATATTCTACAGACTCTTCTCTAACTCCTGACCTCAAGTAATTTGCCTACCTTATTCTCAGAACATGCTGGGACTACAGATGTGAACCACCGTGCCTGGCACTTGATTGAATTTATAATTGAGAAAAACATACATCTTGCAAAAATTTATTTTTATATCATATTTTTATGAGTTTATATATCTCATAATTCATGAAAAATAATAAAGCTTTAATGCCTTTTTATATTTTAAATGAATTTATTTCCATTTTTATGTAATTAAAAGAGTAGGTTAATTTAGAATGTTATTTTTCTTTTGGGTAAATTTCTCAGGCTTTAGAAATTTCTTTAAAAATCTACTCTGGGAAAATAATTACATTTATTGATTTTACTTGGTTTTTTTTTAGGAATTGCTTATGTAAGAAAGTTCAAATTTGTTTCAAGATACAATGAGATGTTTAATTATGTCAAATAAACTTAAAATATTTTCTTTGAAAAGAATTTTTTTACCTATATTTTCTACAAATAATACTGTGATTACTTTTTCTGACTTACTAGAAATTAATTGATTGTTTCATCTTCCCTGCATAAAAAGTTCACCTGCAATATTTAAGAAGTAAACAACTGCCAGCCGAGCTGGCTGTTCCAGTCTGTCGCTCACCAAACACCATCAATTCTGGTTTTGAGCTACTTGTAACACCAGCTATTGGCTGTGTAAAAAAATCTTAAAAAGACAGTAGACTGTTTGGCTGAAATATATTACACAGACAAAACAATAGCTAGTGAGTATTTTAAATTAAAGCTGCTTTTGTTCATTAATCATAGTTTTGTGTGAAATTCTATTTTCTCATTTAGATAAAACCAACTCATGGTTTTTTGTCAACTATTTTAACATTCTGTAGCCATCAGGTACATAATTAATACAATTTTAGTCGGAGAGTACAATTTATTTAATATCTATTTATTTAATGCTCCCCTATAGTTGGCTTTGGTAACTTAACACAGTGAGTTGTTTGAATCACATGTGAAAAAATACTGAAACTTTAGAGTAATGAGGAATCAAATGTAATACTATAAAAAGTTTATATTTAAAATGTATGCATTAAAAAGTTTTTCATAACCCACAAATTGAAGTTGCTTAATGTTATTTTAGTTAAATTCTAAGAAAGTTATGGTTTAAAAATCATGATATGAGAAGAGAACATTTGAGTGCATTTTATTGCTTCTAAATACCACATCAGTCCCACAAAGAGGGTAGTAATGTTGAAATCTTACACAGAACTAAAACAAGTTTGAGGTAATGTAAGTAAATTAACAAAGAATAACATAAAATTTAGTTTATTTCAAGAGAAAACTGAATGTTAAATATATAATTAACAGCAGCATTCAGTATAGACCTTTAATTAGTAAATGTGAAATTATATTTATATTTTTATCTGTGGGAGTATATTTTCTAGCACATTGTAGGATTTTCTAGCTAAACTCACTGCTTAAAAGGTCAGATCTTTATTTGTCTTGTGGGTTCTTTGTAGAGGAAAGAGTTTACTTTTGAAAAACACCTTTTTCTTAATTTATTTAACTATTGTATTGACATAGTAAATACATATTTTCAAAAGAGTTTTTTTAAACAAACACTGCTGTTGTTAAACTATTTAGCTAACAGTTTTATGGGGTTAAAATATATTTCCAAATACATAAGAGGATATGTACTGCAAATTATTAACTTGCCACCAATATTATATTCCTGGTCCAGAGATTATGTCTGTATGTGCACTAATCCATGCATGTAACTATTTGTTTATTTTTTACACAAATGAAAATATACAATATACAGCATTATTAACTTTGTTTTGTATTTAGTCAAACACCTGTCAGTATATGAAGATCTGTTTCATTCTGATTTGTAGCTACATAACTTGCCTTTCAATGTGCTCTAATTTATGCAATCCATCTCTAAGATGAATTGATGTGTAAGCTGTATTACCTTTTGCAGAAAGTAGGGAAGAATTTATAGTCCTTACAGTGATTTTAAATATGCAAGACAAAGAAATTATTGTTAGTTACTGAGGAATAAAGCAGATATTTATGTGAAGCTTACAGTTTTATGAGTCACAACAATAACTTTAAATGAAGTGCTCAATTAAAAGTGAGAAAACCCTAATGTTTTATTTATATAAAGTTCTGATGACAATTAATTAAATACACTTATTTTAGGCCCAAAAGTTTTATAGTAAGTAAACTTGTAATGATTAAGGCTAAGTCCATGATTGTGTCCACACTCTGTATCTAGCTAATCTAGTGGGGATGTGGAGAACCTTTGTGTCTAGCTCAGGGATTATAAACCCACCAATCAGTGCCCTGTCAAAACAGACCACTGGGCTCTACCAGTCAGCAAGATGTGGGTGGGGCCAGATAAGAGAATAAACTCAGGCTGCTGGAGCCAGCAGTGGCAACCTGCTCGGGTCCCCTTCCACACTGTGGAAGCTTTGTTCTTTCGCTCTTTGCAATAAGTCTTCCTACTGCTCACTCTTTTGGTCCACACTGCCTTTATGAGCTGTGACACTCACTGCCAAGGTCTGCATCTTCACTCCTGAGCCAGCGAGACCATGAACCCACCAGAAGTAAGAAAGTCCAAATACATCTGAACATCAGAAGGAACAAACTCTGGACACGCCGCCGTTAAGAACTGTCACACTCATCTCGAGGGTCCGCGGCTTCATTCTTGAAGTCAGTGAGACCAAGAACCCACCAATTCTGGACACAGGAGGGCCTCCATCTTCCAGACCCCAGAATAGTAGATCCACTGACAGCTTGAATTTTGTTCCTGGAGAAGCCACAGATACTGAATGCCAGCTGGTGGAAACAGTTGGGAGGAAGGCTGTACCCTGCAAAGCCTCATGGGTGCAGGTGCACAAGACCATGGGAACCCAGCTCTTGAAGATCATTCTGAAGCTTTAAGATTGTACTGCCTCCTTGGATTTTAGACTCGCATGGGGGCTGTAGCCCCTTTATTCCAGTCAGCTTCTCACATTTGGAATGGCTGTACTTTTCCAACGCCTGTACCCTACTGTATCTAAGAAGTAACAAACTTGCTATCAATTTTACAGGCTCATAGGGAGAAAGAACCTGCCTTGTCTCAGATGAGATATTGGACTTTGACTATTGAGTTAGTGCTGCAATGAGTTGAGGCATTGCAGGACTATTGGAAAAGCATGACTGGTTTTGAAATGTGAGGAAATGAGATTTGGGAGGGGCCAGGGTTGGAATGATATGGTTTGACTGTGTCCCCACCCCACTTGAATTTTTACATGTGGTGGGAGGAATGAGATGGGGAGTAATTGAATCATGGGGGCAGATGTTTTTTGTGCTGTTCTTGTGACAGTGAGTAAGTCTCATTATATATGATGGCTTGAAACATCAGTTTCCTTGCAGAAGCTCTCGCTTTGCCTGCTGCCATCTGTGTAAGATGTTAATTGCTCCTCTTTCCCTTCTATCATGATTCTGAGGCCTCCCCAGTCATGTGGAACTGTCAGTTCATTAAACCTCTCTTTCTTTTATAAATCGCCCAGTCTAGCATATGTCTTTAGCTTGAAAATGGACTAAGACAGTACAAATATCAGATTGACTGATAAAGCTCTGTGACTTTAATTTCACAGTCAAGTCAAAGATGTAAATCAAATACAATTGTGTGTAGGTCTCTGAAAATTCTTATCAACCTTTTTCTAGTTCAGTAACACTTTATTAACATATTTTAACATAATGCTGAAAGAGTTGTTAAATCAAGTTATAATGTACTCTATACTTTTATAATTATTGCTAAGCTAAGACTACAGTCATTTTAATTGTTTTAAGAGACAAAGTCTCTATTGCTACAGCTGGAATGAATGCAGTGGTGCAATTATAGCTAACTGCGGCTTCAAACGTATGGGCTCATGTTATCCTGCTGCCTTAGCCTCCCAATGAGCTGGGTCTACAGGAAGAGGACAGTAGGCTCAGCTAATTATTTAATTTGTTTATTTATTTTAATTTTTTTGTTAGAGACGGAATTTTGAAATGTTGCTGAGGCAGGCCTCAAAATCTAGGCTTAAGGTAATCCATCCACCTTGGCATCATATAGTGCTAAGTTTACTGGTGTGATCCACCATATCTAGCTAATTCTTAAAAACTTTTTGTAGAGATGGTACTTCACTATTTTGCCAAACCAGGTTACAAACACCTGCCCTCAAGGTTATTTTTGCCTTGACCTTTACTATTTTTGGAATTACAAATATAAGCCACAAAACCTGGTCTAAAAATGATCTACATTTTTAACTATAAGTTAAAATTTTATCTGGTAGAGATAAAGCTTCTTATGTAATGATAAAGTAGAACATGATGTGATACAAATTTATTGGTATGTGAGCCAATTTTTAAATAATAAATGCACATTTAGATTAGAGATTTTTAAGTTTACTAAGAATTCTCTCACAATTACTACAAAAATGTTTATTGTGTATTTAAAATTTGAAATAATATTTTTATGGTTAGGAAAATGTAAAGCAGTATAATAGAGAACCAAACCAATTGTAAGAACTCTACGAATGAAATGCAAAGCCATGTACAAGTCACTGGCAGGACCACAAACTATTTTTTTTGGTGTGAAATCCAGTGGTGATGTGGAATATACCAGCAATTTGTATACTAATCATAGTAATTTCTTGTGCTTTAGGCAGAAAAGTAATTCTACTCTTCAAATAAAAATACATATACAGTCAAAAACATTTGTATTTTCAAGCACTTTCTAAATAAAATTTTTGTTAGTTAACACTAATTCTTAGTGATTTACTTACCACTTCACTAACCCATACTGCAAACTAGTGCTTGAGTAGAAAGTAATAATTATTATTATAAATAATGCTCTTTTATATATCCATATATTAAGTACCACTATTCTAATGTACAGATATATTACATTTTACACTTTAAATAACTAAACCAAAAAGAAACACTTTCACATAAATTAAGGCTAATGATTCGATAAGAAAAGGTAAATGAAGCCTAAAGAAAAAAAGTAAACACATGTTGATGCTTTGTAAGGAATCACGCAAGCCAAACACAAATTATTTTTTATTAGTAAGAAGCTAATCTAAAAGCTTACCTTGAGCAGGATTTAAATAAACACGATTAATGTAAATACTTTTATTCCATTATGGATAAATTTCACATTTTGTTTCTATACACTTCTCTCAATGGCTGGTGATGTAATGATGTGATGTGGTATTGCAAAAGTTAGTCATAATATATATCTTACCATCTCATCACCTTCATCTATCATGTCCATTTGCTTATTAAAAATAAGTACACAAGCATTTCACCATCTCTTCTCTCATCTCTATGACATGCACTTCAGTGTGTAATCAAATACATTTGTGTACTCTCCACCAAAACACTGACTTTTTAAATTTCTTTATCATCTTCTATTTTCAATTCTGTTACATCTCCATCATCAAATTTATACCAGTGATCTGAGTCATTGGCTACCATCTTTGAATAATACAAGAATAATAAGCCAGGCACGGTGGCTCATGCCTATAATCCCAGTACTTTGGGAGACCCAGGCGGGCAGATCACCAGGTTAGGAGATCCAGACCATCCTGGCTAACATGGTGAAACGCCATCTCTACTAAAAATACAAAAAATTAGCCGGCTTGGTGGCAGGTGTCTGTAGTCCCAGCTACTCTGGAGGCTGACACAGGAGAATGGCATGAATCTGGGATGTGGAGCTTGCAGTGAGCCAAGATTGCACCACTGTACTCCAGCCTGTGCTACAGAGCAAGACTATTGTCTCAAAATAAATAAATAAAATAATAATAATTCCCACTACTTGCTTGATCAGCATTGCTACTGTGTAAGGTCCCATATCCAGGTCCCAGAGAAATTAAAAATAATCACTGAATATAATTGTACATTTTCCCAGACATATTAAAATTGTTTGAGTTGGCTGCAAAACCAAAAGGGAATATTTTAAATAGCAAGTGCTTTCCTGTGTTAACATACCATAAACAAAGAATATAAACAAATATTCTCTTGTTACCTGCGCAGACATTAAAACAATGTAATGAGAATTTTAAAGTTTATAATCTTTTGAGCTGGGCGCGGAGGCTCACTCCGGTAATCTCAGTAATTTGGAAGGCTAAGGCCGGCAGATCACGAGGTCAAGAGATTGAGGCCATCCTGGCCAATGTGGTGAAACCCAGTCTCAACTAAAAAAAAAAAAAAAAAATTGCAGGGTATGGTTGTGCAAACGTGTAATCCCAGCTACTCAGGAGGCTGAGGCAGAATTGCTAGAACCTGAGAGCCAGAGGTTTCAGTGAGCTGAAATTGTGCCATTGCACTGCAGCCTGGGCAACAGAGCGAGACTCCGTCTCAAAAAAAATTATAGTCTTTCTCATCTAGTTTATACAGACGAGTAAATGATAGTTAACACCAGCAGGGTAATTATGTCATAACTAACTTAAGCAATGCTTACTTACCAAAGCTTAAAATGTTTATATATAGTAATCCTTTGGCATCTGTAGGGGATTGGCTACAGGATCCCCATGATTACTATAATTTGTGTCTGCTCAAGTTTCTAATGAACAGTGGTGCAGTACGTAAATATAACATACACACATCCTTCTGTATAGTTTACTTATCTCTAAATAACTTAAATAATTAATAAAATGTAAATGTTAAGTAGACAATTATATTGTAATTGCTTTTAAATTTGCTAGTTTTTATTGTATTGTTATTTTTTGTTTTTGGACATTTTAATACATGTTTAGAGAAATCTGTGTTTGCAGAACCTGTGGATGTAAAAGGTCACTTATGTGTTGCAAATTGGAAAACATTACTGACACAGACCCTGATGGCTATGTGGTTCCATATAGCCACTACTATCTGTTTTATTCCTCTAATGCTTTCTTTTATGCTATTAATTAGAATTTGGTGTGAGTAAACTGAAGATATATGATAAGCAATAATAATAGCAGCTAATATTTATAGCACTTAAAGACCAGGTAATACACTAAGAGCTGCACACATATTAATAAATTTAATCCTCACTGTCTTTTTTTTTTTTTTTTGAGATGGAGTTTCACTCTTTTCACCTACGCTGGAGTGCAATGGCAGGATCTCAGCTCACTGCAACCTGTGCCTCCAGGATTCAAGCGATTCACCTGTCTCAGCCTCCCCAGTAGCTAGTATTACAGGCATCTGCCACCATGCCTGGCTAATTTTCATATTTTGGGTAGAGATGGGGATTCACCCTGTTGGCCAGGCTGGTCTCACTAATTATAAAAAGGTAATAACTATATATAATTATTTTAAATGTGTGGATTTAGAGTGGCAGAAAGGGCAGGGTGCATGGCTCACACCTGTAATCCCAGCACTTTGGGAGGCCGAGGCAGGTGGCTCAGGAGGTTGGGAGATCGAGACCATCCTGGCTAAAAATGGAGTAACCACTTCTCTACTAAAAATACAAAAAATTAGCCAGGTGTTGGGGCAGGTGCCTGTAGTCCCAGCAACTCGGGAGGCCAAGGCAGGAGAATGACATGAACCCAGGAGGCCGAGCTTGCAATGGGCCGAGATTGTGCCACAGCATTCTAGCCTGGGCAACAGAGTCTAGGGCGACAGAGCGAGACTCTGTCTCAAAAAAACGGAAAAGGAAAGGAAAGGAAAGGGAAAGGAAGGGAAGGGAGGGGAGGGGAGGGGAGGGGAGGGAAGGGAAGGGAAGGGAAAAGAAAGGAAAGGAAAGGAAAGGAAAGGAAAGGAAAGGAAAGGAAAGGAAAGGAAAGGAAAGGAAAGGAAAGGAAAGGAAAGGAAAGGGAAAGGAAAGGAAAAAAAAGTGGTAGAAAGGGTAAAAATAAACTGTTCCAAGTCTCAGAGGTGTGAATAGAAGGAAGGATGACTTTATAAACAAACCACAATCTAAATGGCAGCTAAATTCAAAACAATGCAGAAAGCTTGGAGGTGAGAAGTTATGAAAGTGAAGAAAGACATATGTGTTACTTAACATATAACATCTTCAAGGACATTTTACCATTTCCTCTCCCAATCAATTTGTGCAGAGATAAAATCAGCTGGTTAGGCCTAGAGATTAAAATCTGTTTGTGAAACTACAAGTGGGTGTTAAAATCTGTTGTAACCACATTAAGTTAAGAAACTTTTTTACTTCTGAGGTATCTACAGTAGAAAAAAAATGTTTTATTCTATTAACTCCTCATGATTCAATCACTAAATTGCAATTTATTTTAGAGTAGAGATGAAAACAATCTTTGAGATCCTTTTATATCTAAAATTATTCACCTAATAAGGCTGATTTTTTTCTAGTCAGTCACTGTATTTTGTCAATATTCTTTCCCTTTAAACCCGTTATCATCTTGATTACCTCTCTGATACCACTAAAACAGTAAAGAGAAAAGCAGTAAAGAAAAAGCAGATGTTAATTTTGAGGATAAGCACAAACAACTCTAATGTCTTCTGATTCTGTTCAATGACATCATTATTTTTTTGAAAACTGAACAAAATATACTTTATATCACATTTTACAATAATATACATTTGCACCTTCATTTCATATACTGTTCCAAATAATCAAGAAGATTTTTATGTTTGTTAACGTCCACATTCAAAGTTGTAAATGATTCTTCACATTTTACCAAAACATATTATTAAAGAAACAAATTCTAAAAATGTATTATTTACATTATTTTCCCTGTATAGACAGTTTATTTGTTTGTTTATTTTATTTTTTTTTTTGTTACCCAGGCTACAGTGCAGTGGCACAATTATAGTTCACTGTGATCTCAAACTCCTTGGCTTAAGGTAGGGTTCACCAAGCAGTACCCACCTGTGTCCTGTTAGGAACTGGGTCACACATCAGCAGGTGATTGGTGGGCAAGCACGGAAGCTTTATCTCTAGTTAAACCATTACCTATGGTTCACCTTACCACCTGAACTCCACTTTCTATAAGATCCTTGGCATCAATTAGATTTTTATAGTAGCTAGAACACTACTATTTACTGTGCATGTGAGAAACCTAGGTTTTGCACTCTTTATAAGAATCTAAAGCCTTATCACCTGTAACTGTCTCCTATCACCTCCAGATAGAACCGTCTAGCTGCAGGATAGTAAGTTCAGGGCTCCTACTGATTCTACATGATGGTGAGTTGTATAATTATTTCATTAAATATTATAATGTAATAATAATAGAAATAAAGTGCATAATAAATGTAGGGCACTTGAGTCTTCCCCAAACTGTCCCTGCAACCACAGTCTTAAAAAATTGTCCTTCACTTCTGTTCCATTGATCTATATCTCTGTTTTGGTACCAGTACCATGCTGTTTTGGTTACTGTAGCCTTGTAGTATAGTTTGAAGTCATGTAGTGTGATGCCTCCAGCTTTGTTCTTTAGGCTGAGGATTGACTTGGTGATGCGGGCTCTTTGTTGGTTCCATATGAACTTTAAAGTATTTTTTTCCAATTCTGTGAAGAAAGGCATTGGTAGCTTGATGGTGATGGCATTGAATCTGTAAATTACCTTGGGCAGTATGGCCATTTTCACGATATTGATTCTTCCTACCCATGAGCATGGAATGTTCTTCCATTTATTTGTATCCTCTTTTATTTCCTTGAGCAGTGGTTTGTAGTTCTCCTTGAAGAGGTCCTTCACATCCCTTGTAAGTTGGATTCCTAAGTATTTTATTCTCTTTGAAGCAATTGTGAATGGGAGTTCACTCATGATTTGGCTCTCTGTTTGTCTGTTGTTGGTGTATAAGAAAGCTTGTGATTTTTGTACATTGATTTTGTATCCTGAGACTTTGCTGAAGTTGCTTATCAGCTTAAGGAGATTTTGGGCTGAGACAATGGGGTTTTCTAGATATACAATCATGTCGTCTGCAATCAGGGACAATTTGATTTCCTCTTTTCCTAATTGAATACCCTTTATTTCCTTCTCCTGCCTAATTGCCCTGGCCAGAACTTCCAACACTATGTGGAATAGGAGTGGTGAGAGAGGGCATCCCTGTCTTGTGCCAGTTTTCAAAGGGAATGCTTCCAGGTTTGCCCATTCAGTATGATATTGGCTGTGGGTTTGTCATAGATAGCTCTTATTATTTTGAAATACATCCCATCAATACCTAATTTATTGAGAGTTTTTAGCATGAAGGGTTGTTGAATTTTGTCAAAGGCTTTTTCTGCATCTATTGAGATAATCATGTGGTTTTTGCCTTTGGCTCTGTTTATATGCTGGATTACATTTATTGATTTGCGTATATTGAACCAGCCTTGCATCCCAGGGATGAAGCCCACTTGATCATGGTGGATAAGCTTTGTGATGTGCTGCTGGATTTGTTTTGCCAGTATTTTATTGAGAACAGAGCCCTCAGAAATAACGCCGCATACCTACAACTATCTGATCTTTGACAAACCTGAGAAAAACAAGCAATGGGGAAAGGATTCCCTATTTAATAAATGGTGCTGGGAAAACTGGCTAGCCATATGTAGAAAGCTGAAACTGGATCTCTTCCTTACACCTTATACAAAAATCAATTCAAGATGGATTAAAGACTTAAACGTTAGACCTAAAACCATAAAGACCCTAGAAAAAACCTAGGCATTACCATTCAGGACATAGGTATGGGCAAGGACTTCATGTCTAAAACACCAAAAGCAATGGCAATAAAAGACAAAATTGACAAATAGGATCTAATTAAACTAAAGCGCTTCTGCACAGCAAAAGAAACTACCATCAGAGTGAACAGGCAACCTACAAAATGGGAGAAAATTTTCACAACCTACTCATCTGACAAAGGGCTAATATCCAGAATCTACAATGAACTGAAACAAATTTACAAGAAAAAAACAAACAACCCCATCAAAAAGTGGACGAAGGACATGAACAGACACTTCTCAAAAGAAGACATTTATGCAGCCAAAAAACACATGAAACAATGCTCATCATCACTGGCCATCAGAGAAATGCAAATCAAAACCACAATGAGATACCATCTCACACCAGTTAGAATGGCAATCATTAAAAAGTCAGGAAACAACAGGTGCTGGAGAGGATGTGGAGAAATAGGAACACTTTTACACTGTTGGTGGGACTGTAAAGTAGTTCAACCATTGTGGAAATCAGTGTGGCGATTCCTCAGGAATCTAGAACTAGAAATACCATTTGACCCAGCCATCCCATTACTGGGTATATATCCAAAGGACTATAAATCATGCTGCTATAAAGACACATGCACACGTATGTTTATTGCAGCATTATTCACAATAGCAAAGACTTGGAACCAACCCAAATGTCCAACAATGATAGACTGGATTAAGAAAATGTGGCACATATACACCATGGAATACTGTGCAGCTGTAAAAAATGAGGAATTCATGTCCTTTGTAGGGACATGGATGAAATTGGAAATCATCATTCTCAGTAAACTATCGCAAGAACAAAAAACCAAACACCACATATTCTCACTCATAGGTGGGAATTGAACAATGAGATCACATGGACACAGGAAGGGGAATATCACACTCTGGGGACTGTTGTGGGATGGGGGGAGGGGGGAGGGATGGCAATGGGGGATATACCTAATGCTAGATGACGAGTTAGTGGGTGCAGCGCACCAGCATGGCACGTGTATACATATGTAACTAACCTGCACAATGTGCACATGTACCCTAAAACTTAAAGTATAATAAAAAAAAAAAGAAGTGACAGCCAGGCACAATGGCTCACGCCTGTAATCTCAACGCTTTGGGAGGCCAAGGTGGGCCGATAACTTGAGGTCAGGAGTTCAAGACCAGCCTGACCAACATGGTAAAACACCATCTCTACTAGGCATAGTGGTACATGCCTGTAATCCCAGCTACTTGGGAGGCCGAGGCAGGAGAATTTCTTGAACCTGGGAGGCGGAGGTTGCAGTGAGCCGAGATTGCACCATTGCACTCCAGCCTGGGCAACAATAGTGAAACTCGATGTCAAAAAAAAAAAAGTGCCTGACTGCTTGGCTGTTTATGGGAGAAATTAATGGCAAAGAGTATTCAATAGGCAAAGTTGTGTTTTGCACACAATTTTAAAGCAGTGTACTTAAGGCAGTATTTACCAAATAGAACAGATGTAACTTGTATTTTAAAAATGGGTTGTGACAGTAAAATATGAATGGAAAAAAAAATTATCCTTCACAAAAACAGTCCCTGGTGCCAAATTGTTCCAAACGATCACACATAGATGCACACACACATAAATACTTGAGTAAAAGTTTTGAAGACTAAACTCAAAGTGTTATAATAATTTGAAAGAACAAGAACAGAATATGGCCTAGATTGCAGAAAACAATATTTCAAGTAGAGAACGCTGATAAAAATAAATTGTTAACATACTTGAAAAGAAGAGGAAGTCACATGTGAGGCTATAGAACTAAAATAGGTAAATAAGAACTATATATGCAAATCATACTTATAACCTAGGCTTACAGTTTAGCTATGGAATCTAGAAAATTAAACTGAGAGATATAATGGGGAGTCAGTGCATTATAGGTGTGATACAGACTTTTAAAAGAAATCTAAGTGATACACTAATAAATGGAAGGGGAGGGGCTGTGAGTGAAACAGAAGGCAGCCCAGAAATCAGAATATCTCTTTTGCTTCCTACCTCTGATCTATCTAGTAAGCACTTTTTTGAAAGAACACTAAACTCTTATGAGGGAGTGCAGCTTTTTTTTTTACAAACTAGAAAGAGCTATATACTACGGTATATGATTAAAAGTTGTGTGACAGTGTTTATTATCATACGTGCCACAAATTAGGCCTTGATAAAATGAGTGAAACAAAGAAAACAAAATCAAGATGTTATGAAGCTGTGTGTTGGGGGTCGGGGGGTGACTTCTCTTCATTGCTCAGGATGAAGTGCAGCAGCACAATCACAGCTCAGGCAATGTTTTCCCCTCATTGTCCCAGGTAGCTGGGACTACTGATGCAGACCATTACACTCGGCTAATTTTTTGAATCTTAATAGAGACGGGATATCACCATGTTGCCCAGACTGGGTATGAACTCCTATAATCCGGTAATCTGCCTACCTTGGCTTCACAAAGTGCCAAGACTACCAGTGTGAGTGATAGTGCCTGGCCTAAATGAGCTTTTTCAAATGTAAAAATGGACCAAATATTACTGGTCACTTTTGTACGTGGCTCAAAAACTATATGATTACTTTACAAGCTTGCAAAATTATGTATATTATATAAAGTTATATGTTGTATATTTATATATAAGTATATTATTTCTTTTTCTTACATGGCTAGGAAGAGGTAGTTTCCTGTCAGTGATGAAAATGTTCATTTGATAATAAAAACGTCTATTTGATGATGAGTAATGTTGATCTTTGAGGTGATTATTATACATAATATCAAGCGTAAATATTACTCTAGAAGCTAAAAGACATAATTGATTCACTAATCTAACTTTAAAAGTATGATAAAGGAAGTTTAAACAAATACCAACAGGTAGTGAATAAAATGGCATGTTATCTTCCCAAGTACTTGAGACTACAGGTTCATACCACCACAGCAGAATAATTCTTGTATTTTTTTTAGAGACAGTGTTTTGCCACATTGCCCAAGCTTATAAAGTAGTTTTTATTATGTGTGATAATAGCACCATGGCCATCTTCTTAAATTTAAACTTTAGAGATGCATTAAAATATCTATACAAATAAAACAATATACTTGGCATTTGCTTTATTAGAGAACTGTTAAATCAATGAGATGACTACATTTCAGTATTTTGCTTATATATAATTTATAAATCTAATAATAAGAAGTTAATTATATCATGAGATATAAAAAATACACTGTCTGTCTTTGCTGTGAAAATTTTAACCTCTCTCAATTGGGACAATACTAATAAAAATGACCAAGAGAAACAGCTAGAATATTACTGTTTAAATATTAAACACCTAATAAATTATGTATTTTAAGATATATTTAAACATTTTAGTTAGTGTACAGATGACTTTATCATATCTTACCCATAATTTACATAAACTGTTTCCAAAAACTTCTGGGTACAATATTGTAGTCAGAAAGCAGCTAAATGTAAAAGATGACCTGAAATTGTCTTAGGAGATCAATATTGTACACTTTCCTATCTTCTGTCTTGTTTAGTGCTGGTTTCTCTTCAAATTTATAATGATATCTAAACACATCATCTTGGAGATCTCCAGAGACCGGAAGACATTAGTGAGGCACTAATCTAACGTTAAATGTATAATGAAAGAAGTTGAAATAAACACCAAAAGTTGGTTAATAAAATTATATGCATTTTTTCATACTATTTTCAAAAAACTTATTGGTTTTAATATTTAGTATTAGTACTTATT
Source organism: Homo sapiens (assembly GCF_000001405.40). Taxonomy (NCBI): domain Eukaryota; kingdom Metazoa; phylum Chordata; class Mammalia; order Primates; family Hominidae; genus Homo; species Homo sapiens. Next base: position 66,725 of record NW_025791821.1, read on the forward strand.
TCACAGATGGACCATCATAAAGAGTTCACAGAAAAGTTATCATTAGAAATAATAGAATAATAGCAATTATAACCTGCAATTCATTAAAGATTAAAGTCTAATCTGTGGTCTCTCATAAATAACTTATGAGGAATAAGTTACTTCGTTCTCCAAGAATTCAGTGTCTTCTTGTGAGCATAATGCATTTTTGCAGATTATATAATTTATGTGATGTATTTAGAGTTATTACAACTCAATAAATATGGCTATTAAGAGTAGTTGTGGAAGAAACACTTACACAGAAGCTCCAAAGGTCATAATTTTCTTGTAGCTACAGAGCAAAATATAGTTGTTTTACAGATATCTAACATGTTTCTACATGCTTTGCTCTTCTGAGGCTTCTGATACAGAAATAAACAATATCCAGTTCATAGCCTGAGGAAGTTCATCCCATAGAAAAAGCAACTAGGCAGACACGCATGCCACAGTAAAGTGCTGAGACAACATAAAGCAAAAGCAACCAAACAAGCACAAAGGTACGGGACTTAATTTGAATTTTATACTCTATCTGCCTCATTCACTTCTTGTCAGTATAATTAGCAATCTCTATCTATTTTAAATTCAGAACCAGAGGGGTAAAAGGGGCTTCAGTATCAGGACTTACATTCTACTTTTTTGTCCAATAGTTTCTGTTAACCAAGTATTAACGAACATCCCATATGGAGATTCTAGTAAAAGGAATGCTTCCCAGGTTGTAATTACTGCGTGGTGTAATCTATTCAATCTAGTAAGGCAGTGTTTTTTATAGTCTTCATAAATGAAAAGTGCTGAGATGTTATTTGAAAGGCAAACTATTTCTAACCACTGAGGGAAAGAAATGTAGAAATTTAAGACTCATTTACTACAGTTTAATTATTCAAATTTCTCTATTTAATTTCTATCAATATCTATAGAAAAATATAAATGAATGGTAAACAACTTGAGTGTAAACATTTCCAAAATTCAAGTTTTCTATATTCACCTATTTAATAGCTATATCTTAAAAATGTGATCTGCCACTAAAACGTGACTTTTTGCTGCTTTATTTTTATTTATGTACTATTTACTTAATTTATTTATTTTTTTGAGATAAAGTCTTGCTCTGTTGCCCATTCTAAAGTGCAATGGCGTAATCTCGGCTCAATGCAAGCTCCGCCTCCCAGGTTCACACCATTCTCTTGCCTCAGCCTCCTGAGTAGCTGGGACTACCGGAGCCCATCACCACACACAGCTAATTTTTTTTTTTTGTATTTTTTTTTTAGTACAGATTGAGTTTCACTCTGTTACCTAGGATAGTCTCAATCTCCTGACCTCGTGATCCGCCCGCCTCGGCCTCCCAAAGTGCTGGGATTATAGGCGGGAGCCACAGCACCTGGCATGCTGCTTTATTTTCAACAGATATTTTTTATTTTTAACCAAATGCTTTTATACTTTTAGCAGCCTAATTGTAATTGTTATATAATGTTGCTAACAGGTCTACGTAGCATTATTAGAAAAGCAAATTTTTTTCTGTAGCAGAGAAATCCCTAATTTTAGAAAAATATACATAGAATCCTAAAAATAAGCACAACTTATTTAACACAGATGGGATAAAAGTTTAAAAAAAAACCCAGAATACTTAAAAAAAGATGCGTATGATTATTAAAAATAAAGATTTCTAATTCTTCACATACTGAATTGCATTTACCGTATCATACATATGTGATTATATCAACTGTGCTTTGAAAATAAAGAAAAAAAGTGATAAATATTATCAACTATATTGTCAAGTTGTTAGATAATGAAAGCGATAAACATGCCAGTGATGGTATTGCAGACATTCTAGCCGTATCATCAAAATGCAGTTCTGAAAAAATCTCGTGAAAACACAGTAATCTCAGAATGAACAACTGTATCTGCTATCAGAATATTTTTAAAATAATTTTTACCTCACATTTTGTTTCTCATCTTTGAACCATAATTGTCTGTATCACTACCTGTGTTTTCAGTTACAGAAATATTGTTTGTGACAAGGGTGATTATGTATAGTTGCTAGATCACAGAATTAATGTGACAGGTAGTACCAGCTTGAATCCCACAAATCCTTTTAGTGGGTAGGGCCCAACAGGGGACAGATACTCCTACACACTGAGTGATTCACAAGATGAGATAAGAAAAAAAATGCTTATGCTACAAAAATAATGATTCTGTCCATTGTTCTCTTAATCAGGCTGGGTAAATTCATTCTATCAGGCTAAGACAGAAATTTTGAAAGAGTACTTTAAACTTTTACATCAGCAACTTGAGCCACTATACAGGCCCTTTACTACAGACTTGTTAAGTAAACATTTTTAAAGACATTGCTTCTGTAACCATTTTCTTAGAATCATGTAAGATGGTATAATATTAAATTTTCATGTGTTAAACGCAGACTTAGCTTTAATCATTAATTTAGTTATAAAAACTTGTGCACTGTAAGTGTATTCAAAACACTGTCATCAGAACTTTACATAAATAAAACATTAGAATTTTCTGTTTTAATTGAGCACTTCATTTAAAATTATTTTTCTGACTCATAAAAACTATAATCTTCACATACATTTCTGCTTTCTTCTTCAGCAAATAGTGAAAATTGCTTTGTCTATATTCACAGTTTTATTGTGAGATGAAGTCGTTGAGATGGTGTATTTAAAAATCACTGTAAGAACTGTAAATGCTTCTCTGTGTAAAACTGAATACAACTTACACATCAATCCATCTTAGTGGTGTACTGCATATTTTGGAGCACATTGAACTGCAAGCTACAAAACAAATGGATCTTCATATATTGACACGTGAGTGACTAAGTATAAAACAAATTTAGCAATATTTTATATTGCATACTTCTTTCTTTAAAGAAGCTATATGTATGGAGTAGTATATATGCAGAAATAATCTGTGCATAAGAAATATAATATCGGCTGCAAGTCAATAACTTTTAATACACATCTTCATTCATATATATGTGTGGGTGTGTCTATGTATATATACACACATATATATACATATATACATATATACACACATATATATACAGATATACACATATATATACATATATACATATATATACACATATATATGTGTGTGTGTGTGTGTGTGTGTGTGTGTATATATATATTTTTTTTTTTTTTTTGAGACGAAGTCTCACTCTGTTGCCCAGGCTGGAGTGCAGTCGCGTGATCTCGGCTCACTGCAAGCTCTGCCTCCTGGGTTCATGGTATTCTCCTTTCTCAATCTCCCTAGCAGCTGGCCCACGCCACGACGCTGGCTGATTTTTTGTATTGTTAGTAGAGACGGGGTTTCACCGCGTTAGCCAGGATAGTCTCGCTGTCCTGACCTCGTGATCCACCCCCTCTCGGCCTCCCAAAGTGCTGGGATTACAGGCGTAAGCCACCGCTACCGGCCATCTTCTTGTACATTTTTAAATGTATGTTAAACACAAGAAAACATTGACTAAATAGTTTAACAACAGGAATGGTGGTTTAAGAAAAATTTCTTTTTCAAATATATATTTATGGCCAGGCGCTGTGGCTCATGCCTATAATCCCAGCACTTTGGGAGGCCGAGGCGTGCGGATCACGAGGTCAGGAGATCGAGACCATCCTGGCTAATACGGTGAAACCCTGTCTCTACTAAAGATACAAAAAATTAGCCGGGAGTGGTGACGGGCGCCTGTAGTCCCGGCTACTCGGGAAGCTGAGGCAGGAGAATGGCGTGAACCCAGGAGGCAGAGTTTGCAGTGAGCCGAGATCGCGCCGCTGCACTCCAGCCTGGGCAACAGAGTGAGACTCTGTCTCAAAAAAAAAAAAAAAAAAAAAAAAAAAAAAAAAAAAAAATATATATATATATATATATATATATATATATATAATTTATATTTATGTATATATTTTCACATATATATTTTTCACACATATATATTTTTCACATATATATTTTTACACATATATATATTTTTCACACATTTTCACACATATATTTTTTCACATATATGTGGATATATACACAGACATATGTGTGTATATATGTATATATGTATGTATATATACATATGTGTATGTATGTACATATATTCATTCATATATATATGATGTCAATGCAATTGTTACATAAATTAACAAAAAAGATGTTTTCAAGCAGAAAACTCTGCTGTCTACATAGAGCCCCCAAGACAAATAAATATCTGTCCTCTTAAGCAGTGAGTTCAGCTAGAAACTACAGCAATGTGCTAGAAAATATACTCAGAGAAAAAATAAACAAATATAAAAAATTAACATTTACCAATTAAAAATCTGTAAGGAATGCTGCTAATTATATTCTTAACCCTCAGTTTTCTCTTGAAATAAACTAAATTGTATGTTATTATTTGTTAATTTACTTATATTACCTCCCTCCCTGATTTTGAGTTCTGTGTAAGATTTGAACATTGCTAGTCACTTTGTTAGACTGATGTGAACATTTAGAAGTAATAAAGTGCAATCAAAGGTTCTCTTCTCACATTATGATTTTTAAAGCTATACCTCTCTTAGAATTTAACTAAAATAACATTAAGTAACTTCAATGTTTGGATTTAGAAGATCTTTTTAATGAATACACTTTAAATATAAAGTTTTGTAGCATTAAAGTTCACTTGTTACTCTAAAGTTTCAATATTTTTTTCACATATGATTAAATAAAACTCACTGTGGCAAGTTACCAAAACTAAATATAGGGGAGCATTTAAGAAATACATATTTTTTAAAAAATTTATATTCTCTGACTTAAATTGTTTTAATTATATACCTGATGGCTACAGAATGTTAAACTTGATCAAAACAAAAAACCCGTGAGTTAATTTTTTCTAAATGAAAAAATAGAATTTTAAACAAAACTATTATTAGTGAGCAAAAGCAGCTTTATAATTTAAAATACCCACTAGTTATTGCTTTGTCTATGTAATGTATTTCAGTCAGTCTACTATCTTTTTGAGGTTTTTTTAGACAGCCAATAACTCGTGGTACAAGCAGCTGAAAACCAGCATTGATCGTAGCGTGTGAGCTATGCTAGAACCACCTGCTCTGCTGGCAGTTCTTTACTTCTTATATATTGCAAGTAAATTTTTGATGCAGGGAAAATGAAAACATTAATTAATTTCTAGTGAGTTAGAAAAAGTTATCACATTTATTAGTAGAAAACATAGGTTAAGAAAATATGTTTTTTTCAAAGAAAATACATTTAAAGTTTATTTGACAAAATTAAACATCTCATTATATCTTGAAACAATTTTGAATTTTCTTACAGAAGCCAATCCTAAAAAAAGTGACCATAATCAATAAACGTAATTAGTTTCCCAAGTTAGATTTTTTAAAATTTCTGAAATCTGACTTTATCCAAAAGAAAAATAACATTCTAAATTAATCTTCTCTGTTAACTATATATTAATTGAAATAAATTTATTTCCAATAAAAAGAAAATGAATTTAAATTATATTATTTTTCTTGAATTATGAAACATATAAAGAAACTCATCAAAAATATGATATAAAAAAACTAAAGTTTTCAAGAGGGATTTTTTCTCAATTAGAAATTCAATGAAGGGACTAGCATGGTGGCTCACACTTGTAATTCCAGCGCATTTGAAGGCCAAGAAAGGTCAGAAGCTTCAGACAAGCTTGGCCAATATGGTGATAGGCCCTATCAGCTGCGGTGGTGCACTCCTGCAATCTCAGGTATCAAGATGCGATGCAGAATAATGACTTGAACCTGGGAACCAGGGGATTTCAGTGTGCCAAGACTGCACCACTGCACTCCAGCCGAAGGGACAGTGTGAGATTCCATTCTAAAAATAAAAGAAAAGAAATTCAATTAACTAAGTTTGTGACAACTCTGACTTGTAGTAACAAAATGTCTTAAATTATGTGTGACACACATTTCAAAGTTACTCCAACATCACCTGTACAAAAAGAAAGCCTTTTTATTTTTAGTTAATTTATTTAATTTTGCTTTTTATAATTTTATTTATTATTGTTCCAGGGTACATATGCAGGACATGCTGGTTTATTTCATAGATAAACATGTCCATGATTGTTCGCTGCACCTATTAATCCATCATTTAGGTATTCAGCCCCACATTAATTAGCTATTTGTCCTGAAGCTCTTTTTTTATCCTGCCCCATGACATAACCAGATATGTGGCATTCCCCTCCCTGTGTCTATGTGTCTTCAAACTTCAGACCCTCATAAGAAGGTGGAAATGCAGTCTTTGTTTTTTTGTTTCTGTGTTAGTTTGCTGAAAATGATGGCTTCCAGCTTCATTCATCTCCCTGCACAGGACATGATCTCCTTCCTTTTTATGGCTGCATATAATTTCATGATGTATATGTGTCACACTTTCTTTATCCATTCTGTCATTGATGGGCATTTGAATAAATTCCATGTCTTTGCTACAGTAAAGCAATAACCGTACACATGCATGTAGTCTTAAAATAGAATGACTTTTTTGTGTGTGTGAGTGCTACATACCCAGTAATGAAATTGCTGAGTCCAGTGGTATTTCTGGTTCTAGACACTTGGTGAATTATCACACACTTTTCCACAATGTCTGTACTGATTTACACTGTAAACAACAGTGTAAAAGCATTCCTATTACTGCACTGCTTTACTACCATCTATTGTTTCTCGGGTTTTTAGTAATCATCATTTTGACTGGCCTCAGATGATACCTCATCGCAGTTTTGATTTGCATTTCCCTAGTAATTAGTAAAAGTAAGAGAAAAATGAGATCTCACATAAAATTTCTGCAAAATTTCATCTTTTTTTGAGATGGGTTTTGTTCTTGTCATCCAGGCTGAAGTGCAGTGGGGCAATTTTAGCTCACTCTAACCTCCGTCTTCTGGGTTCAAGCAATTCTCCTGCCTCAGCCTCCCAAGTAGCTGGGATTACAGGTGCCAGCTAAGTTTTTTTTATTTTTATGTATATTTTTGTATTTTTAGTAGAGATGGGGTTCAACAATGTTGGCCAGACTGGTTTGAAACTCCTGATCTGAAGTGATCCTCCTGCCTCGATCTCTGAAAGTGCTGGAATTACAGGTGTGAGCCACCATGAGAAGCCATTGAAAAAATTTTTAAAGTGTTTTTTTTTTTAATTTCTTCTTCAGAACTCTGTAGAATTGTAACTGTCAACAGTTCTGCTTCCACAAGACACAAACGTATTTGAGTATTTCAACCACAGAAAAAGGATGTCACTATTACACTTAGTGGAAAAGGCCAGAAAGGCTGCTCAGGCTTCCCAGGCTGCTAATCATCCTACAATGCACAGCAAAAGCTTCTCCCCCACAAAATTATATGAGTACAAAATGCCAAAGTCCAGGTATCAGAAATTCTGTCTCCTCAAGAAGCTTCATAATCTCCTAGAAAGATGCTAACTTGAAGCCCAATGCCATATAGTTCAGAAACATATTCTCACATTATATATTTCTGTGTAAGAGGGATCAGGTGGTTCAATGCTAATGCCAACTTTCAAATTTGATTTTTTAAAAATTTTGAAATGTAATAATAATTTCCTAATAAGGTTAAAACTACCAAAATGTAGTTCACAGAATTATCTGTATTTCAAGATCCAAGAGAAGTAAGGCACAACTAGCTATGCTTCTTTTATCATGGAATTTTTGGGGAGTCATTTTGCCAGATGAAATCCTTTATGGCCAATGGTGCTTGTGCCTGAGTTTTGCTCAGACCTGCTAAGCTTGTTCTACCCAGTCTGCCTGACGGGCTGCACTCAGCTTCCATTATGGGCCAAGATTTAACACCAGCCAAGGGCAAGCATGAGTGTGTGGTGAGTGGTGTATGAGCAAGCATGGGCTCCAGCCACAAAACACAGCCAGGCTTGCCAGGTGTGAGAGGGCAGAAAGTGTTAGGTGCCAACAAAAGTACCAGTGAAAGGAGAAGCTGCAGCTGGAACAGGAATACTGTAAGCAGCTTCCACAGCTGATACTGGGAAATGTAGTGGTGCCCAGAAGCATGGAGATTCCAGAAACTGCAAAGTCCCAAAGAAGGTGTCACAGCCAGCCCTTAGGTCTGAAAGGTCACCGTTCTCCTCTTATCTTTGTCTTCCACAATGTGATGAGCAAGGGGCAAGTTTTATCCCTGTTTGTGTTGCAGGTCATTCAGCCCTGGCATTCAACAGAACTAAAGCTGTTGTTCTGCATCAAGAAAGAAAGAGGTACATGCTGCCTTCAGCCTTTCCATTTCTGTCTGAAGATATAAAGCCTGAGCTAGCTGAGGCAACAGTGATGGCCTCCCCTGAGTCAGTTGCCGGGCACTATAATGTTGATTCTCCTCAGAATCCACCCTGACACCTCTGTTTACTTCTAGACCTATAACTAGACTCAAGTTCTGCAGGGGTCTGTCCCACAGACCCTGACCCAACAACAGATGAATAAAGTACACTGATGCATGATATTCTGCTTTGCCAGTTCGACTGAGCATCTGGGCCACTTACAGACTCCATGCAGAGTGCTGTAAACAGTTGTGACCAGGGGCTGTAAACAGTCCTGACCAGCTAATGAGACTGGTACTTATTCAGTAAAGACTAATTGACAAAGCTCATGAGTAAACACCACTAGAGGGTAATTGACATCGTGGAGTTTCTGAGTAGAAAGCAATTAAGCACCTGCAGTATTAGATCAAAGGTTAGTCTTAGGACCACACCAGTAAAGAAGCTAGTTAGGTAAACTACTCTATCTTCCATTGTACCCACTTTAAGCTATTTACACAAGGTATGGATTAGGTTGCCTTCAGTCATAACCTTATCCTCAGACTTTTACAAATATATTTAGGCTTTCCAAGAAGGTTTGTGGCTTATAATTGTCCCCACCATCTTGATCAATCTGCTACCTCTCCCACTTTTTTGTTTTCTGCATCAGGTTTTCTTAATTGGAGAGCATAGGTATGTCAGCAACCAGTCTGTCAGGTGTGGCAGTCCTGGCAGTCATTACTCTTATTCTAACTTTGCATCTTAGAATTAGCAAACAATAAAAAACAATCATGAGTACAATTAGCAGCATTCTTTTCCAGTCAAAGTGTGACCCCCAGGAGTGGGGGTCTAACTAGGAGAAATGATCTTGCACACCCTTCCTTGTGGCTGTTTGTTGTGTGTGTAGGTCTATGGTGTGAAGGGATTCTAAAATGTTAGTTTTAAGTTGGCTTAAAACTGCTGTTAAATTGTCATGAAAAGTTCCCCAGAGATGCTGTTCTACCTCATCTCAGCAATGTATAGATTAAGTCCATGGTAGAGAAGTGACATAGAGATGTTTATGTTCCCTTAATTGCTTTCAGAATGCCAGTAGATCTTGTCGTTCCCCTGCATATTTTAAAGTAGCCTTGAGGGCTCGCAGACATGCAAGGATTTTTTTTATCTATATCTTGCTGAAAGAGAATTCATTAGACACATTTTTGGCCAGATTATCTACAAAGGCAGCTATTTTTACTGACTCAGTAATAGATGCAACAGCAATGCTAGCAGTTGCCAGGATAACTACGGCTGAGAATATAAAGGCCATAAGTGTAACTGTAAACATTTTGTGTCTGTCCTGGGACAGAGCATATTCTAAGGTGGAAATGGCAGAGGAACTTTGCCAATTGCATGTCAGATTGACTGGTAGGAATGCCTCAGATTGTCTCCTTAATACCATGACACTAGTAATTATTGGGGAACCTGCCCCAGTATTCATGTAGGTTCTTTTCTATTTTCCTTAAGTGTCAGCTGGCTTGATAAATAAAGGGACAGAGTACAAAAAAGAGAAATTTTAAAGCTGGGCATCTGGGGGAGACAACACATGTCGGTAGGTTCTGTGATGTCCCACAAGCCACAGAAACCAGCAAGTTTTTATGAGGGATTTTCAAAAGGGGAGGAAGTGTGCGAATAGGTGTGGGTCACAGACATCAAGTACTTTACAAGGTAATAGAATATCACAAGGCAAATGGAGGCAGGGCAAGATCACAGGACCACAGGACCAGGGTGAAATTAAAATTGTTAATAAAGTTTCGGGCACCATTGTCATTGACAGCAATTTATCAGGAGACAGGGTTTTGAGAGCAAATGGTCTGACCAAAAATTTATTAAGTGGTAATTTCCTCTTCCTAATAAGCCTGGGAGTGCTATGGGAGACTGGGGTCTATTTCACCCCTACAGCCTTGACCATAAGAGACAGGAGCACCTAAGGGGGCCATTTATAGGCCTATACCTCCAGGTGCATATTCTCTTTCCCAGGGATGTTCCTTGCTGAGAAAAAGAATTCAGCAATATTTTTCCCATTTGCTTTTGAAAGAAGAGAAATATGGCTCTGTTCTGCCTGGCTCACTGGTGGTCAGAGTTTAAGGTTATCTCTCTTATTCCCTGAACAATTGCTGTTATCCTGTTCTTTCTTCAGGATGGCCAGATTTCATATTGTTCAAACACACATGCTCACAATTTTTGCAGTTGAGGCAATTATCACATGGTCCTGAGGCGACATATACCCTCATCAGCTGACAGGATTAAGAGATTAAAGTAAAGACAGGCATAGGAAATCACAAGGGTATTGATCAAGGAAGTGATAACTGTCCATGAAATCTTTGGAATTTATGTTTATGTTTAGAGATTGCAGTAAAGACAGGCATAAGAAATTATAAAAGTATTAATTTGGGGAAGTAATAAATGTCCATGAAATCTTCACAATCCATGTTCTTCTGCCATGGCTTCAGCAGATCCCTCCATTTGGGGTCCCTGACTTCCCACAACAAGTAATTTTGAAATTAGATATATTGTGATTGGTGATCATAATATATCTAATCAGTGTGATTATGAACAAAGGCAGTAATCAGTGTAATTATGAACAAAGGTTATAGTATAGTTGCAACTGGAATTATTATAATTATTATTATTATGAGATGTAGTCTCGCTCTGTTGCCCAGGCTGGAGTGCAGTGGCATGATCTTAGCTCACTGTAAGCTCTGCCTGCCAGGTTCACGCCATTCTCCTGCCTCAGCCTCCCAAGTATCTGGGACTAAAGGCACCTGCCAACATGCCTGGCTAATTTTTTTGTATTGTTAGTAGAGACGTGATTTCACCATGTTAACCAGGGTTGTCTCAATCTCCTGACCTCATGATCCACCCTCCTTGGCCTCCCAAAGTGCTGGGATTACAAGCATGAGCCACTGCACCTGGTTGCGACTGGAATTATGATAGGTACCATGCCAAGTGTTAAGGGAGGTGCTGAGATGTACCAGGCACCATAAGGTGACTTGGGGTGTCATGGACTTTACTTGGGGTCTGGAATATTCCATCCCCCCATTGGCCCAAATTATAGGGGAAAGATATATGGTTATGAAACTATGATTGTTGCTATGATGGAAGAAGACATTAGTAAGACTGCCCTGCAATAGGCGGTGGGGGCTCAAGTCTAGGATGTTATAATTGCCTAACCAGAAGCTATGGGCTTGTTTCCTGTGACAGACCTCCCAGCTAAAGTGGAATCCATTACTTTCCTGGCTTTTTTCTTTAGTACAGGAAGGAATGTTTGGGAAAGTGGCATTGATTGCATTGCCTGGATTAAGGCTTCCTGCAGCTAAGAATGTTAAGGCATTTCTTTTGCCATGATGTAGCCATACTTGTATTTGGGCAGGTACACAGTAAGTGTTAGGGCCTTTATAACTTACACACAGTGGGAGGATAGTGGAGTGATATGTAGTATTATTTGGCACCTTAGTCCAATGTGTGCCATTATTGAGGGGTGCCATGGGGGTAAATCTATCCCTCCTAGTGAAGGAGTCATGTTATTATAGGCTGTAAACGAAGTGTCTGCCCAGGTGAAAAAAAGGCTGGTTTAAGATATAAGCTCAATAAATTTAGTAGGTGCAGTTTGCAGACAAAGCGAGAGCATGAAAAGGATTAATATCCTACATGAGTTGCAATGAAAAACAGAACGCATGGCAAGAAACAAATTTTCTGGAGTAAATAGTGTCTATGTCTGGAGGAGGATTTGTTCAGCCACCTGAGTTGTCCTCTTCAGCATCCCCCAGGTAATGTCTGGCACTTGTGTCATTCATGTTAACTTCATCATCCGGGGCTGTGGATCTTTCAGGATTCACTCATTTATTCCTGATACTGGGTTGGGTCCTAGTCATGCCATGGTATGGTTTGATGTGTCATGCTGAAATCCAAAGAGGACCTGAGGGGGTGTGGACACAAGCATACCTTCTTCCCCAGGTTAATAATTCCCTAGGACTGCACCATTCATTACTGTTTACATCTTTCCATAAAACTGTAGGTTTTATGCCAATAGCATTGAAGGGTCTTTACCCATACTCCCCCCACCCTTTTATTTGATCGTATTTTTAAGGGAGGAGTGGGCATGTTTTACTATTTCTTGTCTTTGGGGTTATATGGAATGCCTGCCGGTGGAATACTGGATGCTCCATGTGTGACAAAATTGTTGAAATTGTGAGCTGACATAAGCTGGAGATTATCAGTGTTAATTTTTGTGGGTCAGCCCATAAATGCAAAAGTGAAAAGAATATGTTTAATGACATATTGAGTTGACTCTCCAGGCAGAGCATGTGCACTAATTAAATGCGTGTTGGTCTCAATGGATACATGTACATATCTTAGTTTTCCAGATTCAGGGATGTATGTATCATCTGTTTGCCATAACTGATTAGGCTCTAGTCCTCCAGGGTTAACACTTGTTGAAGTAGGAAATGTGCCTATGAGGTGGCAATCTGTGCATTGTAGGATAATTTTTTTTACCACTCTGTGAGTAAGTGGAAATTATTTAGATAAGTTTCTCCAATTTTGGTGGCAAAATTGATGCAATTGGGTGGCTTGGTTAAGCAGTAATGTCATAACATGAAAGTCTGCTTCATTATTGCCATAAGTCAATGGGCCAGGCAGTGAGCTGTGGACTCGAAGGTTTGTAATAAAAATAGGATATGTATGTTGATCAAGCAATTGCTAAAGTCAAAGAAAAAGAGCACACAGGTCTGGGCCCAGAGTGGACTTAATTAAGGTCTCTCAAGGTTTTGTAGTAAATAGAGTATGCACAGTCACGTACACTACTTATGGCCTGAGTGCAAAAAGTTTCCAAGGCCAGTAGCAGAGCCCCAATCTAAGCTCTCTGAGTGCTAGCAAACCCAGATCAAGTGATTGAATTGTGTGGTCTCCACCATACTGCTGCTTTTCCATGTTTACCAGACCCATCTGTAAACAGTGTTAAAGCATGAGGTATGGGGATTGACCTCTTTCTGTGGGCAAAATTACCAGCATATGAGATAATAAATGAAGGAGTTGATCAGAAGGATGGATGTGCTCTATTTGTCCTGTGTAATCAGAGAAAGCTATTTGCAGATCTATCAATAATGGCAATACTGCTTCAAATTGCTTTTTAGTTAAAAGAATCCTGATGACATCAGGATCAGAACCTAGCCACTTATTACATCATTTGCAGCCTGAATAGATGACTTTAGTAATTAACTAAATATAGGGAGATAGTGTTTTAGTCCCATTATATGAGCAAAAAATCCATTCTAGGAAGAATAGCCCAGGGACCATTTGTCCTATTAACCCTTTAGGGGAGTGTTTGCTGGGAAAGATAAACAGCATGTACCATAAAGCCTGGGACTATGTGATCTAGCTGCCTCTGAGAGATGGCGAGTTCTATTTCCTTGATTTCTCTTTTTGATGTAGTTCTAGTTCTAGTTCCTTGATTTCCCTTTTTGCTGCAGAGGTTAAATATCTGGGATAATCTAGGGCTGGATTGCCCTTTAAGATAGAATATAGGTTTTGTAGTTTATCAGTAGAAATCTTCAAAGTGGGGTGGTGCAAATTAATGTCTCTCAGAAATTTTTGATAATCATTTAAGATGTGTAACTTGCTAGTATTTAATTTAATGTTTTGAGATCTTACTGACAGGGAAGTTAGTATGTACCCAGGATATTTCCAAGGAGAAGACATCTGTCCTTTCTCAGGTGGAACGATTAAATCTCTTAGCTGTGTATGCTTTATGACAGAGTAATATAAATTTAAAAATATTGGCTCCATTGGGGCTGCAAGTAGAATATCATCCATAAAAATATTAATCTTGCAATCAGAAAACTCTCTTCTACCAGGGAGCAAAGCTTGATTTACATGATACTGACACAAGGTAGGACAGTTTAGCATTCCTTGGGGAAGCACTTTCCAGTGAAATCAACAAGCTGGCTTTTCATTATTGATAGCTGATATGGTAAACACAATTTTTTCTCTGTCCTGGAGAAATTGTATGAGAATAATCTTTTCAGTCAATAATGATTACAGGCAAATTTTGAGGAATCAAAGTGGAGGAAGGGGGGCCCTGTTGAAGGGGCCCAATAGGCTGTAAATTAGCATTAATAGCATGTAAGTCATGCAAAATTCTCTATTTCCCAGACTTTTTGGGAATGACGAAAATGGGTGAATTCCAGGGGCTGTGAGAGATTTGATATGCCCAGCCTTCGATTTCTCTTCAACTAATTCATGAGCCTTCTGTCATTTGTCTCACTTCAGAGGCCACTATTCTTCCCAAATCGGATCTTGAGAGACACATGTCAGGGGTAGAGGAGGAATAACAACAGTGGCCATTGTCATAAAGGGGTATGCAGAGTGATCTCCTCACACACACTGGGCTAATAGGTCCTGCCCCAAAAGATTAACAGGATGGGCATGATTAGAGGTTGTATAACTGTTGTTCTTACTTCAGAATCGCAGCATGTTATGGGAAGCATGCTCTGCTTGGCTGTGTGCACTTTGTAGATGCAGAAATTTTCTGTTTTTGAGTGATCCAAGGCCAAGTTTCTGGCCAGTTCTGATCACTAATGATTAAAATGTTCACTCCTGTGCCCAATAAGCCAGTAAAATTCTTATGTCCAATTTTTAAAAGTAATCATGGGTCTCTGATCAGTGATTAATTGATTCCAATACACTCTCATGGCTCCTGTGCATCCAAAGCATCCCTTTCGCTTTTCCTTTCCATGGGCATTGAGGACCCAGTATGGTAAAATCAGTAACTGAGCTATCTTTGATCCAGGGGGAGGAATATGCAGACCTTTACATTCCATCATAACCAATATCTCACCCTGATAATCACTATCAGTTACCCCATTGGGCACATTAATTCCTTGACTGGGTAGGCTAGACTGCCCTAGGACTAACCCCACTGTTCCCAGAGGCACCGGGCCCCAGATCCCAATTGCAAAACTTTTAGAGTCTTCTTCTTTTAGCACTAATTCACTGGGGCAGAGTAAGTCCAGTCCTGTGCTCCCAGTTGTGGCTGCTCTGAAAGAGAAGACTATGGGCTTCCCATTTGACCAAGGAAAGCTTCTGGCATTGCCCCAGTTGGGAGTGGTGCCTGGAGCTGATCCCTCATGAAGTTTCTGAATGGTTTCTTATGGAGTTGCTGTTTTTATCAAATTTAGACCTGCATTGATCTGCCCAATACTTCCCCTTCCTACTTCGGGGACATAAAGAGGTGGATTCTCTCCCTTAGTTACCTTGATCTTTACTATGGGGACATTCCCTTGACATATGGCCTGACTCTCCTCATAAACACAATTTTGATCTCTCTCCCTTTTCACTTTAGGAGGCCTTAATGCCATAGCCAATATTTTGGCTTTGTGTATCTCAGTTCCTACCAGCTGAAATGCTGGTATTAGCTCCCCAACAGTGGTGGCCTTTCCTCTGATTGCCTGCATTGCCTGCTGGCGATCCACATTAGCATTTTCAAAAACCAGTTGCAATGATAAGATATCAGTGGCCTGGGCATGACTAATTTGTCTCTTAATTGCCTGGGTTAACTGATTGATAAACTCAACAAATGGCTCCTGAGGCCCTTGTCAAACATTTACAAAAGATCCCTGCTGAATTCTGCTTTCAGGAATTTGGTCCCAAGCCCTGAGAGCACACAGAGGGACATCAGCATAAGCCTGGAGATCAAAATTTAGTTTTTATTGCACATCGGCATGAGGACCCCTTCCCTGGAGCATATCAGCTGTTATATTTTGCCTGGCCACCTGATTCACCAGGAGAGGCAATACGGCAAGTAACGTTTTCTCCTT
This sequence comes from Homo sapiens, assembly GCF_000001405.40. NCBI lineage: Eukaryota > Metazoa > Chordata > Mammalia > Primates > Hominidae > Homo > Homo sapiens. The sequence continues at coordinate 82,848 of NW_025791821.1, forward strand.
CTTCCCCTTTTTAGGCTCTTCTGTGTATAATGAGACTAAAGCCATCCTTACAGGGGCCCATAGTGTTAAAGATGATACTGGGACCCATTGCCCTTGTGCATCATGCTGTTTAAGATTTCTCCCCACCTGTTACCAGAGTTCTACCTCTAGCATTCCTTCTTCTGGGAACCATGGATTATGTGAGACAGTAGTTTGCATTAGTTTTCTTAAGTGAGTCCATGAAGCTGATGCTCTGGTAGCATTAAGCAACTATTTCAACATTTTATATACTGTTTCTGTAGAGCTGGTAACTATTGTCCCATGATGAAACCTCAGCCTGACCAATCCCCTCCGAACTTGGAAATCCCAAGTGGACACCAATGACTTCCTGTTTTACTGACTTAACCACACTGTCTTCTTCAACCTTTGTTTTCAGGGGGTCCATTGCACCTCCTTTGCCATGTTCTTCACATGGGGGTGCTGGCTGTGGGGGTCTGTCTTGCAGACCCTGACTCAGTGATGGATGAATAAAGTACACTGACACACAGATATTCTGCTTTGTCAGTTCAACTAAGCATCTGGGCCACTTAGAGTATCCACACAGAATGCACTAAACAGTTGCAACTGCAGCCTCAAACAGCCAGCAAGACTTTCATCTGTACAGTAAAGATTAATTGACAAAGGTCTGAGTAAACACCACTAGAGGGTAATTGACATTGCAGACTTCCCAAGTAGAAAGGAATTAAGCACCTGCAGTAGATCAAAAGTTAGTCTTCTTACCACATGAGTAAAGAAGCCAGTTAGATAAACTACCCTACCTTCCTTTGTATGCACTTTAACCTATCTACTCAAGGTAAGGATTAGTTTGCCTTCAGCCATAACCTTATCCTGAGACTTTTACAAAATCCTTCAGGCTTTGCAAGAAGGTTTGTGACTTATAATTTTCCCCACCATCCTGACTGAACCCCTACAAAGTTCTGGTGGGCTCCTAGAGGTGAGATTGAGAATGTGACCTCTGAGGAGGTGTGGTACACATGAAAAGAACTGTTTGAGTTTTCAAATGTATATAAATAGTCTGGGAACAGGCATGGGAACAGATAGTATAGGTATGAGAAAATAGTGGAAAAAAAACCAGAATTGTGTCAGGCTGAATTTATTGATCAGGGCTCACTAAGTAGGCTCTCTGCATTTAAAGCTGCAGCTCAAGGAGTTTAAAACAAGTTCTAATAATTTATTTGCTTGATTAAATGAAATATAAATAAAAAGATGGCCTACTGTGAGTGGGCTATAAATGTCTGCTCTTTATTGGTTTAATGTAAAGGAAGACATCCAAAGGCCTAGGGAGATTTGGATGGTGGAGTGGATTTGTCACTTTAGACATACTCACCCCAGTTGGGAGGGTTCAAAAGATACACCCTTGATCAGTCCCTTGTGAAATAGACTTGTGAGATCAGAGCCTGCATCTTTGAAGAGGCCTGTAATTTTTCTTCTCTGTATGTCAGATCTAAGGGTGGAAACTACAGTAACTAAACTACCAAATTTAAACACAATGGGAATAATTGTATCCTGATGTGGAAAGGGAAATGACCAGACTTTTCAGGGACTGCTGGACACAGTCTATGAGTTGATGTTGATTCCAGGGGACAAAAAACATCACTGTGGTCCTTCAGTTAAAGTAGGACCTTATGAAGGTCAGGTAATTAATAAAGTTTTAGCTTCAGTCAGACTTAGAAGGGGTTCAATGGGTCCCTAGACTCATTCTGTGGTCCTTTTCCCAGTGCCAGAATGCATAATTGGCATAGGCATAATTGGCATAGACATACTTAGCAGCTGGCAGAATCCACCATTTGCTCCCTGACTTGTAGGGTAGAGCTAGTATAATGGGAAAGGTCAAATGGAGGCCAGTAGAGCTGCCTATGCCTAGAAAAATAGTAAATCAAAAACAATATCAATTTTTTGGAGAGATTGTGAAGGTTAGTGACACCATCAAGGACTTGAAAGGCATAGGAGTGGTAATTAGCAACACATCCTCTTACAACTCTCCCATTTGTCTGATGCAGAAGACAGATGGATTTTGGAGAATAATAGCAGATTACCGTAAGCTTAACTGCATGGTGACTCCAATTGTACCTGCTGTACCAGATGTGGTTTTATTGTTTGAGCAAATTAATACATCTCCTGGTACTTGGTATGCAATAATTCACTTGGGGAAAATACCTTTTTCTTCATTCCTGTCCATAAGGCTCACGTGAAGCAATTTGCCTTCAGCTGGCAAGGCCAGTAATATGCCTTTATTGTCCTACCACAGGGGTATATCAACTCTCTCTCTCTGTGTCATAATCTTATTTAAAGAGCTCTTGACTGCTTTTGGCTTCTGCAAGATAGCACACTGGTCCATTACATTGATGACTTTATGCAGATTTTACCCAGTGAACAAGAAGTAGCAAACACACTGGACTTATTTATGAGACATTTTTGTACCAGAGAATGGGAAATAAATCTGACTAAATTTCAGGGACACTTTATCTCAGTAAAATTTCTAGGTGTTATAAGGTAAATAACAAGTTGCTACATTAGGCACCTCCTACAACCAAGAAAGAGGCAAAATGTCTAGGGAACCTATTTGGATATTGGAGGCAACACATTTCTCATTCAAGTATCTTACTCTGGCCCATTTATTTAGTGACCTGAAAGCCTGCCAGTATTGAGTAGTGTCCAGAACAGGAGGAAGATCTGCTGCAGTTCTAGGATGCCATGCCAGCTTCTCTGCCACTTGGGCCATATGACCCAGCAGATCTAATGGTGCTTAAGGCATCATTGGTAGATAAGGTTGCTGTCTGGAGGCCTTGCCAGGCTCCCACAGGTGAATCACAGGATTGGTCTCAAGTGTTTTGAAGAAAAGCTCCATCATGTTCTGCAAATAACTGTTCTCCTTTTGAGAGACAGCTCTTGGCCTGTTACTGGACTTTGTTGGAAACTGAACGTTTGACTATGGGTCATCAAGTCACCATATGAACTAAATGGCCTATCATGAAGTGCTTGATTTCTTAACCATCTAGCCACAAAATGGGTTGTGCACAGCAGCATTTCATCACCAAATGGAAGTGGCATATATGTGACCATGCTTGAACAGGTCCTGAAAGAACAAGTAAGTTATATAAGGAAGTGGATCAAAAGTCCATGTCTCCACTCCTGCCACCCTGCCTTTTCTCCTTCAACTTGCAATCATGGTCTCAAGAGGATTTCCCTATGATCAACTGACAAAATGAGAGAAGACTATGGCCAGGTTCCATTTGGTTCTGCACAATATGCAGCCACCGCCTGAAATTAGACAGCTGCAGCACTACAGCTCCTTTTTAGGATGTTCCTAAAAGACAGTGGTAAAGGGAAATCTTCCCAATGGGCAGAACTTCAAACAGATGTATGATTATATACTGATTCTTTAGCTATAGCAAATGGTTTGGCTGGATGATCAGGAACTTGGAAGAACCATGATTAGAAAATTGGTGACAAAGCAATTTTGGGAAAAGGTATGTGCAGGGGCCTCTCTGAGTGGTCAGAAACTGAGGATATTTATGTTTCACGTGAGTGCTCACCAGCAGGTTACCTCAGCAGAGAAGGAATTTAATTATCAAATGGATAGAATGACCTGTTCTGTGGACACCACTCAGACTCTGTCCCAAGCCACTCCTGTCATCACCCAATGGGCCCATAAACAAAGCGTCTATGATGGCAGGGATGGAAGTTATGCATGGGCTCTGCAAAATGGACTTTTATTTACCAAGGGTGACTTGGGTATGGACACTGATGAATTCCCCATTTGCCAGCAATGGAGACAAACACTGAGCCCTCAATATGGTGCCATTTTTGTAGGGTAATCAGCCAGCTACCTGATGGCATGTTGATTACATTTGACCTCTTCCATTATGGAAAGGGAAGAGGTTAGTACTCAAAGTAATATACACTTATTCTGGATATGGGTTTTCCTATCCTGCATGCAATGTTTCTGCCAAGACTACCATCTGTGGACTCATAAAATGCCTTATCCACCATCATGTTATTCCACAAAACATTGGCTCTGACCAAGGCACCCACTTTATGACTAAAGAATTGTGGCAGTAGGCTTCTGATTATGGAATTCACTGGTCTCACCATGTTTCTCATCATCCTGAATGGGATCCATTGAATGATTCCATTAAACTGGAAGTTAAGATTGCCCCCTTAGCATTTTGGGATCCTCCTACTTTTCAGCTATCATGCTAAGAAAGGAGTTACAGTTTTGGCTGTGGTGATTGACCTGAACTATCAAGATAAAATCAGTCTACTACTCTACAGTGGAGGCAAGGAAGAGTAAGCATGTAATATAGGAAATCCATCAGGGTGCCTGTTAATATTAACATGCCCTGTGATTAAGGTCAGTGGATAACTACAGCAGCCTAATCATGACAGGAATACAAATGGTCCAGACTCTTCGGGAATTAAGGTTTGGGTCACTCCACCAGGAAAAAAAAGAAAAGAAAAAAGAACAAACAACACCTGCTTAGGTGCTTGCTGAAGGCAAAAGAAACACAGAAAAGTTGGTAGAATAAGGTGGTCATCAATACCAGCTATGACCACATGACCAGCTGCAGAAATGAGGACTTTAATTGCCCTAAGTAGTTCCTCCTTTTGTTAAAAAAATGTTTGTGCCTGTATACACATGTACAAATACCTTTATTTTTCATTTTCTTTATCATTTGACATAAGATTCATTGGCCTCACATTAGTACTGAAGTATTCTTAACTTTACATAATAGTATTTGGGTTGAGGATTGGGATGCTCCTGGTTGTACAAAGGATAGTTGTATTATGTTAGGTGTAATTATGACCTCATTACTGTCTTTATTTGAAGATTATGTATGATCTTAGGAGATGTGTATGGGTTCAACTTGACAAGAAGTGGAGTTGTGATAGTTAAAACTGAGTGTTGACTTCATTGGATTGGGGGATACAGAGTACTAATCCAGGGTGTGTTTATTGGGTGTTTCCCCCAAAAAACTAACATTTGAGTAAGTGGGCTGAATAAGGCAGATCTACCTTAATCTACTGGGCACAATATAATCAGCTTATAGTGAATATAAAGCAGGCAGAAAAATGTGAAAAGGAGAAATAGGCCTAGCTCCAAGCCCACATCATTCTCCCATGCTGGATGCTTCCTCCCCTTTTACATTGAGGTCCAAGTTCATCAGTTTTGGGACTCAAACTGGCCCTCTTCACTGCTCAGCTTGTAGGCAGCTTTTTGTGCTCGTGTAAGAGTTAATACTTAATAAACTCCTCATATATGATATGCTCCACATGTAAACTAATTGAGCACTATAAATGTGGTTAACTACTATGTTGCTGCTAGCTGCTAAGGTCCTGAAACAAATTTTTATTCAAACGTAAAAGATTTGACATTGTATGAACAAACCTCCTTTTTGGATTTATCTTAATGTATATATTTTTCATATTCCTTATATTTTTATATTACAGCAATTTCCTCATTTATTTGTTTTTATTTTATCTTATTTTCTAATATAAATTTTTCTGAATGTGTTTATTTTGGGTTATTTTAAAACAAGACAAAGCATAAGTTATTATGATCAAAGATGCCCACTGTGCAATCTTCTATCAAGTAATTTTTTAAACAGAAGAAGGTACTTGAGTATTAAGTCTCTTCAACAACTTTAGCAAAAGCACGATTTCTGTAACACTGGCATATTCTTCGAAATCTTAGTTTTCATTTGGCTTGCTTATTGTAATATCTTAGCAACTTTTGTGTCATAAGACACATTTAATATTTGTCATATGATAAATATGAAGAATGTGTGTGCATAATGGAGTGTGCCAATGCACATGTGTGCATGTGTATTATGTATGTCTTCCAGCTGTAGTCAAGATTAGTTCTATCCTAGAAGCCACTGATTGAGTTTTCTCCCTCAGTACCCCAAAACAGAGGTGGCTTAGGGTTTTATTTTGCTATATTAGCATTTTATGGAAATATTTTAAAAGTAATTGGAATGAAAAGGGGAGAAAAAGAAATATATGCTTTAGTTTCTACCCATTGATTAACTGAAGTGACCTCACTTTGCTAACACTTACCCTAACTTGAATCAACAGAACTTTACAAAAGCTTCCTAAAATCCTTCTGATTTACAGAAAGCAAAGATTGAGTTAAGAAATCTTAAAAATATAAAATCAAAGTGTTCTGAAACTGTGCTTTTAAAAATAATTTTCTGTAAAGATGCTTCAACACTGTTAATGTCTCAAAGGTGCCTAAGACTCTAGATTTTAAGATATTTAGCAGCATTTCTAGCCTTTCAGCACTAGATGCTAGTAACAACCTTACCAATTCCACTTCCAGTCATCAAGAGGCATAAAGTAAAACTATTTTAAACCTACTGACCTACAGAAACCCTAGACATTCACATGGACTGTCTGGTACCTCTGTTGGCTTACCATCTATAATCCTTCCCCTTCCACAGTCAGCTACGACCACAGTGACCTGGCTGTTTTGCAAGCAATCTAAGCAGAACTCTGCCAGAAATCATCATGCCTCTTAATCTTGCTGCATACTTACATAATTATGTTCTTATTTTATTTAGATATGAACTTGCAAGTCACTTTGGAGACAAATTACTGTATACCTGTTTTACATAAAACCAAAATGTACTTTATAATAGAGAATCTTGCCTCATGCATTTTATATGGAATTGATAACCTCAATTAATCAAATGCAAACAAAAAACTTTATATGCACCATAACCACTAAAACAAAAACATAACTTCCAGGATCCCAAATTATAAGTGTAATATTCAATGTAAGTGTTTTAAATAACATTTTTTATGGGACAAAAATAAGATCTAAATAAAAATGGACTCTGAGATTAGAAAACAATCAGTGCTTTATAAATAAAAATGAAAGCAAAACTATAGGGAAGATAGCTTCAAACCATTCAAAGAAACATCAAACCAATAAAAAAGTGTCTGGAACCTGGAAATCAACAGTTTCTATGAACCAAGCTCACAATCAAGGGAGACAATTTTAAAATTATAAATGTTTTTTTTTATTGCCATAGTGCCTCCTAGGCACATATAAAGCCTTCAAAACTGAAATTTGTATTTTTAATTTGAGGCCCAGATTCCTGATTCAGGAACAAGTAAAGAAGTCTTTATGTGCTAATTTATTGTGTTTACCTAGGAGGTAATGAAGAATTGATAAAACACATTTATTTCAGTTTTGCCTAAGTAAGAACCCACTCTTGGTTGAAAATGCCAAGAATTGGTCACAAATCTTTATGTTGTTGAGAGAAAAGAATACAGTTATTTCATACAATAGACAATTGATTAATAGAGATTCAGATTTTTTAATGATAGTTTTCATATTGCTCTCATTCAGAATGATAATGGAATGCATGCTAAGCTTTCAATAACTAAGAAAACACCTTGGAGATATGAAGAAAATATATAACTGGTAAAATAATACTCAGGCAAAAAATGTGTAGATAAAAGCTAAAGGAATGTGTGACTAATCCTTCTCTAAGGAAAGTAGTGTTACTTTTACAACACTGGCAAAGTTAGCTATTACTATTATACTTCTGGTAGGCAGCTATTACATAGAAAACTACAAATCTATTTTAATGGACACTCAATGTGTACAGATACAATCTGAGATAATAATATAAATTGAGAAGGATAGAAAAGCCCAAGAGCAGCATACTTTTATTATTAAAATTAAATTTTAGATAATTCAATTGACTTAATATTCTTCAAAGTAGGTGATTTAATGTGTAGAATATTACAAGAAGTCCCAAATATAACTAATTATAATATAAAAATACTGAAAAGAATAAACTAAGAAAATAACCAAATTTTTAAAATGATCAACAGAGGAACTGAGGATCCAATAAGATAGAGAACATATGGGAAACAAGGAAATAAATGTTAGAGTAATTATTTTTTTTACTTGTAATAACTTTAAATATGAGCTCTTGCATAACAAAGGCAAAGAATGGTGAAAATGCACCTTTAAAGAAGGACTTAACTTATATGATTTCTACCCAAGTCTTACTTTAGGTGCAAAGACATGGAGATTTAAAGTAAAATGATACAAGTTCTGGGAAAAGCATGAGAGTGGACTATAGAACACTATATATCTGTCTCTTCAAGTGGCAGACTCGGTATGATGCAATTAGTTTGGAACTCCAGAGTCTATCTGAAGGTATACCATTTCCAAAAGAAGCTTTGCATAGTAAACAATTAAATTTGATCATATTTTAGTGTAGATCACCAGCAGCTATTTATTTTTTATCAGCTACTGCAGTGATGTGCTACCTTGCAAATACTTCTGGAGCAGCTAGCAAGAGCCAGGATAAACAAAAAGAACTCAGTCCTCCAAATCTCAGGAGGACTTGGGCATCAATTGCTGCTTCTGATTATGGCCGTCCCGACACAGGGAACAAGTCATGATTTCATTCCCCAAACCTTTCGCAGGCTTTTCCTCCTCCTCCTCAAGCAACTTTCAGAAGATTTAAAGAGCCAGAACATTTTTTTTTCTAATTTTCCATTTTTTTATCTTAAGAGACCTACAATTATGGACAAAAATATTAAAAAGAAAATATATGTACATGAAACTTTAGAATAAAATTTGTTGTTAACCATATGTGCCCCCAAATGGTGCACACTCAAGAAAGACCCAAGAATAAGTTGAGTAAGACTGACTGCCAGGACAGAAATAACTGACATGAGGAATAAAAAAAAACCCTAGCAAATCACAGGGGGAGAAAATCTGATTTTCAAAGTTTTAGCGTTTTAAAATTTGAACGCCTCTTTTCAACACCAACAAAATCACAAAGCAAAAAGTTAAATAAGAAAGTACGGATCATCCTAAGAAAAGAAAAATCACTAACAGAAGCTTTTCATAGAAAGCTCAAATGGCACGCTTTCTAAAAAATAATTTTAAAAATTAATGTCCTTAGGAAGCTACTAGAATAAACAAAATGATTCTCCTGCCTCGACCTTCCAAAACAAAGAAATTCATGAACAAAAAATGTTAATAAAGAGAGAGTAAACTTATTTTTAAAATTAAGAAAAAATTATGGACCTAGAAAGGAAAACAAATGACATAGAAATTTTCTACATACATTTAAAAGGAGACTTGAGCAGATAAAAGAACAAAATGTTGGCAAACCTAGAAGAAGGGCAGTTGAAATTATTAAGTCAGAAAGAGAAAAAGAAATAAAGAAATGTGAACACAGCCTAGATCCAGTAGGACACGATCAAGGAGATCTACTTATGCATTTTGAAAGTTCAAAGAGAAGAGACAAAGAAACAGGGAGACTAAAAATACAGTGGTCAAGAATATAACACATTTGAGGAAATAAACATCTAGGAAGAGCAACAAACTCCCATTAAGATAAACTCAAAGAAACACACTCAAACCTACATGATAATTATACTAAAACAAAGACAAAGAGAATCTTGAAAGCAGCAAGAGAAGTGACTAGTCATGTAAAAAGAACCCTCAAAAATAATCAGCAGATTTCTTATCTAGAAACTCAGAGGTCAGAAAGCAGAAGACTAATATTTTCCAAGTAATGTAAGAAAAGACTTTCAAATACAAATCTTACGTCCAAATAAAGTCCATCAAACATGAGGGAGAAATTATGACATTCCAAAATATAAGCTGGGGTCTTTTTAGATAACCCTTTAAGAAATGCTCTATGGAGTATTTCAGGATAAAATGAAAGGACACTGAACAGCAGTATAAATAAATAAAGATTACGGTAAAGATAAATATGTGATTATTATCAATTATGAAAGAGAAAAAATTAACAATGTGCATCTTCGTAATTTGCTCTCCACAAAATCGACAATAGAATTTTATTTTAAAAAAAGTGAATTTTTTTATTTTATTATTATTATACTTTAAATTTTAGGGTATATGTGCCCAATGTGCAGGTTATTTACATATGTGTACATGTGCCATGCTGGTGTGCTGCACCCATTAACTCGTCATTTTGCATTACGTATATCTCCTAAAGCTATCCCTCCCCCCTCCCCCACCTCACAACAGTACCCAGAGTGTGATGTTCGCCTTCCTGTGTCCATGTGTTCTCATTGTTCAGTTCCCACCTATGAGTGAGAACATGTGGTGTTTGGTTTTTTGTTCTTGTGACAGTTTACTGAGAATGATGATTTCCAATTTTATCCATGTCCCTACAAAGGACATGTGCTCATCATTTTTTATGGCTGCATAGTATTCCATGGTGTATATATGCCACATTTTCTTAATCCAGTCTATCATTGTTCGACATTTGGGTTGGTTCCAAGTCTTTGCTATTGTGAACAGTGCCACAATAAACATACGTGTGCATGTGTCTTTATAGCAGCATGATTTATAGTTGGAGTATTGCTCTGTCACCCAGGCTGGAGATCAGTGGCGCCATCTCAGCTCGCTGCAAACTCCACCTCCCAGGTTCATGCCATTCTCCTGTCTCAGCCTTCCCAGCAGCTGGGACTAGAAGCACAACACCACCATGCCTGGCTAATTTTTTGTGCTTTTAGTACAGACGGGGATTTCACTGTGTTAGCCAGGATGGTGTTGATCTTCCGACCTCATGATCCACCCACCTCAGCCTCCGAAAGTGCTGGGATTACAGGCATGAGCCACCATGCCTGGCTCATTCTTTTTTTTTTTTTTTTGAGACGGAGTCTCTCTCTGTCACCCAGACTGGAGTGCAGTGGCTATCCAGAGCTCTCTTATGCCTGTCCTCTTGGATTTTTATTGAGGCTTTATTACATAGGCATGATTGAATAATCTACTGGCCACAGGTGAACCATCTGATTTTTGTCACAGTATCTCTAGGCTGTTGCTTCACCAGCGAAAAATCTCTGTAGATGGTGGCAGCATTGCCCAAGTTTCTCCTGGGGCAGCTGAGCTAATTTTACTGACTCAGCTTGACAGGCTGTGCTTAGCTGAAATATCAGCTCAGATTCTATTCCTGCAATGGGTGAGCCAGACACAGAGTAGAGAGAGGTGCCTGAGTGACTCTTGAGTCCAGCCACTGCACATAGCTAAACAAACTGGCTGTGATAAGGTGAGCTGATACAAGTGCTAGAACAGGTGCCAACACCATGCAAGTCTTTGGCTGAATCAGGCATACCACAAGCTGTTTCCTCCAAAAGCACTGGAGAATGCAGTGGCATCCAAAAGCTTAGAAATGCCAGAAACTGGAGAGCCCCAGTGATGGTGTCACAGTTCTGACTTGGAACATGTTTAGGTCTGGGCTTCTGTAAGGGTTAAGCCCTTCTAATCCTTTTTTTAAAAAAAATTCTTCTAACAATGTGGCAAGTGTGGGTTTGAGTGTTTCAACCCTGTTTCTGTTACTGTACTTTTAGTTGTGCCATTAAGAGGGTCCTGAGTTCTTGTCCCATGTCCAGAAAGAATGACATATGTGGGACAATGGAGGGTAACCAAGGTAAATAGATGCTTTATTGGGTGAAGATACCGATCTCAGGAGACACAAAGTGGGTAACTCCATTTTACAAAGAGGACATACCTGCATCTGCGAAACACTCAGTAAATAGGAGACCCAGAGATACAAATTTCAGTAGACAGAAAGGTTGTGTAAACACCTCTGAAGCCCTTAGTGGAGGGGGGATTCACAGTGGGTAGCTTCTATCAGCAGGAAGGTTATTGAGATGTCTCTACATCCCTTAGTTAGGAGGAGACCTATCTATCTGCAGGCAGGCAATCCCAGTAAGTGTATAAGTCTCAGTTAGAGGAGGCCCACAGTTGGTGGCTCCACCATGAAGACAAGTTATTTCAAAATCTGAATAAGTCTGAAGTTCACATGGACTTCAGAGGACAGAAAGAGTGTGATGACTGGTCCATTGGAGAACACGAGTGAGACAGAAAAAGACATCTAATCCAAACCCTAACAACTAACACTAAACCCTAAAAATAACCCTAAAATGCTAACTATAATCCTAATCTTAACCCCAACCAAAACCATAAACTAGCCACATCCCTAAACTTAAATGTAGCACTACACCTATCCCCAATCCTAAACCTACCCCTAGTCCTAAACCTACCCAAATCCCAACTTTTAACCCAAACCCTAAACCTAAATTAAATGCAATCCTAGCCCTAAACCCAAAACAAAAAAACCTAACCCTAAAATTGTAATTCTAACACCTAACACATAACCCTAACTCCCACATCTACCCCAACACTAACTCTAAACCTACCCTACCCCTACCTTAAAACCATGACACTAACACTACCCATATATTGAACAACATCAACTGCAACTCCAACCCTATCCCCAACCCTAACCCCAAGCCCAAATCCAATCTGGACCCTTAATTGTTACCCTAAAACTAACTCTAATACATAATCCTGAAAATGAGCATGACACTGCCTCTAAACATGACCCTAAGCCAATCTTAACGCAAACTTAAATATAAATCTGAAGCTAACACTGAAACCCTAACACTGATGCTAAACACTAACCCTCACATTACCACTAACCCTAAACCAAATCCTAAAGCTAACATTATAATCCAAACCCTAACCCTGTAACACTAACCCTAACACTGAAAATAACCCAAACATATAAACTCTAATCTCAACTCCAACCATAAACAATAACACTAATCCTAAACCTACCCCAGTCCTACAACAACCTCAACCACAAACCTCCCCATTAATTATAACCATAATGCTAAAACACTAACCCTAACTTTAAGCCTAAAACCCTATTCCTACCCAACTGCAATGCCAACTGTAACTATAATTGCTGACACCGAAGCCTATAACTAACCCAATCCAAACCCTAACCACTAATCCCTAACCCGGAACCTAAACATAACACTTAACAAAACCATAACACTACCCAAACCCTGAGGTCTAACCCTAACCCAGACTCTAACTGTGACCCCAAAAACAACCACAAATTGACCAACAACCCTAACCATAAAACACTAAACCTAATAAAGACTGTAACAACTAGCCAAAACAATACATCCTAGATCTAAATTTTAATCACTAATGCCAAACCAAGGCCCTGACCCAAATGCTAACCAAAGGTGAACAGTAGACCTAAGCCTAACCCCTAACTCAAAATCTAAGGCTGAACCTTAACCCTAACCATTAACACTAGGCCCTAAACCCTAAACTTCAAACAATAACCCTAACAGGTAATGATAACCCTAACCCATAACCCTAACACTAATCCTAACCCTATCTCTACTACAAACCCAACTCCAACACTAAACCTAACACAAACTCTAACCAAGACCAAAACTCCAAACAAGAAACCTAAACATAAACCTAACCATAATTGTAACATAATCATAACCATAAAGCTAAAATTAAAAGCAAGCCCTATGCTACCACCAAACTGTAAATGCTAACATCAACTTTAACCATACACCCTAAACCCAAGACGTAAACATAACAATTAATAATAAACCTAATAATAACCTTCAAACATTTTAAACCTAAACTTAAACTTAATCCTAAATGCTAAATCCTACCTTATTCCTCAAAATTCAACCTAATCATAGAACAGAGCTAACACTAAAAAATAAATCTAAGGCTAAACCTAATTATAACCCCTAACACAAACCCTAATCCAAACACTCAACCCTAAATGTAAACCTAACACTAAACCCTGACCCTAAGCCTAAACACAAACCCTAACCCCTAATTCTAACAGAATTTAACCCTAACCATAAGCATAAACCCTAACCCTAAGCATAAACAAAAATGCTAAACCCAAACTTAACCCTAATCCTATACTGTAACCCTAAACCTAATGCAAACCTAACACTGAGCCTCACCGTAACCCCTTATCCTAACCCTAAAGCCACCTTAACCCTAACCTTAAATGCTATACAATAACCCTAAATCTAACCCTAAATCCTAAACACTAACCCTAAACTCTAAACATTAACCCTAACACTAACACTAACCTGAAAACCTAACCTGAGCCCAAACCCTAAAACCTAAACTGAATTCTTATCCTTATCCTAACCCTAACTCTAAGCCCTAACCCTAACAGTAACACACTAACCCTATTACCCTCACTCTCACCCTCACCTTAATTCTAACTCATAACACTAACCATAACGCTGGCCATGACCCTAACCTAGAACTTAACCCTACCTACCCCAGCTCCTAACCTCTAAGTATAAGCCTGTTTTTTAACCTAAACCTAAGCATAATCCGACCCCAAACCTAACCTAACCTAACATCTAAACCTCATTCTAACTCTAGCCCTAAACTTAACACTAACCTTGACCCCTGACCCTAATCCTAATTCTAACCCTAACCCTAATCCTACCACAACACTAGCCCCTAACCCAACCCCAGCCCTAACCCTCAATCTAACACTAACATTTCTTCTGCAATTGTAAACCCCTTCCCTAATACCCAACTTCTATCCTGTCTTTAATGTTACCCCATCATCCTTCAAAAAAATTTAAATATATCCTCGATGACTCTAACCTCTAAGTCCTAATGCCCATAAGAGTACATCAAGCAATACTTCTTTGTAATTCCAATTGAGTATTCAATTAAACATATGATATCACGGGGACAAAAAACTAAATATTAACAAATCTGATAATTATAGACGTCATAATGCTTAAACAAATACTAGTAGATGGAATTAGGTACATAGTGAAGACATTACACACCAGAATGACTAAGTTCTTTATTCAGAAAATCAAGGGTTTTTCAACATTCTAAAGCCATCCCTTTTCAATATGTCATGTAAATTAAATGATGAAAAAACACTACATGTTTATCTCAACTGTTACAGAAAGTACTTAAATATAGTCAACAAATTTAATAATACAAACATCCAAAAAGTGGGTTTGAATTTCTTTTATATGATAAAACATCTTTATGCAAAGCACATAACAATCATCATTTGAGTTGTTGGGAAGCAAGGCTTTAAGATTAGGAATGCAGCACTGATGCCCACTTTCATCACTGTATTCAACACTGTTCTAGAACTTCCATCCAAAACAATTAGAAAAGACAAATATATACCAACACATTCATATGTGAAAGAAAAAAGTAAAACTATCTACTCATAGATCTCATAATCATATATGCAGAAAATCATAAGGAACAAACAATAAATTATGAAATCTTGTAAACAAATTAAAACTTACAGGACTAGAATTACTCCAACGGCTCTAAAACCCATAGGGGCAGGTAGATAGGCCTTGGAGCAGAGGCTGTGTTGCTACATTGGGTCCTGGGCTGCAGTGGCTGTGGGGCTAACAAAAACTATTCAAGTTCCTGGGGATTCAAGTAGAATTACTTAAAAACATAATGGATGTGAAGAAGAGAAAACCTACAATGGTTGTGAAAGTCCTAATCCCATGATATCAAATAGATATCTTCTGAGTCATGAATTTGTTGTAAAAGGAGAACATGCATAAACCTCAACAACAATGAAACCCATTTGAGTGACCCAGGTCATTTTTCTGAGGAGGAAAGCATTGAGGTCAATTTAAGAGATATCCCTTCACAAGTGCAGCCAAAAGCATGCACGTATTTTACCTAAATATTTCACTAAACATACAGTTCAACAGAGATTCCTAAATTCCCATTTTACCTGAAGCTGCACTAGAACTGCTGATGGCTGTGAACTTTCTAGATTGCATGTAAATACAGTTGATTGTATATAAATAAAATGAATTGATATAATAAAATAAATTATAATAAGCTGTCAACTCCTTTTTTTTTTTGAGGTGGAGTCTCACTCTGTCAGCTGGGCTGGAGTGCAGCGGAACGATCACAGCTCACTACAAGCTCTGCCTCCTGGGTCCACGCCATGCTCCTGCCTCAGCCTCCTGAGTAGCTGGGACTACAGGCACCTGCCACCACACCTGGCTAATTTTTTGCATTTTTAGTAGACAGGGTTTCCCCATGTTAGCCAGATGGCCTCGATCTCTTCCCCTCACGATCCACCTGCCTTGGCCTCCCAAAGTGCTGGGATTATAGGTGTAAGCCACTGAGCCTGGCCAGCTGTTAACTATTGTCAGTGTTTAAGACCCGTAGTTGAGATACTATTTTTCTTCTAGACAGTGCATTCCCTGTATGCAATGTAACTATAAAATTAATTTTAAATAAGGTTGACTTTTGTTATTTGCATAGCAGAGTTGAAATGTGTTTGCAATATGAACAAACTAAGGACATTTTCACAAACTGTGAAACAAATATGCAACTCATAAGTGGGTTTGCCTTATGCTTTGTGTATGTCTCTTAAAATGAGCAATGGTAACACAAAAATGCTGAAAATTAGGCATAAATGAATAACTGCATTATAAAAATGTTCATAGCTTAGCCAGAATGTTGATTTTTATCTAAACCTAACATATTAAATGTTTTATCAATGCCAATAATCCCAGCACTTTGGGAGGCCAAGTGGGTACTCTACAAAAAATACAAAAAAAATTAACCAGGTATAGTGGCTGAGGCTAAGGAGGAAGGATTAATTGAGCCTGGGAGTTAGAGGTTGCAGTCAGCCATGATGGCATCTCTGCATTTTAGCCTGGGCAACAGAGAGACCCTGTCTCAAAAAAAGGAATACAATCTGAAATTTCTTATTTTCTTTTAAATAAACTTCAGTATTCCTTAAAAGTGTCAGCCAGGAGCAGCAGCTCAGGCTTGTAATCCCAGCATTTTGGGAGGCTGAGGTGCATGGATCACCAGAGATCAGGAATTCGATACCAGCCTTGCCAACATGACGAAACCTCGTCTCTACTAAAAATACAAAAATTAGCCAGGCAGGATGGCAGGCACCTGTAATCCCAGCTACTCGGGAGGCTGAGGCAGGGAAATTGCTTGAACCTTGGAGACAGAGGTTGCAGTGAGCTGAGGTGGTGCCACTGAACTCCAGCCTGAGTGACAGAGCAAGATACCATCTCAATAATAATAATAATAATAATAATAATAATATAAAATAAAAATGTCTAGTTTTCACATTTTGTTTATCGCTACAATTTAAGAACTTTAAAAAAATAATTTTGGAAGGTTACTAGGTACAATTTTTGAAGAAGTAACTGAATGATATCCACAGGGTCAACAAGTCAACTATATGACTTAAGACTTCTTGTACATTATACCTTTTGGGAAACTGAAAGTACTGTATTTTTATTGACTGTAAAGCAACATTCCTTGGCAATATTCAAAACAGGAAAAAAAAAGTCTAGGTGTGGTGTGGTGGCTTATGCCTGTAATTCCATTTCTTTGGGAGTGAAATGTGTAAGGATTGCTAGAGCCAAAGAGTTTGAAGCTGCAGTGAGCACACCACCCACCACACTGCCACCTGGGCCAGAGACTGAGACGCTTCCTCAAACAACAACAAAATCAGTGGTAGTAATATTTTAAGCTTAAATTTAACCACGGTGCAAGACTTAGACATGACAAATTATAAAATATTGCTGAAATAAATTTCAGAAACCCTAAATAGATGTAAAGACATTCCATGTTTCTGGATTAAAAGGTGATATTTTATATGATGGCAATAATACACAAAGCAATCTACAAATTCACTGTGATTCCTACGAAATACCAAAATTCTTTTGGCAGAAATGGGCAAGCCAGTCATGACATTCATATAAATTTCAAGGGATTCTGAGTAGCCAAAATATTCTTGAAAACAAAAACCAACTTGGATCTCAATTTCAAATATTACTACAAAGGAACAGTAATAAAAAGACCATAATACTAGCATAAGGACAAACATATAGATCGATGGAACTGAATGTTGAGTCCAAGAATACCTCTATAGTCAATGATTTTTGACATGTAGCCAAGACCATTAAATTCAACAAATGGTGTTAGACCACTGACTACTAAAATTCAGACAAATAAATTGTACTCTATCCTCATAACATGTAGAAAAGTTAATTCAAAATGCTTCAGAAGCCTCAAAAATTAACTCAAAATGGTTCAAAAAGTTTAATATGTAAACAGAGGTAAAAATGTAAACTCTAGAAGAAAACATAGGGATAAATGTTCATAACCTTGGATTTAGCAGTAGTTTCTTAGATATGACACTAAAATCACAGGCAAATAAAGAAATAATTTCCTCAAAAACTTTTGTGCAACAGAAGACACTGACAAGAAAGTGAAAAGACATGTCACAGAAAGATTTGCACATTATATATGTGACAATAGTGTGTTATCCACAATATATAAAGAAATTGTATAACTCAACAACAACATAAAAGACAAACAATCCAATTACAAAATGAAGAAATAGTTGAACACACACTTCGCCAAAAAACATGCGTATGGAAAACAAGCACATAAAAATACAAACAGTAAAATATATAAGTTCTACTCCATCAAATGTTTCATATAATAGCTTTTCTCATAGTCATGTGATGCTGTGTGGTAAAATTACTACTTTTTATCTCTACCTGAGGAACAGACAAGGTAGCAATACTGCTTGGGGGTAAGTTTCCTCAGATGAAAAAAAAATTAGCAAAAATGACATTCTGAAATGAAGACTTTCCTGATGGACTAGAGTTTCCAATAAATGTTACCGTTCGTACCTCAGCCTCCAGAGGTCAAGAATTTGGGAGACGTTTTTCCCTCAGGTGAAGCCAATGTTAAAGTGAAATAGGTCTGTGGATTGGACTTTCATGTAGAAATAGTGTATTTCCTGATATGGTTGTTATGTGGTGGTAACCTGAGAGAGAGTTCCCGCTTTTGGTAAAACACACTGGGATATTTTGCACGAAACTGCAAATCCGGCACAGCACTAACTGCTGAGAAATCTGGAAAAAAGGATGAAGTATACTAACTGCTACTGCAAGTTCCTTAGAAGTATGAAATTATTGGGAAGTAAACTACTTTTAAATGAAAACAACCATGTCAATACCATGAAACTAAAGCAGAGACATTAACCCAAATTTCATTATAGAGGGAAATCCAACGCAAATCCAGATCAATGGAAGGTGTAAAACTAAGGGCCCTGGTAAGAGTAGAAACCTTATGTATTACATGTGTTACATCTGTATGATGAGTGTTACAATAGTAACTATGGGTGTTATATTAGTGTTACAGTTGTTCTATTTGTATTACAAATGTTATATGAGTATCATGAGTGTTATTTTAGTATTACAGGTGTTACATCGGTATTACAGTTGATACATCAAAATTACAGTTGTTATATTTGAATTGTGCATGGTATATTGGTATCATGAGTGTTACAGTTGTATTACAGGTGTCAGGACAGCTTTACAGGTGTTACATCAGTGTTACCGATGTTTTATTTGTATTGCGGATCATGTATCGTTATTATTAGTGTTACAGTTGTATCGTGAGTGTTAGATTAGCATTATGGTTGTTATATTTTTATTGTGGATGGTACGTTGGTATTATGAGTGTTTCATTACTGTTATGAGTATTACACTTGTAAGATAAGTGTTATATGAGTATTACAGGTGTTACATTTGTAGTACTGTTGCATCTGTATTATAGGTGCTGTGTTAGTTTACTGATGTTACATTTGTAGTAGAGATGATATAATTTATGAAGAATGTTATATATGTGTCACAAGTCCATGGCGTTGACTTTGCATTGCGTCCACCGCGCCTTGTGTGGGGACGGACCTTGGGTAGCACTAAAAAACATATATTTTTTTACTTCTAATGTTCCACACAAAGCCATTTTACTAAGCCCTTGATCCTCAACAGTCATAGGAAGGTTTTTACTTATCTCTGCCTCAGGCTGTCCCTGAGCGAGGCGGAGTTGCTAGCGTGTGTGCTGAGGGGAATGCAGCTCTTGTCCTCCGCCGCAGCAGGCGGTGAACACCCGAGCACTCACAAGGTCTGAAAAGGGTGCTCGCGCGCCGCTGTGCAGGTGGACGGAGGAACTGCAAGACCCACGTGGTCCAGGGCGGCCCTGTGCGCTCCCTCCTGGCTGGCCTGCGGCATCAAATAAAGGCAGAGTTCAGATTGTTCTGCGCCCATCATTTTGACAATTCAAACGGAAATGGAGCCTATTATCCTTTTTTTTTTTTTTTCTAAAAATGAGAAGGAACCAATAACTGGAAACCACAGAAAATGACGTGAATGCAGACGCAAACTTTACTTCTTAAACAAAAATGTCCTCAACATAGTCCTGAGACTTAAAATGCAAAAAAAAAAAATGCTTTCTCATATTAAAAGTTTGCACTCTGTGAAAAATATTGTTCAGTAAATAGACAAGCCACAGATTGAAAAGAAATATCTTCAAAAGACAGATTTAAGCAAGAACTTGCACTCAAAATATACAAAGAAAGTTCGAAATTCAAAAATAAAATAGACTATCCAAATAAAAATGGGTCAAGAGCTGAGCAGATAACTCACCAATGAAGACAAAGAGATGACAAGGAAACAAAAAGATATTCAATTTCATATCATTGCAGGACTGAAAATCACAAGGATGAGATAGCAGGCCCCATCTATATTTGCTAGTACTGCTAAACTGTTTTTAAAACATGACAAACGATTTTCTGGAGGATAAACAGGGATTCATTCATTTCTGGTGGAATGCAGGATGGTGGGAGATCAGAATACATGACCAGAAACTATGCTTCTTTGGTATAAGGCTTATTTTAAACTCACCATTTTCAGAAAATGCAGACACAGGGGAACTTCTGAAAGCAGAGAAGTAGTTACCCTTTTGTAAGGGAAATTTACATCTAATAAGGAAATCTCCATTTTAATGAGGCTTTCTTTCCCTTCCTTCCTCCCTCTTCCTTCTCTCCCTCCATCCCTCCCTCCCTCTCTCTCTCTTTCTTTCTTTTTCTTTCTTTCTTTATTTTTCTTTCTCTCTTTCCAACAGTCTCCCTCTCTCTCTCTTTGTCTATCTCTCTTTCTCTCTCTCTCTCTCTTAGCCACACCCCTCTCTAACAGAGTCTCACTCTGTTGCCCAGGCTGTAGTGCAATGGCATAATTTCAGCTCACCTCAACCTCCACCTCCAGGGTTTACGAGATTCTCTTTCTTCAGCCTGAGGAGAAGCTAGGACTATAGTCATGTGCCATCATGCCTGGCTAAATTTTTAGTATCTTTATTAGAGATGGGGTTTCACTATGTTTGACAGGATGGTCTCCAACTCCTGACCTCATGATTCACTCAACTTGGCCTCCCAAAGCGTTGGGATTACAGTGTGAGAAGAAACCCCGGCCAAGACTCCCTTTCAATACCAATAAGAGAAAGATGATGAAATCCATAGAGGTTCTTATTAAGAGACTTCCAGAAACACCCTCAAAAATGTATACAGAAATGGTACTTTACCAGCTATGTGAGTATCCCTTAATTGTGTCAAGCGAACACTTAAAATTAGCCATTACAGTATTTGTGCTGGATTTGTGGCTACAGTTTTAGAATGAATTCTATAAAATTTATACTTAGATATGTCTTACGTATGTTTGTATTTTTTTATATGTGATACTTTCACATCTCTGAATGTCAGTGCAAAATTAATCTCTAAAATCATTTAAAAGTGCTCTATTCTAGATTGGCTTGGAAAAAACTTAGCACTTATAGGATAAATATTTCTAAAACATGCAGAAAATAGAGCAACTAATCCAAATGTTTTTCAAGTGCAGATTATTTTGAAAAACCTTTGGTAAGTAAAACTATCTAATATTTTTTGCTTAATAAAACAAGTATGTATTTAGAGTTGTCACTATTCAATATGAAACAGACGTACATTTTTATTTCATTTACTTACCAAACAAATTGATATTATATTCACTCAATATTTAAAATCTTAAATCTTATAGTTTGATGCTAATTAAGTTGCCATTCTTATGACCAACATTATTGTAATAATAATGTGTTACAGTATATCTAATACTGATTTATAAAATCTTTCTGGTAATTTGTAACTTTAAAGTTATGATAAACAAAATAGGTTTATAAAACAAAATAAAAACCAGTAATTACAAAACATAAATTGAAGCTTATATACTATAGCTTCTTTTCTTATCTTTTTTTTTTTTTTTTTTTTGAGATGGAGTTTTCTCTTGTTGCCCAGGTTGGAGTGCAATGGCACAATCTCAGCTCACTGCAACCCTGCCTCCCAGATTCAAATGATTCTCCTGCCTCAGCCTCCCTAGTAGCTGAGATTATAGGCACACCCAGCTAATTTTCTTGTAACTTTAGTAGAAACAGGGTTTCAGGATGTTAGCCACGTTGGTCTCAAACCCCTGACCTCAGGTGGCCCACCCACCTTGGCCTCCCAAACTGCTGGGATTACGGACATGAGCCACCACTCCCAGTGCTCTAGCTTCTTACTTTGAGAGAGACTAAAAGATATTTTTATCTGTTTACGAACATCCTTTCTACAATAATGAGACATTATACTATGAGAAAATATATGCCTCTAAAAATTGAGATGGTTTGTTCAAAAATTATGTAACCCACTCTGGAATGCTAATACATGACAAACAGTTTTTTTGGGAACAAGCTCCCCAAAATCTGGCCATAAACTGGCCCCAAAACTGGCCATAAACAAAATCTCTGCAGCACTGTGACATGTTCATGATGGCCATAACACCCATGCTGAAAGGTTGTGGGCTTACTGGAAGGAGGGCAAGGAACACTTAGCCCCCCACCCCCACTCAGGGTGGAAAACCACTTAAAGACACTCTTAAGCCACAAATAATAGCATAAGTGATCTGTGCCTTAAGGACATGCTCCTGCTGCAGTTAACTAGCCCAACCTATTCCTTTAATTAGGCCTATACCTTTGTTTCCCATAGGGGATACTTTTAGTTAATTTACTATCTATAGAAACAATGCTAATTTCTGGCTTGCTGTTAGTAAATATGTAGGTAAATCTGTGTTTGAGGCTCTCAGCTCTGTAGGCTATGAGACCCCTGATTTCCCAGTTCACACCTCAATATTTCTGTGTGTATGTCCTTAATTCGTCTAACGCCACTGAGTTAGGGTCTCCCCGACCAAACTGGTATCAGCAAGTGGCATCCATTGTTGGGGCTCAAATCCAGATTGGAAGGTCACCAGAGTGATGGCTGGAGAATGTGAAACTAGCTGGACGACACCTGAGTACTCTTAGCCAATCCCCATGGTGAGTAAGAAGGGGAGCTCAGAATCATCAGGGTAACAATGGGACAAGTGTGGGTTCTGGTTCATTTCACCTTGGAACTTTTCACACTGCTGATGAGGAGGAAGGAGAGTATAGCGAAGTAAAAGAAGAGGTTACAGAGCATGTTTATTTGCCAGCTAAAGCTAAAGCGGCAAAGGAAGGAGAGGTTCATCCCTACCCTTCTGCATTCCCTCATTATTATTTTGAAGAAAAAGACCCTCCAGATCTTTCTTTTCTGGAGGACACTGGGCTAAAAGTAGTTGCCCCAGTGACTTTGAGCAGCGCCTTGAGTGACCACCCTTAGTTCTATTCAGGCAGGAATTCAGCAAGCCAGACAAGAGGGTGATTTAGAGGCTTGACAGTTCCCTGTTAGAATACACTCCCCAGATCAAGAGGGAAATATAATAGTTACATTTGAGGCTTTTCCTTTTAAATTATTCAAATAATTTAAACAAGCTATAAATCAGTATGGACAAGGTTCTCCTTTTGTAATGGGACTGTTAAAGAATGTTGCTGTTTCCAGTCAGATGATTCCTACTCACTGAGATGCTCTTACTCAAGCTTGTCGAACTCCTGCTTAGTTCTTACCATTTAAAACTTGGTGGGCAGATGAAGCTTCCATTCAGGCTGCTAGCAATGCCCATGCCCAACCTCAAATTAATATAATTGCAGACCAACTTTGGGGGTTGGTGGCTGGGCTGGTTCAGATTCACAACTAGTCATGCAGGATGATGCCATAGAACAGCTTAGAGGAGGGTGCATTAGAGCTTGGGAGAAAATAACTTCAAGTGGAGAACAATATCCTTCCTTTAGTCTCTTAAAAAGATGACTGCAGATTTGGCTGCTTAGGATATAGTGTTGCAGTTACTAGTTTTGACAATGGTAATCCGGATTGCCAGGCTGCTCTGTGACCTATCAGAGGGAAAGCACATTTAGTTGACTATATCAAGGCCTGTGATGGTATCGGAGGTAATCTGCATAAAGCTACTGTGTTGGTACAGGCAGTGGCAGGACTGAGAGTGGATAAAGGAAATACTCCATTTCCTGGAGCTTCTTTTAACTGTGGAAAGCATGGTCATACTAAAAAATAATGTAGAAAAAAATCAGCGAGTCAGGACACCAGATAGGAGAAAAAAGAAAACTGCTGAGGCTGAAATATGTCCAAAATGTAAAAAAGGAAAACATTGGACTAATCAGTGTCACTCTAAGTTTGATAAAGAAGGGAACCCAATTTTGGGAAATGCCATGAGATGCCCATCCCGGGCCCATTGTCAACCAGCACATTTTCAACTCTGGCCATTCCCTCACCACTGTACAGTGTCTGTCCCCCACCACAGCTGGTAGTGCCACTGTAGATTTATGCTGCACAAAAGCTGTGAGCCTTCTGCCTGGGGAACCCCTGCAAAAGATCGCAACAGGAGTCTGTGGACACTTGCCAGCAGGGACAATACGATTACTTCTAGGCAGGTCTACTTTAAGTTTAAAAGGGGTACAAATACATACAGGAGTCATTGATTCAGATTATAATGGGCATTGCAGGAAGTTAGCGACCCCGAACAGAGGAACCCACAGAAGCCATGGCAGAACACACATTATGAAGATTTCATGGACATTTATTCATTCCCCAAGTTAATACTTCTATAATTTCTTGCAACTGTCTTCACTGCAGTCTTTTAACATAAACTGTGAAGATTTCATGGACACTTATTATTTCGCCAGTCAATACCCTTGTGATTTCCTATGCCTGGCTTCACTTTATTCTCTTAATTCTGTCATCTTCCTAAGCTGAGGAGGATGTATGTCGCCTCAGGACCCTGTGATGATTGTGTTAACTGCACACATTATTTGTATAGCATGTATATTTGAACCATATGAAATCTGGGCACCTTAAAAAAGAACAGGATAACAGCAATGTTCAGGGAACAAGAGAGATAACCTTAAAATCTGACTGCTGGTGAGCTTGCAGAACAGAGCCATATTTCTATTCTTTCAAAAGCAAATGGGAGAAATATAACTGAATTCTTTTTCTCAGCAAGGAACATCCCTGAGAAAGAGAATGCATCCCTGAGGGTAGGCCTCTAAAATGGCCACTTTGGGGGTGTGGCCATCTTTTATGGTAGAAGCTGTAGGGATTAAATGAGGCCCAGTCTCCCATAGCACTCCCAGGCTTATTAGAATGAGAAAATTTCTGCCTAATAAATTTTTGGTCAGACTGGTTGTCTGCTCTCAAACCCTGTCTCCTGGTAAGATGTTATCAATGACAACGCATGCCTTAAACTTCATTAGTAATTTTAATTTTGCCCCAGTCCTGTGGTCCTGTGATCTCACCCTGCCTCCATTTGCCTTGTGATATCTTATTACGTTGTGAAGCATGTGATCTCTGTGACCCACACCCTATTCATACACTCCCTCCCCTTTTGAAAATCACTAATAAAAACTTGCTGGTTTTATGGCTCAGGGGGCATTACAGAACCTGCCAACATGTGATGATGTCTTCCCTGTCACCCAGCCTTAAAATTTCTCTTTTTTATACTTTGTCCCTTTATTTCTCAGACTGGCTGACACTTAGGGAAAACAGAAAAAAATCTATGTGAAATATTGGGGGTGAATTTTGCCTGATATCTGGCTGAATTTCCCCTGATAAATGGGGAAATTAAATTATCATGTCTACTTCTGTTCCCTGGAAAGCAGAGCCAGGAGAGCACATAGCACAGCTCCTGATTGTGCCATATGTGAGAATGGGAAAATCTGAAATTAAATGAACAGAAGGATTTGGAAGCACAAATAAACAAGGCAAAGCAGCTTATTGGGTAAATCAAATTGCTGATAAACATCCTGCCTGTGAAATAACTACTAAGGGAAAGAAATTTAAAGGTTTGGTAGATACAGTAGTGGACATTTCAGTCATTTCTCTACAGCACTGGCTGTCTGGATTGCCAATTCAACCAGCTCAATTTAACATAGTTGGAGTTGGTAAAGCCCCTGAAGTATATCAAAGTAGCTCTATTTTACAGTGTGAAGGGCCCAATGGACAACCTGGGACTGTTCAACCAATTATAACTTCTGTACCTATAAATTTATGGGGAAGATGTTTATTACAACAATGAGGACCACAATTTCTAATTTCAGAATAATTATATAGCCCTGAAAGTCAACATGCAATGCATGAAATGGGGTATGCCCCTGGTGGCTGCTAAGTAAAGAGAAACTGGAGGCTTTAGAGAAATTAGTTACTGAACAATTAGAAAATGGGCACATGACTTGAAAATTTTTCCATTGGAATTCTCCAGTTTTCATAATTAAGAAAAAACAGGTAAATGGAGAATGTTAACTGACGTAAGAGCCATCAACTCAGTTATACAACCTATGGGAACATTACAGCCAGGATTGCCTTCTACTGCTATAATTCCAAAAAATTGGCATTTAATAGTCTAGATTTGAAAGACTGTTTCTTTACTATCCCTTTAGCTGAGCAAGACTGTGAATGGTTTGCATTTACAATTCATGTAGTAAACAACCCGCAGCCTGCTAAGTGTTTTCATTGTTTTATAGATGGGTCTAGTATGGTAAACCTTCTTATTCTAGCTCAAAAAGCAAAGTTTTCCAGATGTCCTATACTTCAGATCAAAAGCAGAGCTTGTAGCTGTAATTGAGGTATTTACTGCTTTTGAAATACCTATTAATGTGATTTCTTATTCTTCATGCATGGTTCATTCCACACAGTTAATTGAAAATGCTCAGTTATGATTTCATACAGATAAACAACTGATGACTTCATTTACCCAATTGCAAACAGCAGTTAGAAGTAGAATACAATACACCCTTTTTACCTCACTCACATTAGGGCTCATATACCTCTTACAGGACCTTTAACTGAAGGGAATCAAAAGGCTAACCACCTAGTTGCTAATGCAATATCTAATGCTAGACACTTTCACAATTTTACCCATTTTAATGCCTCCAGTCTCAAATGCTAGACACTTTCACAGTTTAACCCATGTTAATGTCTCTGGTCTCAAACACAGATACAGTATTACCTGGAAATAAGCTAAAACTATTATCCAGCAATGCCCAACTTGCCAATTGGTACATTCCTCATCTTTTACAGGAGTTAATCCTTGAGGATTGGAAGCTAACTGTCTTTGGCAAATGGATGTCACACATACACCCTCGTTTGGGAGACTAGCTTATGTACATGTATGTGCGTACACATTTTCTCACTTTTTCTGGGCTATGTGCAAATCAGAAAAGTCTTCTGCCTGTGTTAAACATCACCTTTTGCAGTGTTTTGCAGTGATGGGCATTCCAGCTTCTAGGAAAACAGATAATGTCCCAGGCTATACTATCCAAACTCTAGCTACATTTTTCTCTATGTGGAATATTAAACACATTACTGGTATCCCATATAATTCTCAAGGACAAGCCATAGTGGGAAGAATAAATCTTTCCCTAAAACAGCGGTTGCAAAAGCAGAAAGAGGGAAATAGAGAATACAGAACCCCACAGATGCAACCGAATCTAGCATTATTAACTTTAAAATTTTTGAACCTGCCCAAAGGCCAGATGTTATCAGCAGCTGAACAGCATCTACAGTAACCAGCTGCAAAGACAGAAGGAGAACAATTGATTTGGTGGAGAGATACAAAAACAAGAAGTTGGGAAATAGGTAAAATAATAACTTGCGGTAGAGGTTATGCTTGTGTTTCTCCAGGCCAAAATCAACAGCCAATTTGGACACCATCAAGACACCTGAAACCCTATCATGAGCCAGATTCTGGGAGGACCCTGAGGACCCCTCAGTTGCAGCCATGTTGAGGCTGATGCTGAGGAGGACTCCAACTGTCATGAGAAACACCCATTGAACACAGCCACCTACCTGGGGACAGATCAAGAAGCTGTCACTGATGGCAGAAGAAAACCTGAGGAAAGTGGGACAACCAGTCACAACAAGTAATTTAATGGTAGCTATGATAGCAGTTATCACCACTGCCATGAGTATTCCTTCAACAAGGGTTGAGACAGAGAGCAATTATACTTATTGGGCATATTTATCAATCCTGGCTGGTACTTATGCCTGGATATAATCAATCTATGACACAGTAGCTCATGCTTTCTGATCTCAGTATTTACCATAATAAACCCGCTCCTATAATTGAGGCATACCGCCTTCAAAAACCTATTTGTAAACAAAACAGAACGTGGCCAAAAATAATGAACCTACTTGTTTATGAAGATTGCTTTGCAGAAGAGGCAGAGTGCTGCACAATGATTCCTATGGCATCATGATTGATTGGTCCCCTAAGAGGAGGTTTAGCTTGAATTACACCTCTCAGTCTGTGTGCCATGGCCACACTATGTTCAGCTTGTCTGAACAAAATGGTCAGATGATAGAAATGATAAGAGGTACTGCAAGAATTCCTGTTATCTGGAACCATGGCAGTATAGTGGCACATCTACCTCAAATGATATGGCCCATCATAGAAACTAAACATAAGGATTTATGGAAACTATTAATAGCTCTTAAT
This sequence comes from Homo sapiens, assembly GCF_000001405.40. Classification (NCBI taxonomy): domain Eukaryota; kingdom Metazoa; phylum Chordata; class Mammalia; order Primates; family Hominidae; genus Homo; species Homo sapiens. Next base: position 111,504 of record NW_025791821.1, read on the forward strand.
AAGATCAAGATTTGGGAAAGAATAAAAATAGTATCCAAAAGGACGCTGTACAAACTTATTTTTGGATATTGCAAAATTAAGAGTACAAATATTTAAAGCATCCCAGGCACACCTGACCTTAATGCCAGGAACTGGAGTGCTTAAAGGAGCTGCAGACAGATTCACAGCTAGTAACCCATTAAAATGGATAAAAACACTGGGAAGCTCTGTGATTTTAATGATGGTTGTGCTTTTAATCTATGTTGTTTTTCTTTGTATAGTCTGCAGATGTGGACCCTGACTCCTTCAAGAATTAGCTCACCATGACAAAGCTGCCTTTGCTCTTATCAATTTGAAAATCAAAGAAGGGGGCATGTTGGGAACAAGCGCCCCCCCCAAATCTGGCCATAAACTGGCCCCAAAACTGGCCATAAACAAAATCTCTGCAGCACTGTGACATGTGCATGATGGCCATAAAGCCCGTGCTGGAAGGTTGTAGATTTATGGGAATGAGGGCAAGGAATACCTGGCCTGCTGAGGGCAGAAAACCACTTGAAGTCATTCTTAAGCCACAAACAATAACATGAGTGATCTGTGCCTTAAGGATATGCTCCTGCTGCTGTTAACTATCCCAATCTATACCTTTAATTCAGCCAATACCTTCATTTCCTATAAGGGATAGTTTTAGTTAATTTGATATCTATAGAAACAATGCTAATGACTGGCTTGCTGTTAATAAATACGTGGGTAAATCTCTGTTTGAGGCTCTCAGCTGTGAATGCTGTAAGACCTTTGATTTCCTACTTCACACCTCTAGATTTCTGTGTGTGTGTCTTTATTTCCTGTAGTGCCACCGGCTTAGGGTCTCCCCAGCTAAGCTGGTCTTGGCACACAATATACAAGTAAGAAAATATGCTTAATATTCCCTAGGTTATATTTCGGTAAAGATATTTTGGTAAAATGTTATTTGTTTTGGAAGCTGTATGGAATTCCTGGAAATTTGTGAATGACCTATCTATTACATGTCCTAAGATAATATCTTGAGTCATAAGTCTAGTCATTATTTTAAATGTTGTTTGCCATAGAAGAAAACAAATTTTCTTGCTCATTGTAACATAATGAGTGTCATTAGATTTTTAATCATGGCCATTTTGCACCTTTTCTAATTTGCAGGTAGTTATTATTTCAATATCATGCTTTTCCTTTTGCATCTGCATTGGCTAGAGGTCAGAATGTTTGTCTCCAACAAAGCACTGCCTCTGAGACCCATGGAAACAACTGTAATGGGTCCTCTGGGCACAAGCATCTGATGTCAAAGATTCAATAATTTTATGGTTATACTATGGGACTGAGTAATGATATCCAGAACTCTAGTGGAGAAACTGATGGTCTCATGGAACTGCTAATACAAAATCAAATAAGACTGGAATCAATTACATGGTATTTAATGAGCTGATGAAGAATGATTATTTTACAGCTTTTGTTTTTGGTTTGGCAAATTGTTGGTTTTTTAATATTCTATTTTTCTGTGTTTAAGAATCCCCATTTTTTCTCTTAGGCTAACTATTTAATAGATTACATTTTTGTAGACATAAGTGAAAGACTTACAAATCAAATATAAAATTTTAAGTTTCCCCTCAAACGTGCCCACCACAGGCATCTGAATGGACCCCTCCTTTTGGCCAAGGGCCTTTTAAAATTGGTTCAGGTCCTGAGAGGAAAGAAGGATAGACATGCTTCATTATACACTCCACCTTTTTGAAATTTAGGGAAAGTTGACCATCATTAACATCAACACAGACCTTAAGTTTGACAAGAAATATTTACCACCTATTCTCTTTTAAGTCTGCCACATGGAGTCTTCCTCATCTTGATAAACTTTGTCTCTATGCTCCCTATTATTTACTGCAACCCAGTCATTCCTATCCATTGTTTCTATGTCTACAGAAAATAACTCTTTCAACAAACTGCCAATCAGAATGTATTTAAATATACCTATAACTTGAAAGCCCAGCCCCGCACCACCACTCACTTCAAGTTGTCCCACCTTTCTGGACCAAACAAATGTACATCTTACATGTATTTGATTGATATCTCGTGTCTCCCTAAAATGCAGAAAACTAGGCTGTTCCCAGTCCATCTTGGGCACATGTTCTGAGGATCTTCTGAGAAGGGTTGTGTTATGGGCCATTGGTCACCCATATTTGGCTCAGAAAAAATCTCTTTAAATATTTTGCAGAGTTTGACTCCTTTCATGAACACATGTATCTTTTTTCTCCCTGCTTAGTCCTCCAGAATTTTGGATCTCATAAAATGTTCTTATTTTCATGGCAATATATTTTAGGTATTCATGCATATTTGTATGAATATGTCAATGTATATTTAAAGAAAAATAATGAAAGTTTACACCATGACTTCTCAGTTATGCCCTCTGGGAGAGCAATTAAAAAGGGTAAGTGAAAACTTTGGCTTTTTTATTACATACTCATGTAGGCATTCTGATTGAAGTGAGATGAAATCTCATTGTGGTTTTGATTTGCATTTTCCTGATGGATTACTGATGCTGAGTGCTTTTTACTGTGTCCTCTGGGCAACTGTATGTCTTAGTTTCACAAATGAGCATTCATATCCTTAGTCCATTTGTTTTCATGCTATTGAATTGTTGGAGTTCCTTATGTACTGTAAATATTCACCCATTAACAGATGTATAGTGATTCAATAATTTCACCCATCTTGTAGGATGTCCCTTCCCTCTCTTCAGTTTCCTTTGGTGTACTGAAGCACCTTAGCTTGACATAACCCGATTTTATATTTTTGAAGGTGTTTACTGTGTTCCTGCAGTCACTTTGAGACCACCATTGCCCACACCGATGTCATAGAGCTTCTTCCTTGTGATTTCTTCTGGTATTTTTATGGTTTCTGGTCTGACATTCGAGTTCTGTGAGACATAATCTACTCTTAAAATCCTTTATGTGGATATTCAGGTTTTCCCCAACCTAGTTTATAGAAGATACCTGATTTTGCATTGTGCGTTCTTGCTTCTTTGGGATAAGGTCCTGATCTGCAAATGCAGTGACTTGGTTCTGGGACCAGATTGTTTTTCATTAGCTCATGTCTCTGCTTGTCTGACAGTGCTGTTCTATTTTGGTGCATAAAACTTTGTAGCATATTGTGAAGTTAGGTAGTGTGAAGCCTCCAGCTTTGTGCTTTTTACTGGATTGCTCTGGGTCTTCAGGATCTTCTACCATTTCATAGCAAACTTAGGCTTCTCAGATTGTTTTTCTATGAAGAGTAGGTCATTGATACTTTTACAGGGGTTGTACAGAATCTGTAGACCACTTAGGTAGTAGTGATGTCAATGCCATTTAGACAATGTCTGTTTTCGTGTGCACATGCTCAGGGCCGAGAGACACGCGGTGTCCTCACTAATACTTAGGTGGGTCCTAATGTCCAGCAGGATTGCCTTCCTGAACACACACAGAAGGTCCCCTTCCATTTTGCCATCTCTTCACATTTCCTCCCCTGTGAAACATGTGTCATCCTCCAAATTCCTTGTGTGGTGACCTGTCTTTTCTGGCCATGGCAGAGGATGGGTGAATGAGGATGCTAGAGGGGAAACAGCATGTCAGGGGACCGTGGAGTCATTGACACAGAACTTGACAGGTCTGGGAGAGCTATTCTGGGAGGATGTAGACCTAGATGGGCCTCAGGTGGGCATTTGTGTGGAGGGTGAGAGCACCCTGGTTGAGTCCAAACTGAGCCTTAGATGGTAGCAGTCCTCAGGGCAGGGAAGTGAGATTACAAGGGATAATGAGGCAGCTATTCCTTGAGCCTGGCTTCTCACCCATTGACCTTAGTTACTTATGCCTCTTAAGCAGCTTAGGGTTCCCCAATCCTGAAATGTGGGTACTACAGTTCCCTGATGGGCCTTTCTCCCCCAGCCCATGCATGGTCTGAGTATGCTTACCGCAGTCCCTGAGCCTTGGCTTCGCTATGTGTCCTAGCTCCAGGACCCACAGGCCTCTCATCCCACAGGAGGCTGCTCCCCAGCCTCCTCTCTGTTCCCTCTCTGAGGGCCTAACTCCCTTGGGTAGCGCTGCATGAGATTGAGCCACAGGCCCTGGCTGATGATCTGGGGGACTGGGCAAAGTGGTCATGACAGGTCAGGTTCTGGTTCAAAGCCAATTCCTCCGATGCCAAGTGGACCAGCAAGGTCCTTTCCCATGATGCCCCACCACCACCCCACCTCAGCAACCCATCATACCCTGGGCAGTCACCATCAGCCAACCAGCTGAAGAAACTCAGTTAGGTGTGTCCTGCCTGAAACTGGGGCCTTCACCTGCATGATCCTAGAACCACTGGACACAGTGGAGCCAGTCACCCTCTATCCTGGAGTGAGAGAAGTTGGGAAGGCTCATGCCAAACCTAGCTTCCCACATACCACCCCCTCTACCATGCGGGGAGGCACTCCTTATTGAGAATTCCAATGCAATACTCCTTAATGATCACTTCATTGTGGAAGTAAATGTTGTGATGAAAGGCATACTTCATCCTTCTGCCACTACTCAGGATGGCTGAGTTCCTCCACCTGCCTGTCCAAGAAGGAGAAAGAGGATGGTCAAGGGACAATTTCATCTAGGTCAGCTGAGGGGGCCTGCTGGCTGGGGCGAAGCATGCGATTTCCCTTCCCAGCTCTCCCATTGAGACATCCCTGAACCCCAGAAAGACCTCAACCTGACCAGGACTTGGAACCCTCCCCCAGAACCAGGCTCCCCATCCTCACTTGCAAATCCATCATGTAGCTTTGCAGGACTTCCTCATAGTTTCTGAGCTACTTGCTCTCACCAGAAATAATCACAACTTTTAAACTGTTCTTTATGTCAAATTAATTTTTTTATTTTTACTACCTCATGTTCTGCATGAGGTATGTGTTTTTAAATTTATTTTCACCCTCTGTGATAAAGAGCTTACTAACATTCATACCATAATTATCTTTCAGTTTTAATTGTCTGTTCCTAAAGATTCACTGAAACTAAGAATTCTATTTATGCTTGTATCTTTCAGCAACCATATGTCAGATAATGATGCCCATTACTGCAGAAATCATATATACAGTTCCAACGGTAGATGAAGAAGAAGAAGAAAGCAAGATTTAAAGTCTATATGTTCCTAGCACTGTATCAGAAACTTGGTAATCATAGTGAAATCAAAGAATGATCACAGTCAATTCCATCTCATACCTAGACTGAAATATGAAATTTCAAAAGAAAAGAAAGTTAAGAATTTTGGGCTTATAAAAATTTTCCTAGATTGATAAAATTATTGGCAACTTTATCTCACTAGAAAACATGAACAAAAATACATTTTTATATGTGTAAATATAAATATTTTCATTTCCATCAGTTATGACATGCAAGCAAGTAATAAAGTGAAAGTACATTGCAATAATATATGGAACTTTCTCAGTCTCAAAATATTCCATTGACTATTAATTTTATGAAAACCATAAAGAACGCTTCATGAAACTACATTGTACAGTACTTTTTAGTATTTTAGTTATATTTTGAATAATCAACATATTAAAAGGAATTCTTCAAAAGTATTTATTACCAATACCTTTATTCCATTTGAGTAATACTTTTGAAATTAAGTATTTTAAATAAAGCATTAAAAACAAATTTTATTGACAGATTTCAGCTTTTGAAGAAATCGTACTTCTGTATTTGTAGTAATGTGAAGTATAACTTTCTCCTCACAATGAATCATTTATAACACCAGTGTTTTTTTTCTCTGATACAAACACTGTGATATCTTATAGCTTTACTGTATCCATATATTTCATGCCTCCACAGAGTAGGCTTAAAACATAGAAAAATTGTACTTGTGACAAAATTCCTGGAAAGGGAATGGTAAAATGGGAGAAAATTTCTAACTTTCTGTTGGTCAATGGATTTGTATATCTTTAGATATAGACACACATTTGCACACTGCGAGTTTGCACATGTACATAAAAATTTATGTAATTTCATGTGTGAAATTTGATGAGGTTACCTTATCTGTACTCAATTCGATGGGAAGCAAACAAAGTCTCTGTCAATATTTCAATTAATCCAATAATGTTAACTGCTGATAGCTTCATTCTCCCTGATCCCTGTTGGCAACCTGAAACTTGATGCTCACTCGAATTCATTTCTCAGGGTACCATCCACAAGAGACAGTCACCTTGCTGTGGATTGTGACCTCTGACTCCTCTTTCCTCCTATAGAAGTCCTACCTTTGCATATTTAATAAACTTTTTACATGGTTAAAAGGATAAAAGTTCAGTGAAATGTCAAGCCATGCTGTGAAATATTCAATTGTTTCTATATCTCTAATTGACCTTTCATGTTATAGAGGACAAGAAAAAAAATTCAATATGTTTCTTAATATGCAGTCCAATGCACTCTTTCTTAATAATATTGCAAACCCATCCCTTCAAGGCACTGACATCTAAACATGGCTGGACATCTCAAAATCTCTTCTCATTAATAACCATTATGTTAAGCACTGTTGCCCAGAACTGGAATCTGACTGTGAAATCCCTAGGTAGAAATTGTTATAATGGCTCAAACTATGGGACTGACTATTTTTCACCTGAAAATATCTGATAAGCATATACATATGCTATGTGCATGAACATATTGTACATTAACAATATATCATCACTGACAGTAAATAATAGGTGTCCCAAACTTATGGGCCAAACTGAGCTCAGGTGCTCCCACAAACCAAACTTTTACCTCCAGAGATTTTCTATGTCAAAAAATGGCTATTCCAGCCCAGACGTGGTGGCTCATGGCTGTAATTTCCACACTTTGGGAGGCCGAGGTGGGCTGGTCATTTGTGGTCAGGAGTTCAAGACTAGCCTGGGCAACATGGCAAACATGTCTCTATGAAAAATGCAAAAATTAGCCAGGCCTGGTGGCACTTTCCTGTAGTCCCAGCTACTCAGGAGGCTGAGACAGGAGAACCGCCTGAACCTGGGAGACAGAAGTTGCAGTAAGCCCAGATCGCAACACTGCACTCCAGCCTGCATGACAGAGTGAGAACCTGTCTCATAAAATAAAATAAGGCAACAGAACTTAGGTAAAAATATTGGAGTCAGCTGGGCACAGTGGCTCATGCCTGTATTCCCAGCACATTGTGAGGCCTAGGTGGTCAGATCAACAGAGGTCAGGATTTTGAGACCAGCCTGGCCAACACGGTGAAACCCCATTTCTACTAAAAATATATAAAATTAGCTGGGCATGGTGATGCATGCCTGTAATCCAAGCTACTCAGGTGATTGAGGTAAGATTGTTGTTTGAACCCAGGAGGCTGAGGTTTCAGTAAGACAAGATTGTGCCACTTCACTGCAGCCTGTGCTACAGAGCGACAGTACCCTATGAGAAACAAAGGTGAAAAGAACAAAAAAAAAAATTAGAAAAATAATACCCACTACTAAAATTTGCCACAGAAATGATAAAAACTTCACCAACTTCCACATTCTATATTGGAAGCTCAGGTTATTTGGACCAATCCTCCTGTATTAGTTCATTTTCACGCTGTTCATAAAGACATATCTGAAACTGGGAAGGAAATGAGGTTTAATTGGACTTACAGTTCCACGTGGCTAGGGAGACTTCAGAATCATGGCATAGGAATAAAGGCACTTCTTGCATGGCGGTGGCAAGAGGGAATGAGGAAAAAGCAAAAGCAGAAACCCCTGCTAAACCCATCGATCTTGTGAGTCTTATTCACTATCACAAGAATAGCTTGAGAGACCAGCCCCTATGATTCAGTCACCTCTCCTTGGGTTCCATCCTCAAAACATGAGAATACTGGGACATACAATTGAAGTTGTGATTTGAAGGGAGGCACATGAAACTATATCACCTCCCAAACAATTAAAAATTCTGAATGGAAAGAACATTCATCATGTCAAAAACTGTCAGGCCAGGAAGGAACTCTCAGCCTCATATCTCAAGAAAGACTGTAGTCAAGGCCCAGGGCCTACTTATGAAAAGAGTTTAATAGCCAACTCTCTCCAAATGGATCTGGAATTCCATAGGACTGTATCTTCATGGTAAGTGTGAAACAGAAGTAAACCCATTCCTATTTCCAAGCTCAAAGAACTTTGGCCAAAGTTATCTTGGAGATGAGTAGAATAAGGAGGAAAACAGAAAAAAAATTGTGTGCCTGAGAAGTCATGGCCACAGGCTGGCCATCACACAGATTGTCAAGCCAGTTCCATATTGCTTGGGTATTGCAGAAAAACTCAAAACATCAATTTGTGTGTGAGCTATCCCAAAGTAGCAGGATCTGGCAATAGTAAATTTCATCCTAACCCTCAAGGAATCCACTTTTGGGATTTTACCATTTATTTCATGAATGATAATGGACTTTTTAAAAAATATCTTTTTGTATACTCAGTTTATGTGACATTGGTGTCAAAGTTCTGCTTGCCTCACAGAATAAGTTTAGGATTTTCCCTTTTTTATTTTATAGAGTTCTTCACATATATTGAAATGCTCTGTCTGGGAAAATAAATATGGGCCTAGTGTTTTATCTGTAGGAACAATCCTTTATTTCCCTTAACATTTATGAGACTATTCAGATTACACACTTATTCTTTTATCAATTTTTCTTAGCTATATATTTATAAAAGTCTATTTGATCTAAGTTTTCAACTTTGTAGCATAAAGTGTTAATCATATTTGCTTATTAGCTTGTTAACCTGTACTGTATCTATTGTTATGTATCTTTTTAATTCTTAGTTTTATTTGTGCTTTCTCCCTTTTTTTCTTAACTTGCCTGAGGTTTGCACCTTTTATTATGTTTCTCCAACAATCAAACCTTATCTTTGTATGATTTATTAATTTTCTGTACATCATTATCCCCTCATTTTAGTTTTTCAGAATTGATTCTGTTGTTTCTTTTCTAATTCTTTATTTAAATACATAGTACATTAATTTTGAGGTTGTTGTAAAAACACTTAAGTGTATAAACTCCTATTGCAATATCACTTTTCCTGCTACTCGCAAATTTGATCTGTAATATTTTCAATATCATTAAGTTCTAAGTACTTTTAAATTTCTATTGTGTAATGAATTGCTGAGAAATATTTGTCATTAATTTTGTTGTTCCATTTCAACTTAATTTTATTTTAATTTGTGTTAACTCAATCAAAAATTCTTTACTAATTTTAAAATCTCATATCAAGACTTTTATTCACATCATTTGTTCTATAAATGCTCTCACCTTGAAGAACATTCTCTTGTTGGCTGCTTCCTTGCAACAGTCTTGACTGGTTGCCTTCTAGGCGTGATTCAATTTTCTCATCCTAGGATTTTCCTTCACCACACTTTAAAGAATTTATCTCTCTTGTGTTATGTCTCCTATTTTTGCCATTCCACATCTTTGTCTTTCTTGGTTTACTTTTTCCTTTTGGTAGGAAAAATTCTCTAGTAGCATCTTGAGAAAAGGTTCACAGGGAGACACAATTTTAGAGATGTCATATGTCTGAAAAATGTATGTTTTCTACTTGGACATTTAATTGTAGTCTATGTGGAAATAGAAACATATGTCAGAAATCATTTTCCTTTAGAATTTTCAAAGCATAACTCCATTGCCTTCTGGTTTACAGTGATGGTGTTGAATTTTTTTTTGAGGTGGAGTGTTGTTTTTGTTGCCAGGCTGGAGTTCAATTGTGTGATCTCAGCTTACTGCAACCTCCACCTCCTGGGTTCCAGCAATTCTCCTGCCTCAGCCCCCTGAGTAGCTGAGATTACAGGCAGGTGCCACCACACCTAGCTAATTTTGTATTTTTAGTAGAGATGGGGTTATTCCTTGTTGGTCAGGCTGGTCTCAAACTCCTGACCTCAGGTTATTTGCCCACCTTAGCCTCCCAAAGTGTGCCTTGGCCTCCCAAAGTGCTGGGATTACAGGCATGAGCCACCACTCCTGTCCAGTGTTGCAAATTTTCAAATCATCTGATTCCTCATCCTTTGTACCTGACCTATTTTTACCCCTCTGGAAACATTCAATTTTCTCTTTGTTTTCAGTGTTCTCAAATTTTACATTGATATATCTTGACATGAGTCTATTTTCATCTGTTTTTCTAGGTGCTAGCCTTTTAATCTGCAAATTGAGCATCATTAAGTTCTGAGACTTTTTATTGAATTATTTTGCCAACAATTTATTCCCCTTTGTTTCACTTATTTCTTTTCTTTCTATAACACATACAATTTAAGTATTGGAAGAAATTATCTTGGAGAAGAAAATAGCACCATACTGATTCTGTTTGTGTCAAACTATCACAGTTCAAGATTTTCATATTTTATTATGGAGAAATGTTGTATTTCTTAGTATTCACATTGTTACAAGAAGAAGGGCAATGACTGGTCAGAAATTGAAATGTATGAGTAACAGTTAGAAGATGAAAGCACTGTATCCTCAGAAATTTAGTATATGAAAACCTTTAAATTCCAGGCAAGTTGACTTAAGCTTCAACAGTCTCCCAGCTGAAATGATCTATTTGTGCTAAGTTCTGGGATCAAAGGTGAATAAGACCTTGTTTCTGCCTTCAGTGATAGCTCAGTCCAAAGGGAGACAAATAAAAATGATGTACGAAGAGAGATATGTATGACAGGCATGGCGACTCATGCCTGTAATCCCAACACTTTGGGAGGGCAAGTGGGGGTATCATGCAGTCAGGAGATCCAGGCCATCCTGGCTAACACAGTAAAACCCCATCTCTAGTTAAAATACAAAAAGTTACCCAGGTGTGGTGGCACACGCCTGTAGTCCCAGCTACTTGGGAGGCTGAGGCAGGAGAATCACTTGAGCCTGGGAGGTGGAGGTTGCAGTGAGCCAAGATCAAACCACTGCACTACAGCCTGGGTGACACAGTGAGATTTCATCTCAAAAAAAAAAAGGAGGGTTATGTAAAGTGCCATAAAAACTGAGAAAAGGGACAGAATATCTGTGACAGGTAACTTGTTTTGGGCAGTTGAAAATGAGGAGATCTCAGGGTATCCTTTCTTTGTGTCACATTTGACTAAAGGCAGAAACAAATGAATCTTAATATGTATGGGGTCATAGACACTTATTAAGGATGTAATGAAATTTATGATGATTCTTTCAGTAAAAATTTATATAACAAAACTACACATATATTTTACTTACTAACACAGAATGTGCATTATCAAGAGCTCTGGATAGAGGAGAATGAGTAGGAATGTTTTAGGCAAACAAAAAGGGAAGGGGAGGCCAAACAGAAGAAACAGCAAGTGCACGAATGTGGAGACACAAAAGTTTGTGCATTATTGGAATCAGCTTGACTAAAACATAATTCAGGGTGCCTGAAGCATAAGCTGGAAGATTAACCAGACATGGTGTAAGATGAAAATAGAAGGCCAGGCCCTGTGGCTCACACCTGTAATCCTACACTTTGGGAGGCCCAGGCTGGTGGATGACCTGAGGTCAGAAGTTTGAGATCAGCCTGGCCCAAAAGGAGAAACCCCCTCACTACTAAAAATATAAAAATTAGCCAGCCATGGTGGCAGGTGCCTGCAACCCCAGCTACTCAGGAGGCTGAGGCAGGAGAATTGCTTGAACCTGGGAGGCAGAGGTTGCGGTGAGCTGAGAACACACCATTGCACTCCAGCGTGGGCAACAACAGTGAAACTCAACCTCAAAAAAAAAAATAGAAAAAGAAAATAGAAGATAAGAAGATAGCCTGGGATAAAGCATGAAGTATCACAAATGTCAGTCATGCACTTTGTTTACTCAGAGACAAGACCATGATTGATTAAAATTATGCATTTTATGTCCACCCTCTTCTAACTGTTAACAAATACAAGTGGAACAGTTAGCACCCAATGGAATATTATAAAACATTCTGACTGTAAGGTTTCACTAGCATTCACTGTAGATGTTGAGTGTGGAGTGCTCAAACCTCAAGCTTACAGCTTCGTAAAAGAAAAATCAATGTTAGAAGGGAAGAAAAAGCTCCTCAACAACTACATGAACTGTTTGATTCCTTAATAGCTTACAACAGAATGGCAGTCTTCAATGAGTAGAAATGTTTCTCAATCATAGAAAAAATTTAGATTTACTTGGGGAGTTTACAAAAAGCATACCACATCTGAGATCTATCCCAGACCAATTAAATCAGAATGTATGGTGATCAATGGATCCTGGACAACTGAACTTTTGAAAGCTTTAGATAACAGATAACATTAATATGCATTCAAAATTGAGAATTACTGGGTTAAGAACGATAATCCATGAAAGTAAGTTTCTATCTACTCATCTGCCCTTAATTATATTGCATTGTTCTCATGCAGCATGATACAAGTAAAAATTAATTTGTTTTGTTGAAATGGAGTCTAGCTCTGTCACCAAGGCTAGAGTGCATTGGCATGGTCTCTGCTCACTGAAACCTCTGTCTACCAGGTTCAAGAAATTCTCCTGCCTCAGCCTCCCATATAGCCCAGATTACAGACACCCACTACCCTGCCTAGCTAATTTTTATATTTTCAGTAGAGACAGGGTTTCACTGCATTGACCAGGCTGGTCTGGAACTCCAGACTTCATGATCCACCCATGTTGGCTGGGGTTACAAATGTAAGCTACCGCGCCCAGCCAAAATTAATATTTTAAAATATTTAGAAATATGTGTGGTAGTGTGCAGTGGCTCATGCCTGTAATCTCATCACTTTTCCAGGCTGAGGTGGGTGGATCATTTGAACTGAGGCATTCCAGACCAGTTTGAAACTATGGTGAAACCCTGTCTCTACAAAAAAATACAAACAATTATCCAGGCCTGGTGGTGTGTGCCTGTGGTCCCAGTTATTCTGGAAGCTAAGGCTAGAGAATTGCTGAGGAGGATCACTTGAGCTCAGGAGGCTGAGGCTCCAGTGCGCAGAGATTGAGCTGCTGCCAACCAGTCCAGTCTGGGAAACAAAGGGAGGCTCTGTCATATATATATATATATATATACACACACACATATATATGACATATATACATATATATGACATATATGTGTGTGTATATATGACATATATATGTATATATCTGTGTGTGTATAAAAATACACACATACATACACATACATACGTGTTTGGCCACTTATTTCATCTGCAATGAAAGTCTAAGCAGCATGATTCAGGGTCAATATCAGGACCTGCAGGGAGCCAGCCTATGCTAGAAATATTCAGAGTGAGTTTTTTCACATTTTACAGTCTGATCTGCTGAGTGTACTGCCTGAGGCTATTGTTCTTTTCATATCTTGCGCATCTTTCTGCAGAAAAGGCCACATGCATCAACAGTATTTTTGCTAAGGGTCTTCTAATTAATTGGATGGCCTTTCTGTTGAAAAATTTCTAAGGAGAAGATTTTTCCTCTTTTGGCTCAGGAAACTGCAGGCATCAGTTTCACAACAATACTTAACATTAGCATCAGCAAACAAGTCATATGGAACAACTTCCATATGGAAGTTGTTTAGGGCTTCCTGCAGAACCACACAGCCTCAGAAGCTGCCAGGCGGTGTGTTTCCATGGGAGTCATATGGAACAAGAAGTCCATGTGTTTCCATGGGAGTCATATGGAACAAACAAGTCATATGCAACAACTTCCATGGGAGTCACCTTCCCCTGCAAAAGAAGCCACTCTTCCAGAAAGAAGAGGAGCACACCACACCCATGAAGAGACATCTAGTGTTTCATTGTCCTGCGGCCAGCCCAGGGAGGGATACTAGCATTCCTGTCTGCAGGGCCCATTGAATTTACATCAAATTCGGTTCTCAGCTGAGTAGGAGCTTCACTTCATGAGGGGGCACTCCTCTATCATCTTGAGATCTCATTCTGGGACAGAGTGTGAGCAGCAGTAAGGTCAGTTAGGGGTGTACATGCAATCTGGTGAGGGGTAGATGGGGTCCCACACCTTCACTTGAAAAAAAGTGAAGGCAGATTACACAGAAGTACTTCCAACTGCATGCCCACATTCTCCTAACTGCACAGGCAGTCCACACCATGGCCTGCTGTTCAGGTGGGAGTACTCCAACATGCAGGGAATATTTGGAGTGCAAACTGGGGCCATCATGGCAAACTCCCAATTTGAGGGCTTTCATACTGGGAGCCTAGGTCTGGCTCAATGTCTTCCACACTAAACATTTCCCAGTTCACCAAGGATGACCCTCATGAGAATCCATTGTGTGAGTGTTTCCTTCTAAACATTGTCATGTTTTAATGACTGGGCAGTTGTGGTATTTTAAAATTGTAAATTCCCATTACAGCCACCAACAAGAAAACTCTTGTTCTCCCACTTCTATCAGAGGGCTGCATGATTCCTGTAGGAGGCAGCCATGTCTGGCATTTGCCTGGTAATCTAGACTCTGTTTCATTGTGCCTGCATGTCCTTGCTCATTGGGCTGTTGCTGTATGGGACTGCCTCTCACCACAGATCTTTTAGCCCCCAGGGATTTCAGGGAGCAAAAGAGATTTCAGGTAGGCTGGCTGCACTCCAGGTTGTGGGTTGTGGTCTCATTTTGGAGACTGAGGTTGTTTGCACTTTGCAGGTGGCTTTTGGGTTCTCTGAAAGAAGCCTTTCAGTATTGCTTGGACTTCAGCACAAGTTAGCTGATTCTCTCACTCGAGCCTTTATTCTCTCACTCACTCCTTTGCTTTCATGGAAGGTAGACATTGCCCCTAAACAGCATTACTGCACACCATTTTCAGGCTTACAATTGCCACAAATGGCCTCTGAGACACTGTCTCAACCTCATCTGCACCCATGAGAGGCCAGTTGGAGGTGTGAGAACACTGCCCCACCATGGACTTGCCTTTGTTGTGGTTCCTGCCTTTCCCAGAGAGCACCTGCGAGGCCCAGGATGAAGGCAGGCAATGATATTCAGGGCACAGCCATCTTTTGTTGACACCTGCCTCTGGGGTCACAGGTATGACTCCATGAACCAGAGACCCCTCAACAGCTCACCAGACTATATTCCAATCACCATGGGACCTGATTTCTGCACTCTTTCAGGGATGAAGTCAGAGGTGCAGTTTCCAGTGACCAGGTCACAGTCTTGAAATGCCTCCTCCTTCAAGTGAAACCTGACCAGCAAGATGGCCTGAAGAAGACCTATGGTCAAGAGTTTTAGGGTCTCTCAGTGGATTATCTCAGGCAGCCATTTTCCCAACACCAGGCCAGCTCTGCCTATACCATTTTTCTCTGCTTAGGCATGCTGACAGCTCTGACAGATGGGCTGCTGAGCCTGTGACAAGAATGCAAATGCACTAGTCTCCTGGCACCAGGCCAGAGCTCTGAGCTCTGGCAAGCATCATAATGAATGACAGCATTGCCTAGCAACAAGTCCCTGAGGCTTGGTGAAGAGGGCGATCTCTGTGTATGGGTGTTGGCAGTGAACTTTCTTTCACCTGTCTTCTCTGAGGGATTCATAGGATAGTCCCATTATCCTTGGAGAGAGCATATGTGAGACATCATGAAGAAAGGTCAAACAGAGCCCAGGAATAATCCACAAAATCCCTAAGGATTCAAAAAATCTGCAGGATGCCTCAGGCCTGCCTAGATGTTCAAGGGGTGAATCTTTTGGAAATTTGCCCCACTGTGATTTCTTGGTACAGCCCTCCTGTGTTACTTGGGGTTGTTCTCTCCCAGTTTGGGATTTCTGCAGAACCACCCAGCCTCAGAACCTGCAGGCCTGTAGTTTCTGTGGGAGTGTTGTAAGTTTGGATGTCTGCATGTGTGTGTGGCTTTGTGGTGTGTGTGTATGTGTGTGTGTTAAATGGAGTCTAACTAAATGAATTAGGCTAACGCACTGCAGTGCTTTTTTTTGTCTCTCAACTTTTTGGTAGCCTATTTGTGTGGTTCTGCTTGGGCTGTGGGGCTCTGTGTTCTTTATTTTTCTGTGGATCAAGAACCCTCAGTGATTTGGGAGGCTGGCTGTGACCCACTATGGTCCAAATATCCTGAACCTGCAAAAAAAGCCACTCTTCTCGAAAGAAGAGGAGCACACCTCACCCAAGAAGAAACATCTCCCAGTGTTTCATTGTCCTGTGGCCAACCCAGGGAGAAACACCAGCAGTCCTGAAGGCAGGGCCCCTTGAATTTACCTTGAATTTGGTTCACAGTAGAGCAGGTGCTTCGTGTCATGAGGGGGCACTCCGCCATCGTCTTGGGATTTTATTCTGGGACAAACAGTGTGAGCAGCAGTAAGGTAAGATGGGGTGAGGATATAATCTGGTGAGGTTTGGATGCAGACCTGCACCTTCACCTGCAAAAATAGTAAAGAACTGATGGCACAGAACGTGCTTCCAACAGCATCCCCACATTTGCTTAATTGCACAAGCCGTCCATGTCATGGCTTGGGAGTACTTCTGCGTGCAGGGAACATTTGGAGTGCATACTCGGCCATCCTGGCAAACTCCCAATTTCAGGGCTGTCATACCCAGAACTAAATGGGTGTGGGATGGATTGATGTTTGGTGGGATGTGACCTTCACACTTGTCTCCTCTTCTCCTCACTTACATTTCCCTCATTGGCCTAGGTTTTCCTGGGTCTGTCTAAATGTCTACCACAATAAAGGTTTCCCAGTTCATGGAGGACGACCCTCATTTGAATCCATTGTGTGAGTGTTTCCTTCTAAACACTGTCGTGTTTTAATGACTGGGCAGCTTTGATACTTTTAAAACTGTAAATGTCAGTTACAGCCACCAAAAAGGAAACTCCTATTCTCCCACTTATTTTTCAGAGGGCTGCAAGATTCCTGTATGATGAGAAGCAGGCAGCTATGTCTGATATTGCCTGGTAATCTAGCCTCTGTTTCAATTCATCTTCAAGTCCTTTCTCATTGTGGAGGGGCTCTTTCATTGGGTTGTTGCTGCATTGCACTGCCTCTCACCCCAGATCTTTTGGCTGCCAGGGATTTCAGGGAGCAAAAGGGACTTGGGGTAGGCTGGCTGCACTCCAGGTTGTGGGTTGTTGTCTCATTGTGGGGGCTGAGGTTGTTTGCACTTTGCAGGAGGCTTTTGGGTCCTCTGACAGGAGTCTTTGAACATTGCTTGGATTTCACCATAAGGCAGCTCTTTCTCTCAGTTGAGCCTTGATTTTTCTTTGCTTTCAAGGGGAATACACAGTGCCCCTTAACAGCACTACTGGACACAATTTCAGACTTGGCACCACCACAGACGTTTCCAAGATACTCTCTCAACCTCATCTGCACCTACAAGAAGCCAGTCCGAGGTGTGAGAACACTGCACCACCTTGGACTTGCCTTTGTCATGGTTTCTGCCTTTCCCAGACAGCTCCAGAATGAAGGGTGGCAGTGAGGTCAAGAGTCTGACCATCTTTCACTGGCACCCACCTCTGGGTTCTCAGGCACGTTTCTATCACCCAGAGAACCCTCAAAAACACAGCAGATTATATTCCAGTCCCCATGGGACCTGATTCTTGCACACAGCCCCTTTGGAGAATAAAGTCAGAAGAGGAGTTTCCAGCGACCACCTCACAGTCTCAAAAAGCTTCCTCCTCCAGGAGGCCCCAACCACAGATATGGCCCAAGGGGCCCTGAGGTCGAGAATTTTAGTGCCCTGCAGTGGGTGTTTGCAGGCATCCTTTACTTCAACACCAGGTCGGCTCTGACTGTACATTTTCCTGTGCTTAGGCAGCCTGACAGTTCTGCTAGCCTGGAGGCCTTGCCTGCCTCACGAATGCGCATGCGCTAGACTCAAGGACTCAGGCCTGATTATGAGCCCTTGCTTGTGTCACATCGAATGTCACAGTTGCCTAACTACAAGTCCCTGCGGCTTTGCGGCGAAGGAGACCTCGTGGAGGTGCCTTGGCAGTGGGCTTTTGCGTCTCGTCTGTTGTATTCACCAGATACTCCCATGATCCTAGGGCAGACGTGAGCCAGCCTGAAGAAACCTCAAGCACGACCTCAGGAATAAATTGCAAAATCCTAAGAATCCAAAAGGATCTGAAGGATTCCTCAGGCCTGCCTAGACGTTGTAGGGGTGAGTCTTTTTTAAACTTGCCCCACTGTGATTTCTAGATACAGCCCGCCTGTGTTCCGCGAGTTTGCTGTCTCCCAGATGGGGCTTCCTGCAGAACCACGCATCCTCAGCAGCTGCTGGACTGTGTGTTTCTCTGGGAGACTTGCAAGTGTTAGATGTTTGCCTGTGTGTGTATGTGTGTGTGTGTATGTGCCAGTAAGTGGCGTCTGTTTAAAGGAATGAGGCTAACACACTTAAGCACCTTTTTTTTTTTTTTTTTTAGTCTCCCAACCTAGTGTTGTCCTGTCTCTGTGGCTCTGCTTAGGCTGCGGGGCTTTGTTTTCTTTATTTTTCTGTGGATCGTGAATCCGCAGCAAATTGGGAGGCGTGCCATGACCCGCTGGCGTCCAAATCACCTCTGCCAGCAGAACAACAACAGCAATAACAAAAAAAGCCACTTTTCTAGAAAGAAGAGGAGCACACCACACCATAAAACAGGTCTCCCAGTGTTCCATTGTCCTGCAGCCAACCCAGGGAGAGACACTAGCAGTCTTTTCCACAGCGAAACACACAAAGCCACACACACATGCAGACATCCAAAACTTACAACACTCTGACAGAAAAACACAGCCCGGCATCTCCTGAGGCTGCGTGGTTCTGCAGGAAGCTTCACCTGGGAGACAGCAACCCTGGGGAACTCATGCAGGCTGTATCTAGAAAACACAGTGGGATAATTTTCAAAAAGACTCACCCCTGCAAAGTCTAGGTAGGCCTGAGGCATTCTGCAGATCCTTTTGGACACTTAAGAGATTTCGTAGTGAATTCCTGCGGCTCTGCTTGAGGTTTCCTTAGGCTGGCTCACATCAGCATTCTCCTAGCATCATGAGATTATGCTGAGGGTCCCACAAACAGTACAAGCGAAAGTCTGTGGCCGACCCACCTCCGCAGATGTTTCCTTCTCCGCTAAGCCACAGGGACTTGTCTCTAGGCAATGGTGGTGGCATTCATTGAGACATCAGCCAGAGCTCACAGTTCAGGTCTGGTGCCCTGAGACTAGCGCATGCGCATTCACGAGGCAAGGTTGGGCGCCTGGCTGTCAGAGCTGTCAGCCTGCCTAACCAGAGGAAAATGGTACAGCCAGAGCCGGCCTGTTATGGGAAAAAAGGCTGACTGCAGTAACCCACTGTGGGACACTAAAAGCGTCGACCTCAGAGCTCTGTCGGGTCTTCTCTGTGGTCTGGTCTCGCTGAAGGAGGACACATTTTGAGACTGTGAGGAGGACGCTGGAAACTGCTTTTCTCACTCCATGGCTGAAAGAGGCTGTGTGTAAGAATCAAGTCCCATGGGAATTGGAATATAGTCTGGTGAGTTTCCGGGGGTCTTCGGGTGATGGAATCATACCTGAGACCCCAGAGGAGGGTGTCTGTGAAAGATGGCCAGGCCCTTGATGTGACTGCCTCCCTTCATCCTGGCCTCACAGGGGCTCTTGAGAAAAGGCTGGAACCATGACAAAAGGAGGTCCAAGTTGGAGAAGTGTTTTCACACCTCGAACTGGCCTCTCACGGGTGCAAATGAGGTTGAGACAGTGTCTCAGCGCCCATTTGTGGCGAATGCAAGCCTGGAATGGTGTCCAGTAGCACTGTTGAAGGGCAATGTGGACTCCCCAGTGAAAGCAAAGAAAAATCAAAGCTCGCCTGAGAGAACGAGCTGACTAGTGCCAGAGACACAGCAATGTTAAAAGATTTCTATCAGAAGACCCAAAAGCCCCTGGCAAAGTGCAAACAAACTTGGCCCCCAAAATGAGACCACCACCCAAAACCTGGAGTGTAGCCAGCCTACCTAAAGTCCGTTTTGCTCCCTGAAATTACTGGCAACCAAAAGATGTGTGGTGATAGGCAGTCCCACTCAGGAAGAGTACAATGAAAGATCCACTCAGCAATGAGAAGACCATGCAGATGAAACGAAGCAGAGGCTACATTACCAGGCAAAAGCCAAACACGGCTGCCTGCTTCTCATCCTACAGGAATCATGCAGCCTTCTGAAAGAAGTGAAAGAACAAGAGTTTCCTTGTTGGCAGCTGTAAAGGCAATTTACAGGTTTAAATTATCAATGCTGCCCAGTCATTAAAACCTGACAGGGTTTAGAAGAAAACACTCACGCAATGGATTCCCATGAGGGTGGTTCTTGAGAATTGAGAAAGGTTTAGTGTGGAAGTCACTGGGCAGAGACCCAGGAAACCCTAGGCCGATAAGCAACATGGAAGTCAAGAAAAGAAGAGGCCAGTTTGGAGGCCATAGCCCTCCCAGCAGTAACCCATCCCATTTCCATTTGGCTATGGGTATGAAAAACATAAATCCAGACTTTGCCAGGATGGGCCCAATTTGCACTCCAAATATTCCCTGCATGTTGGATTACTTCCACCTGAACACCAGGTCATGGTTGGACTGCTTGTGCAATTAACAGAATAGGGGGATGGGAATGGAAGCACCTTCTGTGTCATCTGTCTTCATATATTTTTTGCAGTTGAAGTTGCAGGACCCCATCCACTCCTCACCAGATTGTATCCTCATCCCTATCTGACCTTATTTCTGCTCACACTCTATGTTCCAGGATGAAATCCCAAGATGATGAAGGAGTGCCCCTTCAACCTGAAGCACTTGCTCAGCTAGGAACCGAATTCAAGGTAAATTCAAGAGGTCCTGCAGACAGGACTGCTAGTGTCTCTTCCTGGGTTGACCGCAGGACAGTGAAACACTGGGAGACATCTGTTTTTTGGTGTGTTGGTGTGATGTGTTTCTCTTCTTTCTAGAAGAGTGTTTTTTTTTATTTTTTTCCAGAGGAAGGTGATTTAGACACTGCGTATTCATGATCCACAGAAAAATAGAAAACATGGAGCCCCACAGCCCAAGCAGAGCCACACAGACAAGCAACCAAAAGAAAAGGTGAGGGACTCAAATAAAGAAGGATTGAAGTGTGTTAGCCACATTCTTTTAAGCAGACTCCATTTGCAGGCACACACACACAAACACACAATGCCACACACACACACAGAAATCCAACACTCAAAACACTCCCAAAGGAACACACAACCTGGCAGCTTCTGAGGCTGTATGTTTCTGCAGGAAGCCCCACCTGGAAAAGAGCAACCCCGGGGAACACAGGAGGGCTTTACCTAAAAATATCAGAGGGGCAAGTTTCAAAAAGACTCACCCCTAAAACATCTAGGCAGATCTGAGGAATCCTGCAGATGCTTTTGGATCCTTAGGGAGTTTGCAGTTTATTCCTAGGGCTCTGCTTGACATTTCTTCAGGCTCCCTCACATCTGCCATCTCCTAGGATCATGAGATTATTCTGTGGATCCCACATAGAAGACAGGCAAAGAGTGCACCGCCAATGCACCTCCACAGAGGTCTCCTCTGGAGCTCAAAATCAGGAATGGTTCCCTGAGCTTAGCTCATGAACATTCATAAGGCAGGCTCTGGCACCCAGATGTCAGAGCTCTCAGCCTGACTAAGCAGAGGAAAATGCTACAGGCAGAGCCGCCCTGGTATCAAGAAAAACGATGCCTGTGAAAACCCACTGTGAGACTCTAAAAGTCTCAACCTCAGGGCCCCTTTGGGCCATCTCCATGGTTGGTTCCCACTGGAGGAGGAGGCATTTCAGGACTGTGAGGTTGTTACTGGAAACTGCTCTTCAGACTCTATTCCTCAAAGAGGCTGTGTGCAAGAATCTGGTCCCATGGAGATTGGAATAGAATCTGTTGTGTTGTTGGGGTTCTTTGGGTGAAAGAATTATACCTGAAACCCCAGAGATGGGCATCAGTGAAAGATGCCCGAGCTTGACCTCATGGCCTCCCTTCATTCTGGGCCTCACAGGGGCCCTCTGGAAAAGTCAGGAACCATGACAGAGGAAAGCCCAAGGTGGAGCAGTTGTCTCACACCTCAGACTGGTCTCTCCTTGGTGCAGATGAGGTTGACACAGTGTCTCAGAGGCCATTTGTGGTAATAGTAAGCATGAAAATTGTGTCCAGCAGTGCTGTTAACAGGCATTGTGGACTTTCCCTGAAAGCAAGAAAAAAATAAGGCTTGCCTGAGAAAATGAGCTGCCTTGTGCTGGAGTCCAATCGATGTTCAGTGATTTCTGTCAGGGTACCCAAAAGCCTACTGCAAAGTGCCAGCAACTTCAGCCCCCAAAACGTGACCATAGACCAAAACCTGGAGCACAGTAAGCCTACTCAAAGTCCCTTTCGCTCTCTGAAACCCCAAGAAGCTATACAATCTGTAGTGAGAGGCAGTCCCTTCCAGCAACAGCTCAATGAATGAGCCCCTCCACAGTGAGAGAGAGCCATGCAGATTTAATGAAACCGAGCCTAGATTGCCAGGTAAAACGTACACACAGCTGTCTTCTTCTCCTCCTACAGGAATCATGCAGGCCTCTGATAGAAGTGGGAGAATAAGAGTTTCCTTGTTGGTGGCTGAAATGGAAATTTATGGTTTTAAAAGTATCAAAACTGCCCAGTCATTAAAACGTGACAGTGTTTGGAAGAAAACACTCATGCAGTGGATTCCACTGAGGGTCATTCTCCAGGAACAGGCAAACGTTTAGTGTGGAAGTCATTTAGCCAGACCCAGGAAACCCTAGGGTGACCAGGAGCATGGAAGTCAGGAAAAGAACATGCAAGTATGGAGGCCACATCCCACCCAGCATCAAACCATTCCACTCCATTTGGCTGTAGGTATGAAAGCCCTTAAATCGGGAGTTTGCCAGGATGGCCTCAATTTGCACTCCACATGTTCCTTAAACATAGGAGTACTGCCACCTGAACTCCGGGACATGGTGTAGACTGCTTGTGAAATTAAGGGAATGTGGGCACAGAATTGGAAGCACCTTCTGTCATCTGTCTTCATCTTTTTGCAGGTGAAGTTGCAGGACCCCTTCCCCTTGTCTTCAGATTATATCCTCACCTTTATCTGATGTTATTTCTGCTCATATTCTGTGTCCCAGGATGAAATCCCAAAATGAGGGAGGAGTGTCCCCTCACAATGGTGTAGCACCTGCTCAGCTGGGAATTGAATTTGAGGTAAATATAGGGGCCCTGAGGACTGGACTGCTAGTGTCTCTCCCTGGGTTGGCTGCAGGAAAATGAAACACTTGGAAATGTCTGTTTTTTTGGTATGGTGTGCTCCTCTTCTTTCTAGAAGAGTGGCTTTTATTGCACAGGGAGATACCTTGGTCCCCAGCAGGCTTGGTCCGCCTCCAAAGTCACTGAGGATTCATTATTCACAGAAAGATAAATAACACAGAGCCCCACAGCCCAAAAGAGTCATACAGACAGGCCACCAAAAGGTTAGTAGACTCAAAAAAAAAAAAAAAGAACCGCTGAAGTGCTTTAGCCACATTCCTTTAAGCAGACTCCACTTAATGTCACACACACACACAAACACACAATAAAACACACGCAGGCAGACATCCAACACTTGCAACACCCCCAAAAAAACACACAGACTGTCAACTCCTCAGGCTGTGGGATTATGCAGGAAGACCCATCTGAGACAGAGCAACTCCAAGGAAAATAAATGGGCTGTACCTAAAAATCACAGTAAGACAAGTTCCAAAAAGGTTCACCCTTCCAACATCTAGACATCATGCAGATGCTTTTTGATCCTTAGGGATTTGGCAGGAGCTCTTCTTGATGTTTCTTCAGGCTGGCTCACGTCCTCCCTATCCTAGGATTATGGGACTATCCTGTGGATCTCACAGAGTAGACAGGTGAGAGACCACAGCCGACGAACCTCCATGGAGGTCTCCTCCTTGGGAGTCTCTTCCACAAAGCCGCGGGGACTTGTCGCTAGGCAACGGTGACATTCGCTGTGACTCTAGACAGAGTTCACACTCAGGACTGGTGCCCTGAGAGTAGCTCATGTGGATTCCTGAGACATGCTTATGTGTACTGCTGTAACAGCGTTCAGCCTGCCTAAGCAGAGGAAAATGGTACAGTCGGAGCTGGCCTGCTATCAAGAAAAAGGCTGCCTGTGAAGACCCATGGCGGGACAATAAAAGCCTCAACCTCAGGACTCATTTGGACCATCTCTGTCTTCGCGTCCTGATGGAGGATGAGGTGTTTCAAGACTGTGAGGTGGTCACTGAAAACTGCCGTTTGAAATCCATTCCCAAAAGAGAATGTGTGTCTTCAAGACTCGGGTCCCATGGTGATTGGCATATAGTCTGTCTGGTGTGTTGTTGATGGTTCTTTGGGTCATAGCATCATACCTGAGACTCCAGAGGCATTTTTTAGTAAAGATGTCTGGGCTCTTGACCTCACTACCTCCATCATCCTATGCCTAGCAGGGGCTCTCTGAGAAATGCAGGAACCATGAAAAAGGCAAGTCAAAGTTTGAACCATATTCTCACACCTTGGACTGACCTCTTATGGGTGAAGATGAGGTAGAGACCATGTCTCAGAGGTCATCTTTGATGATGGCAAGCCTGAAAAGGATATCCAGTAGAGCTGTTGAAGGACACTGTGGATTGCCCATAAAAGCAAAGAAAAATCGATGCTCACCTGACAGAATGAGCTGCACTGAGCTGGAGTTTAAGCAATGTTCAATGCTTCCTGTCAGAGAACCCAAAAGCCTCCCAAATTGCAAACAACTTCAGCCCCCACAATGAGACAACAACTCGAAACTTGGAGCACAGCCACACTCCTCAAAGTCCCTTTTGCTCTTTGAAATCCCGGGAAGCAAAATAATCTTTGGTGAGAGGCAGTCCCATCCAGCTACAGCCCAGTGAAAGAATACCTGCTCAGTAAGATGACTATGCAGATGAAAAAAATCAGAGGCTAGACTACCAGGCAAAAGCCAGACAGGGCTGACTTCTTCTCACCCTACAGGAATCATGCAGAATGCCAACAGAAGTGAAAAATACAAGAGTTTCCTTGTTGGCGGCTATAAGGGAATTTACCGTTTTAGAAGTATCAAAGCTGCCCAGTCATTAAATTGTGAAAGGGTTTAGAAGGAAACACTCATGCAATGGATTCCCATTAGGGTCATTCTCTGTGAACTGAGAAACATGTTTTGTAGAAGTCATTGAGCCAGACACAGGAAACCCTACACTGACAAGAAACATGGAAGTCAGAGAAAGAAGGGGCAAGTGTGGAGGCCACTTCCCACCTACCATCAATCCATTTCATTCCCATTTTGCTCCCAGTATGAAAGCCTGCAAATTGAGAGTTTGCCAGGATGACCCCAGTTTGCACCCCAAATATTTCTTGCACATTGGAGTACTTTCACCTGAACACCGGGCCATGGTGTGGACTGCTTGTGCAATTAAGGGAATGTTGGGATGGAGTTGGAAGTACCTTCTGTGTCATCTGTCTTCATTTTTTTGCAGGTGAAGTTGTGGGATCTCATCCAATTCCCACCAGATTTTATCCTCACTCTTGTCTGACCTTATTGTTGCTCACACTCTATGTCCAAAAATGAAAACCCAAGACGATGGAGTATTGCCCCCTTATGATGTGAAGCAACTGCGTGGCTGGGACCTGAATTTGAGGTAAATTCAAGGGCCCTGTGGACAGGACTGCTAGTGTATCTTCCTGCATTGGCTGCAGGACAATGAAACACTCAGAGATGACTGTTTTTTCATGTGGTGTGCTCCCCTTTTTTCTAAGAGTGGCTTTCTTTTGGAGTGAGAGGTGAGTTTGACACTGGTGGGTCTCAGGCTGCCTCCCAATTCACTGGGGATTTATGATCCACAGAAAACTAAAGAACATGGAGCCCCACAGCCCAAGCAGTGCTGTACAGACAAGCCACCAAAAAGCTGGGAAACTCAAAAAAAAGAAGTGCTAAAATGTGTTAGCCATATTCCTTTAAGAATACTCCACTTATATTCTAACACGCACACACACAGACACACACACACACAGACATCCAACACTCTCAATACTTTCACAGAAACACACAGGCTGGCAGCTCCTGAGGCTGTGTGGTTCTGCAGGAAGCCCCATCTGGCAGAGAGCAACCTCGGGGAACACAGCCACTATACCTGGATATCACAGTAGAGCAATTTCAAAAAGACTCAACCCTACAAAGTCTAAACAGGTTTGAAGAATTCTGCAGATTGTTTTGTATTCTCAGGGATTTCACAGTTTATTCCTGGGGCTCTGTTTGATGTTACTTCTGGCTGCCTCATGCCTGCCCTTTCCTGGGATCATGGGACTATCCCATCGATCCAACAGAGAAGACAGTCAAGAGTCCACTGCTGATGCACCTCCACAGAGGTCTCTTTATCTGCCAAGCTTCAGGGACTTGTCACTAGGCAAAGGTGGCATTCATTGTGAAGCTAGCCAGAGCTCACAATCAGGCCTGGTGCCCTGAGACTAGTGCATGCACATTAATGAGGCAGGTTTTAGCGCTGGCTCTCAGACCCGTCAGCCTGCCTAAGCAGAGGAAAATGGCAGAGGCAGAGTCAGTCTGGTATCAGGAAATAAGCTGCCTGTGAAACACATTGCAGGACCCTAAAAGTCTCAACTTTGGGGGTTATTCAAGCCATCTTCATGATTGTGTTCCACTGGAGGAGGAGGCATTTCAAGACCATGAGGTGGTCGTGGAAACTGCTCTTCTGAGTCAATTCCCGAAGGAGGCTGTGTTAAAGAATTGAGTCCCATAACGATTGATATATAGTCTGGTGTGTTCTAGAGGGTACTTTTGGGTGATAGCATCATACCTGAGACCCCACAGGTGGGTGTCAGCAAAAGATGACCAGGCTCTTGACCTCTCTGCCTCCCTTCATCTGGGGCATCGCATAGGCTCTCTGGGAAAGGCAGGAAGCCAGACAAGGCAAGTATAAGATGAACACTGTTCTCACACCTTGAACTTGCCCCTCATGGGTTCACATGAGGTTGTGACACCATCTCAGAGGCTGCCTGTGGTGACAGCAAGCCTGAAAAGGATGTCCAGTAGTGCTGTTGAGGAGCACTGTGAATTCTCCATGAAAGCAAAGAAAAATCAAGGCTCACCTGAAAGAATGAGTGGCCTTGTGCTGGAGTCCAAGCAATGTTCATGATTCCTGTCAGAAGACCCCAAAGACTCATGCAAAGTGCAAACAACCTCAGCTCCCACAACAATACAACAATCCATAATCTGGAGTGCAGCCAGATGACCCAAAGTCCCTTCTGCTCTCTGAAATCTCTGGCAGCTAAATAATTGGTGGGAAGAGGCATTCCTATCCAGCAACAGAACAATGCAAGAGCCCCTCCACTATGAGAAGGCCACGCAGATGAAATGAAACAGAGGCTAGTTTACCAGGCAAAAGCCAGACACAGCTGCAAGCTTCTCATCCTACAGGAATCATGCAGCACTCTGACAGAAGTGGGAGAATAGGTGTTTCCTTGTTTGCTGCTGTAACAGGAATTAACGGTTTTTAAAGTATCAGAGCAGCCCCGTCAATAAAAAGTGAGAATTTTTAGAAGAAAACGTTCATGCTATGGATTCCCATGAGGGTCATTCTCATGAACTGAGAAACATTTAATGTGGAAGTCGTTGAGCCAGGCACAGGAAACCCTAGGCTGGAGAGAAACATGGAAGTCAGAAAAAGAAGAGGCAAGTGTAGAGGCCACATCCTACCCAGCACCAATCCATTCCACTCCCATTTGGCTCTGGGTATGAAAGTACTCACATTGGGAGTTTGCCAGAATGGCCCCAATTTGCCCTCCAAATATTCTTTGCACATTGAAATACTCCCACCTGAATTCTGGGCCATGGTGTGGACTGCTTTTGAAATTAAGCGGATGTTGGGATGGAGTTAGAAGCACATTTTGTGTCATCTGTCTTTATTATTATTATTATTTTTGCAGGTGAAGTTGCTGGAACCCATTCTCCATTCAGTAGATTGTATCCTCACCACATGTGACCTAATTGCTGCTCACACTCTATGTTCCAGGATAAAATCCCAAGAAGATGGAGAAGTGTCCCCCAATGATGTGAAGCATGTGCGCAGCTGGGAACCAAATTCGAGGTTAATCCAAGTGGCCTTGCAGACAGATCTGCTAGTGTCTCTCCCTGCGTTGTCCTCAAGATGATGGAAACACTGTTAGATGCCTGGTTTTTGGTGTGGTGTGCTCCTCTTCTAGAAGAGTAGTTTCTTCTGCAGGGGGAGGTGATTTTGGACGCTGGCGGGTCTTGGCCCACCTCCAAATTCACTGGGGATTCACAATCCACAGAAAAATAACACGGAGCCATGCAGCCCAAGCATAGCCACACAGAGAGGCCACCAAAAGGTAGTGAGTCTAAAAACAAGAAGCACTGAAGTGTGTTAGCCCCATTCCTTTAAGCAGACCCCACTTACAGGCACACACGCACACAAAATGCCACACACACTCGACGTCAAACACTCGCAACACACCCACGGAAACACACAGCATGGCAGATCCTGAGCTTGCATGGTTCCGCAGGAGGCCCCACCTGAGAGACAGCAACCCCAGGGAACACAGGCAGCCTGTACCTAGAAATCACATTGGCATAAGTTTCAAAACACATACAACCTCTAGGCTGGCCTGAGGAATTCTGCAGATCCTTTTGGATGCTTAGGGATTTTGCAGTTTATTTGTGGGATTGTGGTTGATGTTTCTTCAGGCTGACTCCCATAAGCCCTCTGATCATGGTTGAGGTTTCTTCAGGCATCCCACAGAAAAGACAGGGGAGAGTCCACCGCCAATGCACCTCCGAGCAGGTCTCTTTCTCTGCCAAGCTGCATGAACTTGTTGCTAGGCAACGGTGACATTGTGAGGCTAGGCAGAACTCACCATCATGCCTGGTGCCCTGAAACTAGCACATGCACATTCTTGGGGCAGGTTCAAGCACCCAGCTGTCAGCGATGTCAGCCTGCCTAGGCAGAGGAAAATGCACAGGCAAAGCTGGCCTCATATCGGGAAAATGGCTACCTGTGAAAACCCACTGTGAGACCCTAAACATCTCGACCTTAGGGCCCCATGGGCAGCCTCCATGGTCTCATCCCGCTGAAGGAGTACACATTTCATTACTCTTAGGTAGTGGCTGGAAACTGCTCTTCTGACTCTATTCCTGAAAGAGAATGTGTGTGCAAGGACCAGATCCTATGGGGATCAGGATATAGTCTGTTGTGTTGTTCAGTGTTCTTTGGATAATAGAATTATATCTAAGACACCAGAGGCAGGTGTCAGCAAAAGATGGCCAGGCCCTTAATCTCACTGCCTCCCTTCATTCTGGGCCTCACAGGGGCTCTCTCAGATAAGCAAGAACCACAAGAAAGGTCTCCAACCACATGTTGGAGACATGTTCTCACACTTTGAACTGGCCTCTCATGGGTGCAGATGAGGTTGAGACAGTGTCTTAGAGGCCATCTGTGGCAATTGCCACCCTGGAAAGGGTATCCAGTAGTGTTGCAAGAGCACTGTGGATTCCTTATACTCAGAGAGAAAAAATCACTTGAGAGAATTGTTGGAAAACCAGCCCCACACTGCCCAGCAGGTACCCCGAGTCCAGCGAAGACAAAGGAATTAGAAAGAGACAGAATGAGAGTTTAAAAGGCAGGTCCAGGGGACCAGAGAATTGGAGTCTTGTTCATGGCCTGGAGCTCTCAGCCTCCACCCAATTTATTGGCTTACAAGCTCTTTGTTCATAGGCAGATAGGAGGAGTAGAAGGGGATGAGGGAAAGGATTAATCAGTGAAGGAGAACTCATGAGTCATTCAATAAGATGTATAGCGAAGTGGCGGTTTCTGTGAATTTCCTTGAGCAAAGGAGTGTGTCTAAACTACTTAATGTATTTAACTTATCAGGACTGAAATGGGTGGGAGTAGGTTTCAGGAGAATCCAGGACATTTGATTATACTCCACTGCTTCAAGGGAGTGTTATTTCCCTGTGAAAGCTGTGGCATGCCACCGAGCTGTTATGCTCTCCAGGCATAAGGACATGAAGGCAATAAGGAGATTTTCTCCTCAGACGCCATCCATGGCTCCCCATGGGAGTCTCACATGGGGGAGACCAACTCATCTGGCATCCCAGAAACTCTCTTTCCCATATGTCCCACTTTTTTGTCTCCATTTTTTTTAATTAATAACCACCATTGCTATCATAGCTCATTCACGGTGTCTGTCTTCTCTCCCAAGGTGCTGTCTGCAACTGTAGACTAAAAAAAAAAAAAGCATAAACAGACACAAACCAAAATAATATTTCAGTTGATGATCCACCTATGGTTTTAATTCACTTTAAAGGATTATTGTTAAAAAGGCCATCAGTGGCTCCAGCAAGAATATCATCTCCAAGCAACAAGCTAGGATGAGCCTGAGATGCTGCAAAAAGTTGTTTTTTCCGTTTAGCAGGATCTAATGTTAAATTATCTTCTCCTGGTAGGTGATGTCTAATCATCTCCCAATGGTGTTCAGTGGTATTATAAGAGCTAGGAGGAAACAAAAATCAGAAGTATTCCAATCACTTTGCATTTGAATTCTCTGCTCCAAGCTCATAATCTGACCACCCATTCAAATTACTGTTTGATGAAGATCATTAATTTGATTTGCCAATTTTTGATCTATTTGGCTTTGGGAATTCCAAAGCTTGGAAAAAATTTTCCTGTCAACTATCCACAGAGCTCACAGTTTGAATAGAATAATGCAAAGTTATACCAACAGCAGCAGCTATAGCTGTGACCGCTATAAGGCCCATGATGACAGCTATTAAGGTAAATATGAATCTCTTTGATCTATTAAGTATTTCTTTTAGTACTGCAGTGATAATATATATGGAGGAAGAGGTGTCCCAAGGTCTATTGAGGGAAACAGGTATCCAAACTCCTTCTCAGGCCCTAACCAGTAAAATGCTATTATCTTTATTAAAGGTAGAATTAATGCAGGTAAAAATATGACAGCTGAGGCATGATATGGTTTGAGAGTCAAGTAGGATATTAACTTTTCCTACTGCTAACATAAAAGGAGGTTTAACACAACTCTGCAATGGAACTGTCTTATTAGAGATCATGGCTACAACAAATCAAAGTTTTTCACTATGAGTCCGTGTTTTATATTCTCCTTTCCAAATCCCAACTGGGGTTTGAGCCAACATTAATTTCCACAATTCTGGATGTTCTGGACTTATAATTGGATCAATCATTTTTGGCTTTGGAGGAGCCATACCATTCTCCTCCCACTTAATAGGGCAATTTGTTTCAATTCTTCTATATAATTTTAGTGCATTATCTGGGAAGTCGTTTGCAAAGGAGCCTCTCCAAAATCTTTGCTGTGTCTAGTACAATTTACAGCAAAGTGACCCCTAGGGGCCCAATCAGTGATGATTCCAATGGAATTATTTTGCAATACTGCAGTGCTGTTTACAATACAAACTTCCCAGGTTAGCACCTCTAGATTTTCAGACCATTTAGTGGCCTGCCTGGTGCAGGACTTCTTATTAGGTTTAAATTTATTAATCTGATGATATGTCATAACATAGCCATGCTCAAGGTATTTAATAGTGTCCAAAGACTGAAATGTTCTTCCACTGATTACATGAATAGAGGTCTTTCATCCATTATGTTCAGGGACATAAACCATCCAATTTAAACATCCTGCTGCTGGACCCAGGCAGATGGGAGGAAAGTGATAACCACTGGAAACTTTCATTAATATTCCTTCATCTTCTGGATGAGTAGGACCTTGGTTATCTATTGGTCCAGGCATCCAGACACTATCATTAACATAACCTCCACTGGGGCATCTAAACTTGTAACAGGCCTAATCAGTGGTGGGAATGCAATGTAGGTCCAATAAGTGTAATTTTGATCTGCCCCTCTGCAGGGAGACTCACCACCAAGGAGATTACCACCATCATAGCTACCATTAGATTACTGGTGGTCAGCAGCTTGTGCTGAGACCACAGGTTCTTTTCTTCAATGCGAGCTAGTCTCTTCATCTGCCCCCAGGTCGGTGGAGTTGCTTGGTAAGTTTCACTGGTTTCCATCTGCTCAACAGAGATGTTCATCTGAACCATCTGATGAACTGGGGGTGTAGGGACTTTCTGAGGTCTTTTCCTCTTCCTTGAATTCTGGCTCCTGGCACAGCTTAAGATGTCTTGTGGGTACCCAGACAAGAAGTTGATTCTCTCCTGGTGAGATATAAGCAAATCCTCAATCCCAACAAGACCCACTGGGGCCTTTTGTTTGGGTCAGTTTTTGGGCCGTTGATAAAAGCTATGATGACACGTCTGCTCCTGTATCGACCAGAGCCTCAAATTGTTTTCCTTGAATAGTGACCTACAAATAGGACTATTGTCAGAGACTTGATTTACCCAATAGGGAGCCTTGCCTGCTGAATTTGTGCTTCCATATCCTTTTTTTCTGAGATTTCTCCTAACTTAACATATGGTAAAAGCAACAGTTGAGCTATTCTGTCACCTGTTAGCACTCCAGGGAACAGTGGAGGAGATAACAATTTGAATTTCTCCCTGGCAATCAGAGCCCACTACTCCAGTATGTACTTGAATTCCCTTTAATTTTAAGCTGGACCTTCCCAGTATAAGTCCCACCATGTCCTTTGGCAATGGGCCGTAAATTCCCATTGGGATCTTCCTAGGAGGCTCCCCAGGAAGGAGGGATAGAGCTTTTGTGCAGCATAAATCTACTGCCCCACTTTTATCTGTGGAGGGGGACAATTGCTCTGCATTTGTACAGGGATACACTGGGCTGGGAATACTCTGTTTGGAGTCAGGGATGACCCACCCTGAATTGGGAATGCCCTGTTTTGAGTTTTGCCTTTTTTGGCTCTTTGTACACTCTCTTTTTGCATGTCCTATCTTTCCCCAAGTATATCAAGATCCAGAGAACACTCATGTGTTTTTTATTACCCTTTGTCCAGCCATTGCCTGAGAAAGGAGGCTGGCCTTATATAAGGGCTCCTCAATGCCATCACAGGCTGTAATATATTCACTTACAGTTTTTTCCTCATTTAGATCTGCCTTTACCTTAATAGATCTAATTTCTGCCTGACATTCTGTATTCACAGTTTCATAAGCAAGCAGCTGAATGATCACTTTCCTGGCACAAGAATTTGAAATAGTCTTTTGAGCAGCTTCTTGCAAATGGGGTGATAAAATCTGGATAAATCTCCCTTGGATCCTGTCAAACTGAGTTAAAAGAAGGATAAATAGTAACAGGGTCATGAATTTTTTTCCTGGTATCTTCAGCATATAGTTCTGAGCTGATCAACAGCCTCATCACCCATTACCATCTGTTGATTTACAGTACCCAATGCCTGTCCAATTCCAAGCAATTGATCAGATGTGATATTAATAAGAGGTTGGGCCTGAGCATTTCTGCCTGCCTGACTTGTTGCTTCATCTGTCCACCAGGTTTTAAATTGGAGAAATTGAGATGGGGACAGGGTGGATTGAGCTAATGACTCCCAATCCATAGGTATTAAGGGCCTGTTATAAGCCACAAATTATAATGAGGAATGAACCTCAGAAGAATTTGGCCTATATTGTCCAATTGCTTGCTTAAATTGCTTGTCCAATTTGGCCTATATTGTCCAATTGCTTTTTAATATTTTAAAAGAAAATGGCTCCCAGCAGGCCCGAGCATGTTCTCTGGGCTCCTGAGCTGGAGAAATAATTACCAGAAACTGCCAAGCATCCAAATCCCCCATTTCTTGTGCCTGTCAAATGGATGCCTGAATTGCCCCTGCACCATAATTTGTATTTGGACTGGCTCACAGCATTTTTCTCCCACAATTAACAGGTGGACAAGCCTGGATCATTCCCTCACCGTAATTGGCTGTTGGGCTGTTGAAGCTTCCCTTTACCATAGTCAATGGTAGGCCGTGCAACAATGGGAGTGGCAAGCTGTGTCTCAGTACCTCTTTCCAAAAATTCATAAGGCTGAGGTGGAGGTGGCTGTTCTGCACTTTCCTCTAAAGATGCAGTAGGGGGAACTCTTTCTTTCATAAGTTTTTGGAGGTTAGCATATACACCTTCCCATTTCTCCCCCTTTTTTAAACTAGACTGTGATGGTTCACTGTGCTGATTATCAGACTCCTGATTATTAAACTTTTCTATGTCACCCTGAAACTTCTCCTCCTCCTCCTCAGGGTGGAAGGGCTCCAGTGCTGTTTTAATTGCTGACCACACAGACCAAGTGGAGAAGGGAATATCGCAGCCCTCTTGTTGTGCTCCTTGTAAGTCTGATCTGATCTTGTTCCAGTCTTTTATATTCATGGTTCTATATTCTGAGAACAAAGGAGAATACTTTTCTATGAGATGGAAAAAAGATGTGAGATTTTGGGTACTCATAATTACTCCTTTATGGCTCAATAACTGCTGCACCAGGCTTGAGTAATTATCAAACTTGTTTCCAGCCTGACTCATATTTTCCTGAGGTTGCCCTGGAATTCTCTGAGTGCCCCACTTACCTGTAGAGCATGAAGGGAAAAGGTACTCGGACATCCTTTGTCAGTCATCCTGCACTTTCTACGCTCTGGTTTTCCCTCACTGGATGATTTGTAGAGATATAGGGAGTACTGTGTTGGGCACCAGATGTTGAGGAAACAAGCCCCACACCACTGGGCAGGTACCCCGTGTCCAGCGGAGACAATGGAATTAGAAAGAGGCAGATTGAGAGTTTAAAAAGCAGGTCCAGGGGACCAGAGAATTGGAGGCTTGCTCACGGACCCGAGCTCTCAATCTCCACCCAATTTACTGGTTTACAAGCTCTTTGTTCTTAGGTCAGATGGGAGGGGTAGGAAGGGATGAGGAAAATGATTAATCAGTGAAGCAGAACTCGTGAGTCATTCAATAAGATGTGTAGCAGTGGTGGTTTCTGTGAATTTCCTCTTGCAAAGGCATGTGTCTAAACTATGTAAGATTTTTAACAGCCGGGCACAGTAGCTCACGCCTGTAATCCCAGCACTTTGGGAAGCCCAGGAGGGCAGATCACGAGATCAGGAGATCAAGACCACGGTGAAAACCTGTCTCTGCTAAAAATACAAAAATTAGCCGGGTGCAGTGGTGGGTGCCTGTAGTCCCAGCTACTCGGAATGCAGAGGCAGGAGAATGGTGTGAACATGGGAAGTGGAGCTTGTGGTGAGCCAAGATCACACCACTGCACTCCAGCCTGGGTGACAGAGAGAGACTCCATCTCAAAAACATTATAATAGAAATAATAAAAATAACTTATCAGGACTGAAATGGGTGGGAGTGGGTTTCAGTAGAAGACAAGATGTTTGATTATACACCACTGCTTCAAGGGAGTGTTATTTCCCTGAGCAACCTGTAGCATGCTGCTGAGCTGTTATGCTCTTGAGAATAAAGACATGAAGTCAATAAGGAGACTTTTCTCCTCAGAGGCCACCCATGGCTCCCATGGGTGTCTCACACAGGGGAGAAGAAGTCATCTGGCATCCCAGAAACTCTCTTTCCCACAGAGAATGAGCTATCTTGTTCTGGAGTCCTAGCAATGTTCAATGATTTCTGTCAGAGAACCCAAAAGCCTCCTGCAAAGTGCAAACAACCTCAGCCCCCATTAAGAGACCAAGACCCACAACCTGGGTTGCAGCCAGCCTACCCAAAGTCCCTTGTCCTTCCTGAAATCCCTGGAGGCCAATAAATCTGCAGTGAGAGGTAGCCCAACCCAGCAAATCCCAATGAAAGACGCTTTCCACAGTGAGGAAGGACATGGAGATGGAATGAAACAGAGTCTAGATTACCAGGCAAAAGCCAGAAATGGCTGCCTACTTATCCACCTACAGGAATCATGCAGCCCTCTTGTAAAAGCTGGAGAGCAAGAGTCTCCTTGTTGGTGGCTGTAACAGGAATTTATGGTTTTAAAATTATCACAGATGCCCAGTCATTAAAACATGACACTGTTTAGAAGGAAACACTCATGCAATGGATTCTTTGAGAGTCACCTTCCATGAACAGGGAAACGTTTAGTGAGGAAGACATTGAGCCAGACCCAGGATACCCTAGGCTGATGAGGAACAGGTAAGTCAGAATATAAGAGGCAAGTATGGAGGTTACATCCTATATTGTATCAATCTCTCTCACTCCCATTTGGCTTCTGGTATGAAAGCTCTCATATGGGGGTTTGCCAGGATGGCACCAATTGGCAATCCAAATCTCCAAATGTTCCTTGCACATTGGAGTACTCCCATTGTAGCAGCATAAGCCATGGACAAAACCCTTCAGACACTGGCTTAAAGAAGGAAGTGACTTTATTCATCTGGGAGCATCAGCCAACTGTCTCAAAAACCAAGTTCCCCAGAGAGAGATTCCTGCCCTTTTTAAAGGCTTTCAACTCTAAGAGGGTCCCTGTGAAGGGGTCGTCATTGATTGAGCAAGCATGGGGTATGTGGCTGGGGCTGCATGTATGGGTAATCAGGATAGAAGAGGACAAAACAGTTTCACGATGCTTCCTCATACAGTGTCTGGAACCTATAGATAATACAAGCGGTTAGGCGAGGGGTTGATTTTTAACTGCCAGTCCTGGAGTGCCGTGCATGTTCTGCCTGGCAATTGAATTCATCTCTGCCTTTCTTTAGTTTTTGATTCCTTTTTCTTTTTTTAAGGTATGAGACAATAAGAGAGGTGGTCTCCCTCCTTATTCCCCACTTTGAGAATCTCACTTATTACTGGGAGTTCTCATTCTCATCCTCCCTTCCTAGGTCTTCCTGCAAGACAGATCAATATTGGTTCATGTAATATACTGGTGGTGAAGCATTTTGGTGGACAAAGGCAGTAACAAAGCTTCGCATTATTTGAAGGAGTATGAGTAGCAAGCAGGGGAGAAATAAGCATGTTCCTATTACTATTATTCTTCCTACTATAAGAGTTTTAAATCTTCCTAGCACTGGAAACCATTTTCCAAATATTGATCCAGGATCAAACCAATGTCAATCGATATTTTTCATTCTTTTTCCAGGTAGCCAAAATGATGACAGATGTGCAAGGTGTGTCCTATCTCTAACTATATTTTTGACCACTTGCCCTTGATGATCTATATGCAGACAGCAATTGGTTCAGTTCAATTTTCCACAGACCTCACCTTCAGCTGCTAGCAAGTAGTCTAGGGCTAATCTATTTTGATAGATAGCATTTCTCCTCTGGGTTTCCTGCAAGGCTAAAAGACTCAAAGCTTTGCCAGTTTTATTAGTGATTATTTCTAAGACAGTTTGTAACTGTATGATTTGGTTGAGCATGTAACTGGGGGTTCAGTATCCCCATGAGCTGTCTTGTGCCCAAGTGGCAGGCCCATAGTATTGTATGATTCTTTTAGGGAGCCACTCAATATATTTCAATTCGCCTATAGCTATGCTCCTCTTTTCTCAGGAAGCATAGACTTGGAAGACCAGGATTTCATGTGTTTTCATGGGCAGTAGGAAAAAGGATGGTATAATGGTGCCAATAACAAAACTACCCGCCCATTTTTCAGGTAACATCGTGTAGGCTGTATGCCCAGATATCCAGCATAGTCCAGCATGGGCTGTCCAGTCCCATTGAGACTCTGTGTGGGTCCACATGGTTTGCAACTTTGGAAATTTACTAAACAGATTTTTCTCAGTGTGGTTTGAACCCCACCATATGGCTGTTTTTACTGTGCTGTTATACAGTTTTGCCCAAGGCAGGTGAACCTTCCCACAGGGAGGATGAAGTTGTTTCCTTCTATAGCTATGCAATACTGCCCAACAATTGAGGTTCTTAGGACACAGAAGTTGCCAGTGTTGGTCTTCTGGATTGTAATCATATCAGGAATTGGATCAGTAGGCACTAATTCTCAGGTTTCTTAAGGCCATTGCTCTCCCATAGTGGTTCCCTCACATATATAAAAGGAAGAAATATTGAGGGAATGGACTACAGTTTCTGCTAACTGCAGGAACAAATTCTTTGTCTTCCCTGGGAACTCTGGTGTGGGCACATTTAATTCATCACAGAAAGTCTGAAACACTGGTTTGTAAGAACACATTTTGACCTCTTGTCTGACTGAAATATTTACTCAAGGATCCTGTCCAGCTACATTGATCCCAAGAGTTACATGTTTTCCCTTTTTCCAATGGGGGGACTAGGGGACTGGTGATTATTGGTTCTAAGGTGTTACTGTGGCTGCTTGTGCAAGAGGAATCACCCTTTCCTTTCTGAAGCCATACTGGATATTTTTCATTATTTTTCCAGGTAGCCAAAATGACACAAGACCAGCAATTACAAGCTTTATCATATTGGCCTAACTCGTGGCAAATATACTTATTCTCTGCTGGATAACTTTTTTCTCAGTCCAGAGAGCCACATCCTTATCCTTAATGGTTAATATTAATGGTGACACCAGCATCAGAATTTAAGATTTTTTGTTTGGGGATTCATTTTTCTTCTGTTTTAGCTATTATTTTACTTGTATCACTTAGAAAAGGGAGAGTTCTTAATCTTATTTCAAAGACTGTGTTCATAGGAGATTCAGATGTGTTATAGCATATCCGAGTGAAGTTATACAGGCAATATTCTTTTAAAGTTCCTAGGCATTCATAATATCTATAAACCGAAAGATTGTTTTAACTTGTTTCCCTACCTCAGTAACATGATGATTACACAGGGAACAGTCCTCCATTTTGGGAACATGACAGTGTTTAGAAGGAAACACTCATGCAATGGATTCTTTGAGGATCCTCTTCCATGAACTGGGAAACTTTTCATGTGGAAGACATACACAGTAAGCATTGTATAATCAGTCTTTATTATACAAGTCCAAATTTTAAGAAGAGTAAGTCCCACGATGAGTTTTCTCATGCTTCAACCATGTGTATACCAGTCAGCTTAAAAGTGTGACTGGAGCAGGCCTTGTCATCTTTCTGAGTGTCACTTTGCAGTGGTTGTCTGGCCTTGGTCTTACCTCCCAGGTCTCAGGCACTGCAGGTGTTACACGATGGTGATGGATCCAGGCTGGGATTCCTTCTACCTTCACCAGGTGGGAGTGGTCAAAATGACAGTCTGGTGTCCCTTACACCATGGACGTAGGGGGCTGCATTCCAGTCCTTGATCCATATGGGATCACCTGGGGAGAAGTTGTGAACTGGGGAGAATAAACTAATTGGCCCCCTTCCATTTTCGCAGCCTGAAATTTTTGTGTAATTTTTCCTAGATCTTGTAGCTGTTGCTGTAACTTAACTTCACCTAACTCTCGAAGAGTGCCTGGGAGTCCCCATAATATGGGAGTGGGTCTATGATATAATATTTCATAAGGGGAATATCCTGTTCTTTTAGAAGGAGTACATCTTATCTTAAAGAATACCATACAGAGAGTCTGTAACAATCTCAATCCTGTTTCTGGACACACTTTCCCTCAGCTATTTATAATAGTTTGATTAATTCGTTCCACCTTTCTGGAACTCTAAGGTGAGTAAGTTGCATGTAGTTTCCACGTGATCCCCAATACCTTTGCTGTCTTCTGCACCAAGCCAGTCACAAACGCTGTCCGTTTATCTGAACCGATTCGTAGGGGCAGTCCAAATCTAGGAATAAGATCTCAAAGAAGCACACATGTTACTTCACGAGCTTTTTCAGTTTGTGTCGGATAAGCCTCTACCAGCTTAGAGTATGTACACACAAGAGCTAGTAAATATGTGTTACCTCCACAATTTGGCATCTCTGTGAAGTTCACCTGGAGATCTTCAAAGGGGGCTGCTCCATAAACTTGTATGCTGGGCAGAATTGCTGGACCCTCCCTCACATTTTGTTGTCAGCATAAAATACATCGCTATGCCATGGTTTTGGAAAGGACTGACAAATATGAGACGTAGAAGTACCAGCCTAACAATTTTTTAAGTGACTCCTGAACTAGAGGGGTAGTTTCATGCACAGCCAGTACAACTGTGGCTCCTAGCAGCTGTGGCATGGCTATTCTTCTGTCTGGTAACTGGATCCATCCCTCTTTTGCTGTTTGCTCTCCTTCTGCCTGAAAGAAGTCTTTCTCCTCTTTACAACAAGTAGGTACAAGGTCAGGTGTCTGAGGAAGCATGGGGGTTGAGACCAATGTCTGGTAGGGGTGGAGGCTGCTTTTTGAGCCTCTGAGTCAGCTCTGGAGTTCCCTAAAGCAACCACGGTAGAAGCTTGCTGGTGTCCCCTGAAATGCATGACTGACACATTTTGGGGTTTCCATACTGCTTCTAATAATTACAAGATTTATTGCTGATGATTTATGTCCTTTCCTCCAGAGACTAACAGCCCTTTTTCTTTATATAATGCTCCATGTACTTGGAGGGTTGAGAAAACATACCAAGAGTCAGTGTAAATGTTTTTAGTCTTACCTTCACTGAGTTTTCACACCCAAATTAAAGCAGTGATCTTGGCTTTCTGGGCTGAAGTACCCTATGGCAATAGTTTGGCCTCAGTGACAGCGTCCAGGGTTACCACTCCATATCCTGCATACCTCACTCCTTGTGGGTTGACAAAGCTGCTCCCACCCACATATACCTCCCAGTCCACTGATGCCCAAGGCTGTTCATACACGTCAGGCTTGCTAAAGTAAGCTGAGTTCAACACCTCTACACAGTTATGCTCAATAGGGCTTTCTTATACAGGGAGCAAGGTGGCAAAATTCAGGTTGTTACAAACTTCATTGATTGTGCAGGGATTTTCACAGAGCAAGCTTTGTACTTGCTTAGGCTAGCATTCATTAGCCAATGATATCCTTTGGTATTCAGTAAAGTCACCACAGCATGTGGGGCCTTTATGTTCATGTTTTGCCCAAGAGTTAGTTTATCTGCTTCTTGTGCTATCAGGACAGTTGCTGCTAAGACCCTCAAACAAGAGGGCCAACCTTTAGAAACCCTGTCTAGTTTTTTAGAGAGGTAGGCCACTGGCCTCAGCCAGGACCCCACATTCTGAGTCAAAACCCCAACTGCCATTTTTTCTCTCACTGACACATATGGTGTAAATGGCTTTGTCAGGTCAGGCAGAACCAGAGCTGGAGCTGACATGAGTTTCTTTTTTAACTCATAAAAGGCTTGCTCTTGTTGGGACCCCCATTCAAAAGCTTCCTGGTCTCCCCCTTTGTAAACCCATACAGAAGCTTGGCTAGTACTGCAAAGTTTGCAATCCACAGTCTGCAGAACCCCCACATCTCCTAAGAATTTTCTCACTTGCCTTCTGGTCTTAGGCTCCAATAGGCTGCAGATGACTTGCTTTCTTTCTGACCCCAAGCTGTGTTCCCCCTGTTGGATAGTCAATCCCAGGTAGCTTACCTGCTGTCTTCAGATTTGAGCTTTCTTCTTGGACACCTTATACCCACAC
The DNA here is from genome assembly GCF_000001405.40 of Homo sapiens. Lineage (NCBI taxonomy): Eukaryota > Metazoa > Chordata > Mammalia > Primates > Hominidae > Homo > Homo sapiens. The sequence continues at coordinate 152,812 of NW_025791821.1, forward strand.
TCCTGCAGCTACTGAAGGAGGGCCTCTGTCCCTCTGGCACACCCAACTGCCATGGGGTGAGCCTGCAGAAGATCATCAATGTGCTGGAACAAAATGCAGCATAGGTCTTTGGTGGGGGACTTTTTGAGGTCTCAAGCCAGCACCTCCAGAAGGTGGTGGGTGACTGCTTGAACCCTTGGAGAAGCAGGATTCAAGTGTACTGAGTGGTGACACCTAACCCCAGATCTTCCCTCCCACTGGAAGGCAAACAGTTTCTGGCTCTCAGGAGATAGTCTGATGCTAAAGAAGGTGTCCTTCAGGTCTAGACAAGTGAACCACCTGTCCTCAGCTGACAATAATCCAATAATGTGTATGGGTTAGGTACTGTTGGATGTAAAGTCACTGTAGTTTGACTGACCAAGCACAAGTCCTGTACTCGCCTGTAGTCCTCAGTCCCTGGCTTAGGAACAGGCAGGAGGGGAGTGTTCCATGGCGACTGACAAGGGACTATAATTCCAAAGGCTCTCAGACATTTGAGATGAACCTCAAGAGCTTGTCTGGGGACTGGGCGCTGTCTTTGCCTGACCGGCTGGACCCCAAAATTAACTTCTATGAGTATGGTGGCTTGGTTGACTGCCAGTCCTAGAGGTTTATCTTCTGCCCACACACTTGGCTACCACTTAGCCAGAGCTGGTCCTATCTCTTTGCCTGACTTACTTAAGAAAAGTCTCCATTCCTCCTCCCAGGGTACCATAAGGGCCATAATGAACAGGGATTCATGTCCCCCTACAGTACAAGTCTGGGGCAAGCAGAAAACTTGTTTCTCTGAGACTCCTGTGGCTCTGAATATATCAATAGTATTTTTGGATAAAGGGGTGACCGGGGTGGTTACTACTGAATGTTCCACACCAGTATTGACAAGAAACTTTGCCCCTGACTGTCATACTGACTGTGGGCTCATAGGGAGCACCTGAGCCCAGTTCCCCTCAGTCCAGTAACTCTTCTGCCAAATTAAACAAGGCCACTTCATCCTTGCTTGAGACCTCTGGCTCAGAGCCATTTTGTTTCTCTTTTAACTGGGGGCACTTGTCTTTCCAATGCCCTATTTCTTTACAGTATGCACACTTGTTATGCTGCAGGTGCGGTTGGTCAAACTGGGTGTTTTTTTCCCAGGGCCTTCCCTTCTTTGGCCCTTTGGGTGAAACCCTCTAATAGCTGTGACTAGGAGGTCAGCCTTTCACCTGGCTTGGTGCTTGCTTTCTTTGCAGCTTTCTCTATGGCCTGCTGCATCTCTATTCACAAACCCTGATTGGCTATTTCCAATAACAGTGATGTGTTTATGCCCTCAAACCTAGCCTGTTTCTGAAGTTTTCTTATAATGTCTCCTGTGCTTTGATGACCAAAAGCCATGTTAATCATGCTTTAATTTTCAGGGCTTTCAAGGTCAAACGGTGTATACTTACAATAGGCCTCAAAGTCTTTCATGAAATTGTGCTGGACTCCCTTCTTTTCCTTGAATGACCTCAGACACTTTGTTAACATTTCTGGCCTTCTGAGCTCCCTTCTTTAACCCTTCCAGGATGCCTTCCCTATATTGCTTTAGCCCTTCTATACCTTTCCCTTCATTTGGGTCGACTTGGGGTTTGTTTCTGGTACTTGGATCCTCACATACTCCTGCGGATTTTGGTAACTGGCCAGAGCATGTCACTCCAGCCACTTGGTTGCTGTCTGAAACTCCCTTCGCCTTTCATCTGTGTTAAGGAGGTACATAAGCAGCTGGCAGCAATTGGCCCAAGTAGGGTTGTGGGTGTGGATAATAGTTTGGAGTAAATCAATTAAAGTTTGAGGCTATTCAGTATAAAATGGGGTATTATTTTTCCAATTTAGGAGTTCAGCAGATGTAATGGGTTGATACATGAAGGCACGCCTTTTCAACATATGCCCATCCTCCTTTACCACACTACACTGCTGCTTCCGCAGGGGAATTTGAATCCCAGCCTTAGGTCATCAGTGAACTGCCAAGGGTGGGGTTTCTCCCACGGCTTCACATCCTCTCTTGTCTACTCTGGTGGCATAGGGGTGGGTGTGTGTCCTGCAGAGGCACAGGTGCTGTGGGCTCAGGAGTAGGGAGTCTCTCTTCTTGATAAGGTTGGGGGCATCGTTGGTGCCATTTCCTGCCATGAGTCTTCTCATATTGGGTCAGACAGAACTTTAGGAGCTGACTTCCTTCAGCGGGTGGAGTTGGATGCTTCCTTGGCTATCTGTCTTTTTGCCACTAGCACTGCTGCTGCTGTCTGTCCTCTTCACCACTGTGCAGGGGGTCTAAAACCAGCTATAACCAAGTGTCTATGTATGGGAACTGGTCTGGGTGCCCTGGCTTACAGATTATCTTGTGCCATTGCTTTAAAACAAGGGACCTATCTAGGCTTCCTTCTGATAGCCAACCCACTTCAAACGCTGGCCAGTCTATCTCACACAAAGTTCTAAGTTTCCCTGGTGTCATAGTAACTCCATAGTTTCCTTTAAATCTCTTCTTGAAATTTTTCAACATATTTCCTAGCAAGTTGGACTTACTTTGTGTCTGATTCATTTTTCTCCCAAGAAAAGACAATACTCACACTGCAAGAAGGAAAGGGTAAAGGTCACACACTCTTATTCAAACTAAATCAAGTAATTCAATCCAAGTCAAAACCTAAACCTAAACCAAAGTGCTGAGAAAGGCATGCCGTGGGTATCAGGCCATGCTTCCACTTGGAGTAGGCAAGTTCCCAAGACCAGCCATACCATGTTCCAGATGTCCAGACTCCAAGTACCAGTTCCTTCCTGGTGTACAGCCACTACATCGATCCTTTGTGGGAGCCTGCTGTGTACTGCTCTAGTGAGGCATTCCACTGGGGCTATTGCCTACCCTGGAGCTCTCTCAGGATCCACATCGCTCAAGCTGGATGGAGTCCTCCTCAAGGATGCTCCACAAGGCAGACCTAAGCCACCTAATGGGCTGCCTCAACCTTATGCTAATCACGTTACTTCCAGTCAAGGAACTGAAAAATGTAGCAGGAGCAGCCATGGACAATACCATTCAGACACCAGCTTAAAGAAGGAAGTGGCTTTATTTGGCTAGGAGCATTAGCAGACTTGTGACTCAAAAACTGAGCTCCCTGAGAGAGAGATCCCTGCAGCTTTTAAAGCTTACAAATCTAGGGGATCCATGTGAAAGTGTCATGATCAATTGAGCAAGCATCGGTATGTGGCTGGGCTGCATGGATCAGTAACCAGGACAGAATAGAACAGAACAGAAAGTTTGACAATGCTTCATCACACAATGTCTGGGATCTATAGATAATACAAGTGGTTAGGTCAGGGTTGATTTTTAAGTACCAGGCCTGGAGTGTGGTGCCAGCTTTCTGACTATTGATCTCATTTCTGCCTTTCTTTAGTTTTTACTTCCTCTTTCTTTTTCTGATTTATGAGACAATAAGAGAGGTGGCATCTTTCCTCACCACCTGAACACTGGGCCATGATGTGGACTGCTTGTACAGTTAAGGAAATGCAGGGATGGAGTTGGAAGCACCTTCTGTGTCATTTCTCTTCCAGGTAAAGTTGTGGGACCTAATACACCCCTCACCAGATTGTATCCTCACCACTATCTGACTTTATTGCTGCTTACACTCTAGGTCCCAGGATGAAATCCCAGGATGATGGAGTGCCCCCTCATGACTTGAAGCACCTGCTTGGCTGGGAACTGAATTCGAGGTAAATTCAAGGGGCCCTGTGGACAATACTGCTAGTGTCTGTCCCTGGGTTGGCTGCAAGACAATGAAACAATGGGAGATGTTTGTTTTTTTGTTGCGGATTTTATTTTTTTGCAGTGTTAGGTAATTAGGATGCCAGAGGTTCTTGGACCCTATCCCAATTCACTGAGGATTTATGATCCACAGAAAAAAAAAAGAGAAAAGAGAAAAAACATGGAACTCCGCAGCCCAAGCAGAGTCACACATATAGGCTACCAGAATGTTAGGACACTCAAAACAATAAAGCCATGAAGTGTGTTAGCCACATTTCTTTAAGTAGACTTCACTTGCAGGTGCACACATACATACACACCCACACACACACAAATGCCACACAAACACATGCAGATATCCAAAAGTCACAACACTCTAACAGAAACACACAGCCCAGCAGATCCTGAAGCTGTGTGGTTCTTCAGGAAGCCCCACCTGAGAGAGAGCAACTCCAGTGAACACAGGTGGGCTGTACCTAGAAATAACAGTGGGGCAAGTTACAAAAAGACTTACCCCTACAACGTCTAGGCAGGACTGACAAATCCTGCAGATACTTTTGGATCCTTAGGGATTTTGCAGTTTTTTCTTGGGGCTGTGCTTGAACTTTTTTTTTTTTTTTTTTTTTTGGTTGGCTCACCTCTGCCATCTCCTAGATTCATCAGACTATCCCATGGATCCCACAGAAAAGACAAGCGACAGTCCACCACCAACGAACCTCCATGGAGTTCTCCTTCTCCACCCAGCCACAGGGACTTTTGTCTAAGCAATGGTGACATTCATTGTGACACCAGCCAGAGCTCACAATCAGGCATGATGCCCTGAGACATGCTCATTCCCATTCATGAGGCAGGCACAAGTGCCTGACTATCAGAACTGTCAGCCTGCCTATACAGAGAAAAATGGTACAGGCAGAGACAGCCTGGTATTGGGAAAAAGGCTGTCTGCAAAAACCCACTGTGGGACCCTAAGAGTCTCAACCTCAAAGCATGTTCAGGCTTTCTCCGTGGTCAGGTCCCCCTGGAGATGGATGTGCTTCAAAACCATGAGGTGGTCCCTGGAAACTGCATTTCTCACTCTTTCTCTGAAAGAGGCTGTATTCCAGAATCAGGTCCCGTGAAGTTTGGAATATATTCTGGTGTATTTTTGAGGGTTCTTTCGGTGATAGAATCATACCTGAAACCCCAGAGGCAGGTGTCTATAAAAGACGGACAGGCTCTTGACTTCACTGCCTCCCTTCATCCTCGGCCTTGCAGGAGCTCTCTGGGGAAGGCAGGAACCACAACAAAGGCAAGTCCAAGATGGAGCAGTGTTCTCACATCTTGCACTGACCTCTCATGGGTGTAGATGAGGTTGAGACAGTATCTCAGAGGCCATCTGTGGTGATGGCAAGCCTGAAAACTATGTCCAGTAGTTCTGTTGAGAGGCACTGTGGATTCCTGATGAAAGCAGGGAAAAATCCAAGACTCATCTGAGAGAATGAGCTGCCTTGTGCTGGAGTTGAAGCAATGTTCAATGATTCCTGTCAGAGGACCCAATAGCCTCCTGCAAAGTGCAAACAACCTCAGACCCCACAATGAGACAAGGACCACCTGAAACATGGAGTGCAGCCAGCCTACCCAAAGTCCCTTTTGCTCTTTGAAATCCCTGGCAGCAAAATAATATGTGGCAAGAGGCAGTCCCATCCAGCAACAGCCCAATGAAAGAGCTCGTCCACAATGAGAAGGCCTTGCAGAAGACCCATCCCGTCCAACATCAAGCTATACCATTTCCATTTGTCTCTGGGTATGAAACCCCTGAAATCAAGAGTTTGCCAGGATAGCCCAAACCTACACTCCAAATGTTCCTTGAACGTTGGAGTACTCCCACGTGAACATCGAGCCATGGTGTGGGCTGCTTGTGCAATTAAGTGAATGTGGGTATGGAGTTGGAAGCACCTTCTGTGTCATCTGCATTCATTTTTTGTGTGTGTGTGGGTAAAGTTCCGCGACCCCATCCATCCCTAGCCAGATTTTGTCCTCACTCCTATCTGATCTTATTGCTGCTCACACTCTATGTCCCAGGATGAAATCCCGAGATGATGGAGGAGTGCCCCCTCCCAACTTGAAGCACCTGCTCAGCTGGGAACAGAATTCTAGGTAAATTCAAGGGGCCCTGCAGACAGGACTGCTAGTGTCTCTCTCGGGCTTGGCCACAGGTAAATGAAACATGGCGGGAGATGTCTACTTCTGTGTGAAGAGGAGTGGCTTTTATTGCAGGGGTAGGTGATTTGGACCCTGTCAGGTCACAGCCAGCCTCCCAATTCACTGAGGATTCTTTATCCACAAAAAAATAAAGACCACAGAGCCACAGAGTCCAGGTAGAGCCACATAGATAGGCCACCAAAAGATGGGAAGACTCAAACAAAAGATGCACTACAGAGTGTTAGCCACATTCATTTAAGCGGACTCCACTAACACACACACTCACACACAAAGGCAAAGCCACACACATAAGCAGACATCCAACACTCACAACAATCCCACAGAAACACACACCCAGACAGCTTCTGAGGCTTCATGGTTCTGCAGAAAGCCCCACCAAGGAGAGAGCAACCACAGGGTACACAGGTGGTCTGTTCCTCGAAATCACATTGGGGCAAGTTTCTAAAGGACTCACTCCTACAACGTCTAGGCAGGCCTGAGGCATCCTACAGATATACTTGGATCCTTAGGAATTTCACTGTTTATCCCTGGGGCTTTGCTTGACTTTTCGTCAGGCTGGCTCACGTCTGCCCTCTCCTAGGATCATGGGACTATCCCGTGATCCCACAGAGAAAACAGCCAGAGTCCACCGCCTACGCACCTCCACGGAGGTCTCCTTCTCCACCAAGCCACAGGGACTTGCTGCTATGCAACGATGGCATTCACTGTGATGCTAGACAAAGCTCACAGCTTAGGCCTCGTAGCTTGAGAAGAGCGCATGCGCATTCGCGAGGCAGGAGCGGGCGCCCAACTTTCAGATCTGTGAGCCTTCCTAAGCAGAGGAAAATGGTACAGGCAGAGCCAGCCTAGTATCGGGAGAAAGGCTTTCTGCGATAACCCACTGCGGGACCCTGTAAGTCTCGACCTTAGGGCCCCATCGGGCCATTTTTGTGGCCTGGTCTGGCTGGAGAAGGAGGAATTTTGAGACTGTGTGGTGATCGCCGGATGCTGCTCTTCTGACTCTATTCCCAAAAGAGACTCTGTGCAAGAATTGGTTCCCATGGGGTTTGGAATATAATCTGGTGAGTTGTTCAGGGTTCTTTTTGATTGACAGAATCATACCTGAGACCACAGAGGCATTGTCAGCGAAAGTTAGCCACGCCCTTTACCTCACATCCTCCCTTCACTCTGAACCTTGCAAGGGCTCTCTGGGAAAGGCAGGGACCATGGCAAAGGAAAGTCCAAGGTGGAGCAGTGTTCTCACACCTCAAAGTGGGTGCTCACAGGTGCAGAGGAGGTTGAGACAGTGTCTCAGAGACCATTTGTTGCCATTGCAAGCCTGAAAAGGGTGTCCAGTAGTGTTGTTGAAAGTCAGTGTGGACCCACCATGACAGCAAAGAAAAATCAAAACTCACCTGAGAGAAGGAGCTGACTTGTGCTGGAGTCCAAGCAGTGATCAAAGATTCCTGTCAGAGGACCCAAATCCTCTTGCAAAGTGCAAACAAAGTCAGTCCCCACAAAGAGACCAGGATCCACACTCTAGAGTGCAGCCAGCCTATCCGACTTCCCTTTTGCTCCCTGAAATCCCTGGAAGCCAAGAGATCTGTGGAGAGAGGCAGTTGCATCCAGCCACAGTCCAATGAAATACTTCCTCCACAATGAGAAAGGACATGCAGACACAATGAAACACAGCTTAGATTACCAAACAAAAGCCAGACATGCCTGCCTGCTTCTCATCCTACAGGAATCATGCAGCCCTCCAACAGAAGTGGGAGAAAAAGAGTTTCTTTTATGGCATATGTAATGCTGACTTATGGTTTTAAATGTATCAAAGGAGCCCAGTCATTAAAATGTGACAGTGTTTAGAAGGAAACATGCAATGAATTCCAGTGAGGGTCATCCTCCATGAATGGGGAAATGTTTAGTGTGTAAGACCTTAGCCAGACCCAGGAAAACCTAGGCCGACAGGGAACATGGAAGACAGGAAAGGAAGAGGCAAGTATGGAGGCTATATCCCACCCAGCGTCAATGCATCTCACTCCCATTTGGCTATGGGAATGAAAGCCCTCAAATCAGGAGTTTGCCAGGATGGCCCCAGTTTGCACACCAAATGTTCCCTGCACGTTGGAGTACTCCCAGGTGAACACAGGGTCATGGTGCACACTGCTGGTGCAATTAAGGGAATGCAGAGATGCATTTGGAAGCACTGTCCATGTCCTCTGTCTTCACCTTTTTTGCAGGTGAAGTTGCAGGACCCCGTCCACCCCTCACCAGATTGTATGCTCACCCCTATGTGAACTTACGGCTGCTCACACTCTCTGTTTCAGAATGAAATCCCAAGACAATGGAGGAGTTTCCCCTAATGACGTTAAGCACCTGCTTGGCTGGGAAATGAATTGGAGGTAAATTCAAGGGGTCCTGTGGACAAGACTGCTAGTGTCCCTCCCTGGGTTGGCCACAGGACAATGAAACACTGGGAGGCGTCAATTCCTGGGTATGACGTGCCCCTCTTCTTTCCAGAAGAGTACCTTTTTCTTTTTTGGCAGGGGGAGGTAGTTTGGCCTCCGGCGGGTCTCAACCAGACTCCCAATTCGCTGCAGATTCACGATCCACAGAAGAATAAAGAACACAGAGACCCACAGTCCAAGCAGAGCCACAGACACACAGGCGACCAGAATGTTGAGTTACTGAAAAAAAAGAAGCACTGCAATGTGTTAGCCACACTACTATAAGCAGACTCCACTTACAGGCATGCACACCCACACATACACCCACAAATACACAAAGCCACACAGGCAAGCAGACATCCAACACTTGCAACACTCCAACAGAAACACAGCCCAGCAGCTCCTGAGGCTAAGTGGTTCTTCAGGAAGCCCCACCTGGGAGAGAGCAACCCCGGGGAACACAGGTGGGCTGTACCTAGTAATCACTGTGGGACGAGTTTCAAAAATACTCACCCCTACAACGTCTAATTAGGCCTGAGGCATCCTGCAGATCCTTATGGATCTGTAGGGATTTCACAGTTCCTTCCTGGGGTTCTGCTTGATGTTTCTTCAGGCTGACTCACATCTACTCACTCCTAGAATCATGGGACTGTCCTGTGGATCTCTGAGACAAGACAGGCAAGATTCCACCGCCAACACACCTCCAGGGAGTTCTCCTTCTCTGCCAAGCCACAGGGACTTGTCACTAGGCAATGGTGGCATTCACTGTGAAGCTAGCAATAGCTCCCTTCTCAGGTCTGGTACTTTGAGGCTATCATATGCGCATTCGTGAGGCAGGCTTGGATGCCTGGCTGTCAGAGCTGTCAGGCTGCCTAAGCAGATGAAAATGGTACAGGCAGAGCTAGACTGGTACTGAGAAAAAGGCTGTCTGTGATAACCTACTGCAGGAACCTAAGAGTCTTGACCTTATTGCCCCTTTGGGTCATCTCGCTGGTCAGGTCCCGGTGGAGGAGGAGGTATTTCGAGACTGTGAGGTGGTCGCTGGAGATGGCTCTTCTGTCTCCATTCCTGAAAGAGTCTGTGTGCAAGAATCAGGTCCGATGGGGATTGGAAGAGTCTGATGAGTTGTTGAGGGTTCTTTATGTGATGGAATCATACCTAAGACCTCAGAGTTGAAAGGTGCTGGGCACTTCACCTCACTGCCTCCCTTCATCCTCGGCCTCACAGGGCCTATCTGGGAAAGGCAGGAACCACGACATAGGCAAATCCAAGGTTGAGCAGTGTTCTCTCACCTTGATCTGGCCTCGCTTGTGGGCAGATGAGCTTGTGACAGTGTCTAAGAGGCCATCTGTGGCGATGGCAAGCCTGAAAAAGGTGTCCAGTAATGTTATTGATGGGCAATGTGGACACCCCAGGAAAGCAAAGAAAAATCAATGCTCACCTATGAGAATGAGCTGCCTTGTGCTGGAGTCCAAGCAACGTTCAACGATTCTTGTCAGAGGACCCAAAATCCTCCTTCAAAGTGCAAATATCCTCAGCCCCCAAGACGCAACCAGGACCCACAACCTGGAGTTCAGCCAGTCTATCTGAAGTCCCATTTCCTCTCTGAAATCCCTGGAAGCCAAAAGATCTGTGGTGAGAGTAGTTCCATCCAGCAACAGCCCAGTGAAGGAGCCCTGTGACAATGAGAAAGGATGTGCACATGAAATGAAACAGAGCCTAGATAACGAGGCAAATGTTAGACACTGTTACCTGCTTCTCATCCTACAGGAATTGTGCCACCCTCCGATAGAAGTGGGAGATGAGTTGTTTCCCTGTTGGTGGCTGTGTGGGAATTTACATTTTAAAACTATCAAAGCTGTCCAGCCATCTAAAACATGAGTGTTAAGAAGGAAACACTTATGCAATGAATTCCCATGAGGGTCATCCTTCATGAACTGGGAAATGTTTTGTGTGGAAGATGGTGAACCAGACCAAGGAAACCCTAATTCGATGAGGAACACAAAGTCAGAAAATGAAGAGGCAAGTGTGGAGGCCACATCCCACCCACATCAATCCATCCCACTCCCATTTGGCCCTGGGTATGAAAATCATCAAAGTGCAAAACCCCAGTTTGCACTCCATATGTTAATGGCAGGTTGGAGAATACCCACTTGAACACAGGGCCATGGTGTGGGCTGCTTGTGCAATCAACGGAATGTGGGGATGCAGGTGGAAGCAACTTCTGTGTCATCTGTCCTCACCTTTTTTTCAGGTGCAGGTGTGGGACACAATCCACACCACACCAGATTGTATCCCTTTCCCTATCAGACCTTATTGCTGCTCACACTCTCTGTCCCAGAATGAAATCCCAAGATGGTGAAGTAGTGTCCCCTCATGACGTTAAGCACCTGCCTGGCTGGTCTGACATATTGATTAATCATACTTATAATTGTTTACATTCATTGTAAAACACAATGTTTCATTTTTCTTCCTTATTCCCCACCATTTATTTTCTTCTCATATTAGTTACAGTTTGTAACTTATTTTGTTAAATATATACAATGAAGTAACACTGCAGTATTGCAGAAAGCACACTGCATTGGAAACAGACTCATATTGAAACAGGAAAATATTTCTTATCCCCCACTGCTGGGCAAGAAATTAGGACAGGTTGTGGGGCTCTGACCCCAGGCAGCATCCAGGGGTGAATTTTTACAGCTCCTGAATCCCCATTGGGCATATGTTACACGGCGTTAATTTAGTTTATTCATCTGTAGGCAGGTTGTGTTAGCTCAATTAGACACCCTGCCTTACTGCAAGGACAGAGGGCTTTCTGGATCCCTGGATTTCCTGCCTTGATGTAATTGAAGAACTGGCTCACACGTGGGCTTCTACAGTAAGTGCAAGGTTTCATTGAGTGGAAGTTCTCAGCAGATGAATGGGGAGCTAGAAAGGAGATGGAGTGAGAAGGTGCTTTTCCCCTGGAATGGGGCAGCTCAGCGATCTCCTCTCACAGCCCCGAGGAACTCCGTGTTCTTCTGTGGTGAATAGCCTACCACCTCCATCCTTGTCCTCTCCTTTCTCTGGTGTCTTCTTGGGGTCCAGTTGCTGTGTCTTTGTCTGCTGATGGTTCCTGTCGATGTCCAGCTGCTCTGTCTGTGCCTGCTAGGGTCTCAGGGATTCTTATAGAAGATGATGGGGGTATGGCAGGCCAGGGTGGTCTTGGAAAGTGCAACACTTGGGCAAAACAAAAACAAAACAAAACAAAAAACAAAAAAACAGAAGGGCATGTCCTCACCAATTTGGGCAAGAAAACAGAAGTGTGTGTCCTCATCTAGGTCAGTGAGCACAGGCCTGAGGGTGGATCCCTAGCCAAGAATCACACCCTCCTCTACCAGACACTTCCCTGCCCCCCTTCCATATCAATATTTTTTAAATTTAAAACTCCAAAAATAGTACCCAGATCCTTTAGAGAAGACAATTGGAGAAGATGGCATTAGAAGAACCAGACTAGGATTAGGGTCACTACATAGAAAATGGAAACACAGATGGCATGTCCTGCAGGCCATGGAATTACTGTGGAAAGATATCCCCTACTGAGAAGGAAAGGGAAACAAACAGGCTTCTCTCATCTTTTTCTCTAATCTCTGCAGTATCACCCCTTGACTGACCTAAAATAGGGAGTAAATTTTATGGGAGCCTAGGAAATGTGCCTCCCAGGGGTCAGGCATCTCTATAACAGAATAGTGCCAGGGAGAGGTGAGTGATGTATCTGTGGGCATACAAACCCAGGACCTCACACAAAGGAGTATCAGAGAGAAATATAGTATGAAGAGATTAAGAGAGAAGTAGTATCAGGAATGATTCATGCATGATATTTGTGAAGAGGACAAAAAGTAAAACAGAGCTTATGAGGTAGTAAACATAATAAGAACATAAACAAAAGCAGGCAAAATTGTAAAGTCCAGGGTATTAACTTTCCTTTATAGGATTTTGAAAATCCCTTGCAGAATCCCTTTCCCAATAGCTTCCTTTCATAGATTCATTCAAGAAATATTTAGTGAGCTAGTATGGTCTAAGAATTGGTCAGATGGCATCATGTGCATTGTTAGTACTTCTTTTGATAGAAAGAATGTTTCTTTTTTTCTACAATGTTTTCCTCCCAAACATTCTTCATGGAAATTTGAATCCTTACTGATCCAGTCAATTGTTCCTGCCCTAAGAATGGTCCCCAAACCCCTGCAAACCCCGTTAAGAACTTCATTCCTCTCCAACTAAGTTACTAAATTGTGTCTATTGTAACACTTGTCAGAGTACATTGCAATTATCGCTGTTCTCTTTATTCTCCAATTAAACTATGAATATTTTGAAGGAAATGTCTATAAACACAATGGCCTGTCATTTGTCAATACTTATTGTACCAAAGGTTATTAGATATTTACATATAATATTATAACATATTTATCCTAATTTTTGGAAAACAATATAAACAATGTTCACTGCCCATTCCCCATGAACTGCTCAACTTTAAACAATGTCTATGCTTTGGAGCAATTGTACAAACTTCCAAAGAACACCGGAAAGTGTTTTTATTTTGTTTGACTTTGTTCTGTTATATTGAATTATTTTGTAGAAACAAAGTCTTGCCCTGTGGCCCAGGCTGAAGTGCAGTGTGCAATCACAGCCCACTGCAACATTGAACTCCTGAGTGAATAGAAAAATAGGTGTGTGCCATCATGCCCAATTTAATTAATTAATTAATTAGTTACTTTTGTAGAGACTGGTCTTGCTATGTTGCCTGTGCTAGTCTCAAACTCTGGGTTTGAAGCAATTCTCCCTTCTCAGCCTCCCAAAGAGCTGTGATTCCAGGCATGAACCACCAGATCTCAAAGAGGAAATTTTAGATTTTACAATATTGCAATATGTTAGACTTCATTTCTTCTTTCAATTTTGCATTTGCAGAAGCACTTGAGAATAATTATTTCTTATGGTGAGAGGGTGATTTCTCATATTTGGTCAACAAATTTTGAAATCGTTATTTTGTTTACTGAAACCCTAATAACTGGTAGTCAAGTCAGCTGAAAGTCAAGTACATGAGTGTTTTTGTGTTGAGGTTTTGAAGACAAATGTAGAGAGATATTAAGAACCAAAGACATTTTATATATATATATATATATATATGCTAAAGCTTCATCCTTGTAGGTGAGGCATCATACATGGCAAGGATAGTTTTATAAAATACCATGAAATACATAATTTAGTAACCAATTCAGCACTTGAAATTTCCCAACTTAGTAACCAATTCAGCACTTGAAATTTCCCAACTTTGTATTCACCAGGAGTTAATGATGTATGGCACTTATAGTAAGTAAATTAAGGTTTGAATTGCTGTTATTTAAGTCATTGCTCAGCTAATCATTTAAGGTATCAAAGATTTTTACTTGTGCAATATCATAAACGCTGGACATTAAATATTAATCACTAGGATTTATGTATCTAAGAGCTACCATCTAATGTGATATTCTTCAGTAAGTTGACAGCAATAATTATGCTGAAAAATAGTCATTCCCATAGTGTGAGTCATTACAGCAATTTCCATCTGAGGATTTCATAGTCAGAGTCCAGATCTGGGCAACAGTGATTAATATAAAGGTTTTTAATGAGAAGAGATTTTGATATATCTAGCTGTGTTTAGATGTCAGTGCCTTGAATGGATGGGTTTGGTATTAATAAGAAAGGGTGCATTGGACTGGATACTAAGAAACGTATTGAATTGTTTCTCTTGTTCTCCATAACATGAAAGGTAAATCAGAGATATAGAAACAATGGAAAATTTCACAGAATGGCCTGACATTTCACTGCACTTTTATTTTTTTTAGCCACTTACAAATTCTTTAAACATACAAAGGTAGGACTGTTACAGGAAAAAAGTGTTGGTGTGAGAAGTCACAATCCACAGCAAAGTAATAGTCTGTTGTGGATGGCACCTTGAGTGCTGAATTAGAGTGAGAATCAACTTTCAGGCTGCCAACCTGGGACAAGGAGAATGAAGCTATCAGCAGTTAACATTATTGGATCAATTAAAGTGAATGTCAACAGAGATTTTGTTGATTTTACATCAAATTGAGTATAGGACTTCAAATTGATTATTTGATAAGGATAAACTCTTACCAAATTTCCCACATGAAAAATTGAGAACTAAAAGATTACACAACCCATACATTATGAGTATCTCATATAAATTTAATATACACATGTGCTAACTTACAGTGTGCAAATATTTGTCTATATCTAAATATATCCAAATCCATTGATGAACAGTTAGAAATTTAGAAATTATTCTCCCATTTTAACTTTCCCTTTCCTAGAATTTTGTCACAAATATAATTTTTCCCTCTGTTTGAAGCCTACTCTCTGGAGGCATGTAATATATGGATACAGTAAAGCCATGAGATATTACAGGGTTTGTATCAGAGAAAATAATAAAACTGGTGTTATAAAAGATCCACTGTAAGGAGAATTTTATACTTCACATGACTACGAATACAGAAGTGTTATTTCATTGAAAGCTGATATCAGTCAATACAATTTGTTTTTAATGTTTTGTTTAAAATACTTAATCTCAAAAGGATTATTTGAGTAATGTTATTGGTAATAAATAACGATTAAGAATTTCCTTTCATTTGTTGATTATTTAAAATGCAAGTAAAATACTAAAAAGTACTGTATAATGTAGTTTCATGATGCATTCTCTGTGGTTTTTGTAAAATTAATAGCCTCAATGGAATTTTTTGACACAGAGAAATTTCCTTATTTCATTATTGTACTTTCACTTTATTACTTGCTTGCATATCATAACTGATGGAAATAAAATATTTTTATTTACACATATACAAAGCATGGAATTTTATGTTTTCTAGTGAGAAAAAGTCACCAATAATTTTATCAGTATAGGAAAATTTTGATATGCCCAAAGTTCTTAACTTTCTTTTCTTTAGAAGTTTCATATTTCAGTCTAGGTATGAGATGGAATTGACTGTGATCATTGTTTTTATTTCACTGTGACTACTGAGTTTCTGATACAGTGATACTAATGTATAGACTTAAAAGCTTGCCTCCTCCTCCTCCTCCTTCTTCTTCTTCTCCTCCTCCTCATCCTCCTCCTCCCCGCTTTGGACCTGTCCATGTGATTTCTGCAGTAATATGCACCGTTATCTGAAATAAGGTTACTAAAAGGTACAAGCATAAGTGGAATTCTTTATTTTTATGAACCTTTAGGAACAGACAAGTAAAACTGAAACATAGTTGTGATATGAATTTAAGTCTGCAGTTTCTCACAGAAGTCCAAAAGGGTGAAAATAAATTTAAAAATGCATGCCTCATCCAAAACATCATGTAGAATAATGAAAAATTTAATTTGACATAAATACCAATTTAAAAGTTATAATTATTTCAGGTGAGAGAAAGTAGCACTAAAAATCCTATTTTTCCTGTTTAAGTACATAACTATTACTGTATCTTCAGGCCTTAAAAAGTGTTAAGTTTAACTTAAGCAACAACTTTCTGGCAATTTCTAACAATGAGTGCATCATCTTAGAATTTCTCCAAGAATTTTTTGGGAGAAATATAATCAAATTTTGCTCTGTAAACAATTGAATTAATCAATAGAATTATTGACTGTAGTCTTGAAATTTCATTGTCCTTCTCTTTTCAGTTTTTACATATTCTATTTAAAGTTCAAAATCCCCTAGGAAAAATATGATAAATAACAATGACTGAAAAAGTTGAGAAACAAAAACTGAGCAGCAGACACATTTCAGGCTTTCCTTTATGAGAATGCTACACTAACCATGTAATATACACAATATAAATCACTGTGAGAAAAAAAAAACATTTGTGTAGCTACTTGACAGTTTATACAGTAACAGCAAATATTCTCACTTGAACTTCAAAAGGGTTTTTAAGCTTGTGTTTCATAAATGAGGAAAATGTGGTTTGTATTTCCTGTATTTGCCTATTACAGCAGTTATCACACTTATTATTCCTCATTTATCTCTGTGCCTGTAACAACTGCACTCTCAGAAGAGCAAGGACCATGTTTTTCTGAGCTTCTTGCAGACTGCCAGGCTTATTGTGGCATTTAGAAACTATCCGCTGAATGTTTGTGACATTTTCATGCGAGTTAGATTCTAGGCCACTTGATACTAATCTTCTATTTAATATTTGGGTTTGGAGAGCTATTTTTCCTTTTCAGTTTTTTTTTCTTTTATCTTTTTTTTCTTTTTTTATTATAAATTAAGTTTTAGGGTACATGTGCACATTGTGCAGGTTAGTTACATATGTACACATGTGCCATGCTGGTGCACTGCACCCACTAACTCATCATCTAGCATTAGGTGTATCTCCCAATGCCATCCCTCCCCCCTCCCCCCACCCCACAACAGTCCCCGGAGTGTGATATTCCCCTTCCTGTGTCCATTTTTTCCTTTTTTTATTATACTTTAAGTTCTAGGGTATATGTTCACAACATACAGGTTTGTTACATAGGGATACATGTGCCATGTTGGTTTACTGCACACATCAACTCATTATTTACATTAGGTATTTCTCCTAACGCTATCCCTCCCCAGCCCCGCAACCCACTGACTGCCCCGTGTGTGGTGTTCCCCGCCCTGTGTCCATGTGTTCTCATTGTTCAACTCCTACTTATGAGTGAGAACAGGCAGTGTTTGGTTTTCTGTCCTTGTGATAGTGTGCTTAGTATGATGGTTTTCAGCTTCATCCATGACCTTGGAACCACAAAGAGATACCATCTCATGTCAGTTAGAATGGCAATCATTAAAATCAGGAAACAACAGATGTTGGAGAGGATGTGGAGAAATGGGAATGCTTTTAAGATTTTTTTAAAGTATATTTTAAGGATATGCTTATCTGGACATGGAGTGGACAGTGCAGGTCATGGTCAGTGGGACCTCCAAAGGAGGCACCCCATTCAAATTGGAGGTTCTGCAGGAGAGGGCAGCCAGGGTACAGAGCTCGAAGGCGCCCTTGGGGGAGGAGAAGGTGCTGGTGGTGGACAACGTCATGGTGGTGGTTGAGAAGAAGGCCAACATGGAGCCTGGTGGAGGACCAGCAGACACTGCCTGGTCCTGGCCCCAGCACACCCTGGCCAGCCACAGATTCGCTGGAGGTCCTTCACTTGAAGCAGAGTTCCATGAATAACCAGGCCACATGGCCTGCCCACAGCTGAGAGGGAACCTTTGGCAGAGGTGCCTCCCCCGCCTGGATGGCACAGGGGCCATCAGCCAGGGCATCTCCAGCTTCTGGGCCACAGCCACATCTTTGCAGCTGCCCATTCGGAATGACTGGCAGCAGGGGGTGGGCATCTGGCTTCCTGGGGTGGGGAGCAGGGGAGCCAAGCAAGGGGCACACGGGGCCAACCAGGAGGAAGGGGATGGGGGATAGTGAGGGGATCTGAGGCCAGGGTCCTGCAGATAGGAGGGCAGCTTGCTTGGGGGTGCCCTGAGAGCACGTGGTAGGGACTGGGAGCCAAGCTCAGCACTCACAAGGGAGAATAGCGGCCCCATGGACCCTTCACGCACAGCAGAAACTTGAAGGGCATGTTTCCATGAGAAAGTCCTTGGAGGAAGGGGAGTCTGCATGCCCATGCCAGCCATAGAAACCACCCTGGCTGCCCATGTCTGTGGCCAGCAGCCTTACCCCAGAAACACAAGGTGCTTCAGACTCAGGTTCACGGTGCACGGGGCTGCTGTCATCTGCAAGGCAGGCACCAGCTCCCCAGATAGGCTTTCTTCCTTCTGCCTGCACTGCACCCAAAGAGCTGTAGGCCCTGGGCATATACAACCTCCGTTGCACATACACCTCCATTACACACATGGGAGCCCCATGGGGAGTGACAGGCACAGCCCTGCAGTCCCTTCTATCCACAGCAGCTCCATCAAGTGGACATGCCCACCTCTCAGGGAGACCAGAAGAGGGGACTGCACACCTGGACACCCTCAGCAGAGCCAGTCCAGTATCCAGCACACAATGACCATGTGCAGCTCAGCAACTCTGAAGATACAGCCGCCTCACACAACGGCACCCCACACCCAATCCCCTGCCTACTTGTGCCGCCCGCTCCTTGTTGGCAGGGGCTTTCTGGGCCTCCCTCCACCCTCCCACAAGACCACCACAACCACTACCATGCCCCCAACACTGGACAGAGACAGGACCACGAATGCAGGGTACCAGGTCAAAGGTTTTGGGATAGCCCTGCCAAACACTCTCCCAGCTCTTGCAAAGTTGTGGGGTGTTTCCTGGCATGCCCACCCAATCATCTGGAGGTTCCTTGACCAGAGGCAGATTGTGCAGCACACCTACATGTCGGCAGAGTTCAGAAACCATGAGGAAGTCCTGCTAAGTAAGCTACAGGATGGATTTGAAGCTCAGGCTGAGGAGCCAGGGTCTGCAGGACGGGTCCAGGGTCCTGTTCAGGTTGAGGTCCTCCTGGGGCACAGGGGTGTCTGAGTGGTAGAGCTGGGAAGGGGCAACACATGCTTCACCCCAGCCAGCAGGCCCTCAGCCCAGATAGATGAAATGGATCCTTTGAGTCTGTCCTCTTCTTCTTGGCATGGCAGGTGGAGGAACTCAGTCATCCGGGGTACCGGCAGCAGGATGAAGTGTTCCTTTCATCACTACCTTTATTTCCACAATAAAGTGATCATTAAGGAATATCGTGTTCGCATCCTTGGTAAGGAGTGCCTCCTGGTGTGGTAGAGAGGGTGGAGTGTGGGACGCTAGGCCTGGCATGAGCCTTTCTGACTCGTTCCAGGATGCAGGGCTTCTGGCTCTAGTGTAGTCCAGTGGTTCTAGAGTCATCAGAAGAAGCCCCACCTTCAGTAAGGACACAGCCTACCTGAGCTTCCTCAGCTAGATGGCTGACTGTGACCACTCAGGGTCAGCCAGGACTGCTGAGGCAGGGGCCGCTGTGGGGTGTCATGGGAAAGGACCTTGCTGGTCTTTCCTTGGCATCTTGGGAACTGGCTTTGAACTATGACCTGACCTTTCACAGACCACTTCCCCACTCCTCCAGATCATCAGTCAGGGCTTCTGACTCAATCCCCTGCAGCACTACCTAAGGATTAGGTCCTCAGAGAGGGAACAGAGAGGAGGCCAGGTAAGCAGCCCACAGCTGGGGGCTCAGAGGCCTGTGGGTCCTGCAGCTGTGACACACATGGAGAACTCAAGGCTCAGGGAGGAGCCTGCAGTGAGAAATCCCAGCCATCCCTGGACTGGGGCAGAAAAGCCCATCAGGGAACTGTAACACTCATATTTCAGAATTGGGGAACCTGAAGTGCCTAAGAGGCAGAAGTGGCAAAGGTCAATGGGTGAGAAGCAACGCTCAAGGGATAGCTGTCTCATCATCCTTCTCTGGCTCCCTTCTATGCCTTGAGGCCTGCTACTACCTGGGGCTCAGTATGGGCTCAACTAGAGTGCACGCAGGGCATGCCTAGGTCTACGTACTTCTAGAATGGCTATACCAGCCGTGTCATGTTTTGTTTCAATGACCCCAGGCTCCCCTGACATGCTTTATCCCCTCTGCCATCCTCACTCATGCTTCCCCGGCTCTCAAGATATTTCCTATGACATTAAAAAATAGACATAAAGTTTTTAAAATGCCTTAATAATATAGATGCAGATAAAAGATTTCATTATAAAAAGTGCTTTTCCTCTTTACTTGTATCAAAGTCTTTTTCATGATGGGGAAAAGAATGCAACATACTTTGGTAAGTTAAAAAAGCATAAAAGTAAAAATAAATCCTACTGCAGATGATCAATTAAATGGCAGGGGATCTTCTGTGTGTGTCCAGGGAGGGTACGTGGCTGAGCAGTAAGCCTCACCTGAGTATTGGTGTAGACACCCAGTTTCCCTCGTACCAGTGTGGGTATGGGCACGTTCCAGTTTGCGTGTCCAGCCTGTGTGTCTACGCTGATGCACGCATGTGCACACCTGTGCCTGTGTCCCTTTGTGTACCTTGGTTTTGGGAGGGCTGACACTCCTGCCCACAGGTGTGCCTCAAACTCAGCTCTTAAGCTGGCAAGCAGGGTGCCACTGGGTTTGGCAATCCAACTTCAGGACCCGTGAAGTCTGCATGCTAGGGAGAAGCAAAGAGTCCTCATGGTTCTCACAAATGGCAGAGGGAGGAGGAAAAGGGTGGCTGGCACGAGCTACCTAGACGAGATGTCATAAACCTGAAATGACACCCAGAGGGATATAAAACCTAGTAGCTGCCTGTGTTTACCTGTGTGTTCGGCCGGGGCATTCAGGTAAGAATCAGTGAAACCTGCAGGGCTTTGGGATTCGCTATTCGGGAATCCCTGTGCACCAGAGTCTCTGGCCCATGAGAGAGGACAGCATGTGGGTCCGGCAGGGCCTGAGTCTCCAGGGAGGCTGGCATTCTCCCCAAGAGGGCATGGGTCGGTAGGTGGAAGAGAAACCTGGGCTGTGGGTTCAGGTAGATGGGACACCTACCACTTAGCCAGGTGGGAGCTCAGGAGAGGGCCAGGAGAGCCTAACTGGCCGGTGACACCCCGTCCCAGTGCTGGGTGTGCGCACACGAGCTTTGCCCCATGCACCCTCTCCAGGATGCCTCACCTGGGCAGACAGGAAGCAAGGCACACAAGATCCTAAGCTTATGGTCATGAGTGGACCCAGACTGGGGGGTCCCTAGGATCACTGTTCCCAGGAGAACCAGGCATGCAGGGTCTCTTCAGGACAGGGGTAAAATGCATAAGCCCTGCTCTCCACCCAGTGAGTGTCATGCCCTGATGATGTCAGCCATGGCAGATACAGGTCTTCCACCTAGATTGCAGATCCACAGGCTTACAACCTCCCCCTGGCCTTCTCTGGGACAGACCCCTGGACTCTGAAACAGCCAGTGCCCCAGGACTGTTCCTTCCCCGCCTCCAAGCTCGTGGGAGGCTCAGTGGGGACTCTCCTCCTAGTACATGGCCACCCACAGGCACTGTCAACAATCCAGGGCCCTTCTACATTCCAGGGTCCTGCCACCTTACCCAGCAGTGGGATAATGGGGAGGGAAAGAGTGGGAACAGACAGAGCGGGGGCCACAAGCCTCACCCTCCCACATGGCAAGGGAATGAGGAGATCCTTCTCAGCCCAGGCAGCTGCTTTCAGAACACACACCTGGAAGCCCAGCACCAGCTGAGGGATTCACTCTGCCACAGCTGGGCATGGGGGATTTCATTGGGGATTTCATTGTGTGCTGGGGAACTTGATCCTGGTTGCCATACCAGGTGTACCTCTCTTCCAGATCACAATATGCTCACACCCTCCTTTACCTGAATGGATTCCTTGTCCTCACCACATGGTGTTAGCTGGAAATGCTACTCCTGGTGCCCCAATTGCTGTTTCAAGGTGCAGAGACTGACCAGCAGACCCCTGAGTCCTTGTCCTCTTATCCAAGTAATATCCATAGAAATAGTAAAATAGTGGCACATTAGACCTAGTGATAATTTTAAGGCTGATCTCTTTATAAGCATTTCATCAATATATTTATGACTTTATCTCGTGTATTTTATTTATAACTGTCATTTCAAATTCAATTTTTGCTCAAGAGTTATTTTAACATATAGCGAAATGTTCAGAGCTATGATACATAGGTTTCAAGTTTAAAAGTCTGTATCTGCTATGATTTTGGGAAAAACCCACAGAGCACTTGTAAAAATAGGTAATTATTAGGCATGACCACTGTAGTGGTTTAAAACACACTTTGAAATTCTTCTCAAACCCATTTGAAAATATTCCTGATGGGACTGAACACAGTACTTGCTTGTAATGAATAGAAAACAGTGCAAGCATTTTCGGGATACTGGACCACCTCTGGCCTAGTTTAGAAAAGGTGACACAGCTCTGCCCAAGTCTCCTGCTCTCATCCCCCTTAGGAGCCCCCGACCAGTACACCACGAAGTCTAACACCCTGATAACACTACACAGAAGGGACATCCAATGGAGAGACTCAAAGAAATAGAAAAAGATGTCTGAGGATCTCAGCAGTCCAGCCCCTGCTATTTGAGTCACGCTAGCCATGGCACCAGGGAGATGGGAAGACACCCGCCAACGTCCCCATCCTTGGCCATCACTAGATTGCAACCTCCTGAGTGCCCCTGAACCATATTCATTTGGCTGAGAGACTGAGGGCGATTGCAGAGACTGACAGTTAGTAAATTATAATTATTGTTTAAGCCACTAAGTTTTAGACAATTCTGAAAAGCACTTTAGACTCCTAGAAAAACTGAGTTGTCTACTCATTTAATTGCAGAGAGCTGTAAAGGCTAACATCATGAATAATAATAACCTGGAAAAGTCAAATCATCAAGATTCTTCTAAGCACAACAGATCTTTAATGCCCCTTTGCTATGGCTGAAGAATAATCTAACATACACCTGATAGAGATGTTTGAAAGCCTCTGTTCACATCTCTCGGCAGGGTAAGGGTCAACTCTAGTCTGGTTTAATTCTAGGTAACTGCAGCAGTTCACCTTTCATTTTAGGTCATGGCCTATGCTGATTTTTTGATCACTGACTGTGTCTTTGTCTGTGTGTGTGTTTTGTGTGTTACGATATTTTATCTGAGGATGCTAAATAATAGTACTATAGTTGTTTTGTAAACAAAAAACATTCCAGGAAGTCAGTATTGTTTATAAACTGAGCTTTAAAACAGATACGAAATTAGACATGGCAAGATGCCATGTCTAGTATCATACCAAAGCTAGCCAAGCTTGGTGGCTCATGGATGTTATCCCAGCTACTTGGAAGGCTGATGCAGGAGAATCCATTGAACCTGGTGATGGAGTTTCCAGTAAAGTGAGATCACACCACTGTGCTCTAGCCTGGGCAGCAGAGCGAGACTCTGTCTCAGAAAGAAAAAGAGAATAAAATAATAAAATAGGAGAGATCACTGAAAAGAGAAATGCATAAAACTGGGTGGGCATTGTGGCTCATGCCTGGATCCCAGCATTTTCAGAGGATGAGGTGGGTGGATCACTAGATGACAGGAGTTCAAGACCAGCCTGAGCAAACATTGTGAAACCTGGTCTCTACCGAAAATACAAAAAACATATAGATATATATACACATACATACATACAGGATTGGTGTCATATGATTGCAGTTGCAGCTGCTTAGAAGGGTGTGACTGGACAACTGCTTGAACCCAGGACAGGGAGGGAGCAGTGAGCTGAGATCACGCCACTGCACTCCAGCCTAGGTGACAGAGCAGGATTCTGTCTTAAAAAAATTAAATGAGATAAAAAGATATAAAGAAAAAAAGAAAGAAACACAGGAATGAAGAAAGGAAGGGAGGGAGGGAGGGAATGAAAATTTGTATGTAACAGTTGTAGATACTTTTGGCATACATGTGATATTTTGATACAAGTAATGTGAACTGGTAAGCGAGGGATCAAAGAGGGGATGGGGGTGGGTTAAATTATACTTGCTTAGAAGGAATAATATCTAGTGTTCAGTGGCACAGGATGACTACACTTAATAATGATTTATTGTACATCTCAAAATAATTAATAGAGCGAAGGTGGAATGTCGCTCGTACCAAGAAAAGATATACCAGACTCAGTGAGGTGGAATGTTGCTCATACCAAGAAAAGATATGCCAGACTCAGTGGCTCACAGCTATAATCACAACACTTTGGGAAGCCAGGGAAGGAGGATCATTTCAGCCTGGGAGTTTGAGACCAGCCTGAACAATATATCCAAAGCATTGTCCCTACCACACACACACAAAAGCTGGGCATGGTGGTTGGTGTGTGTCTGTAATTCCAGCTACTTGGGAGGCTGAAATGGAAGTCTGGCACATTTGAACCCCGTGTCCAAGGCTGCAGTGAGCTACGATGGTGCCACTGCAGTCTAGGCTGGACAACAGAGTGAGACCTTGTCTCTAAAAAAGAAAAAAGAATTGATAAGTGCTTGAACTGAAGGATACCCTATTTATTATGTATATATTTGTTGATTTATATAATTATTTTTGGTTTGGAGTCACACTCTGTCACCCAGGCTAGGGTGCATGGTGCAATATCGGCTCACTGCAGCATCAGGCTCCCAAGTTCAAATGATTCTCCTGCCTGAGCCTCCCAATTAACTGTAACATACTACAGGCAGGCACCACCATGCCTGGCTAATTTTTGTATTTTTGGTAGAGATGGGGTTTCATGGTGTTGGCCAGCCTGGTCTTCAACTCCTGTCCTAAAGTGATCTGCAAGCCACGGCCTCCCCAAGTGTTAGAATTAAAGACCTGAGCCACCACACCTGGACAGTAAGATACACAAGACTAGGGAGATTTATCTTTTCACTTCATCCTTACAATGCTACAGGTGAATGAAAACACAACTTCATAACATGAATACCTCACTTGAATATCAAAGTTGGCAACTTCTCCCTTTAAAATTATTCGTACCCTTACCCTATAAAAATTGATGATCTTGTCAAAATTTTTCAAGAAAATACTTCCTCCTTGCAGATTAGTCTGTCAATTGTTAATAACTAAGGACTGTAAAACTTCTGGAACTTGATGTATTTCATTTCTTTAGTTTGCAAAATCAGGAAAAATAATTGATTTAGTTATTTAGGTCCAAATATTTTTATCATTCCATGATTTCTTAAAACTTTCAGCAATCCCGTCTGAAACTTTATGCTGTTGTTTATATTTTACACACTTCACTTTCCCCAAAGTATGAGGTTTAAAGTGTTTCCATTCATATTAGAAAACTTGAACAGTTTGCAAGGGAGGCATAACGTATGCCTAATTTTGTATCTATGTTCAAAGAAACAAAGGAAAATGTACAACAAACTACACAATTTTCTCTCCTATTGAATTTGCTTTAAGCATGTGCGGCTAACCAATAACACCAGGCATTTTGAAATACATGTAAAATCTTATTGTGAAAATTTTAAGGTAGATATTACATCTAAACACTTTTCAAATAGCATCAACAAGTATGAAATTACTTTGAAAACAATTCCTTTTCCTTTGAATACCTCAGAAAATTCATGGAGGAAGTTAGTATCTACCTCTCTCCACAAAACCAATATGTTTCTTTTAGTAATATGCAGGTAATGCAGCAGAAATAACATTTCAATTTTTGATTTGCAAACAAGGTTTGGTATGCAATAACTATTATTTTGAACCCATGCTTTAATATCTGCTTCAGTCTCCTTTTTCAGATCAACTTTCACCACCATCTACTGTAGATGCCACATAACTTGAGCTACCATATGCTTCACGAGGAGCAGGGAGCACCCTACCCAGAGAAGGCAGATTCCTTTGGTCTTTTCTGCAAACCTACTCATGATCACAATAATGAAAATCACCACAGCTCCTGGAGTAACTCTCCCAACTTCTGCCATATCTATCTCGAGTATTATTATAATCATGGCATGTGCTTCCGCCATAAGACATCTGAGGCCCTCGTGCAGGTGGTGCACCATGAGAGGTCCCTGCATGGTTGACAAAATAATATGTTGGACTACCTTTGAACATTTTTACTGCTATCATTAAAGCATGAATTAGTTAAAGTACTATTTGGAAATATCTGCTTTCTTCTGCCTTTGTTGACAGGACATTAATCAAGTCTTCAACAGTCAGAAGGTTTCATTTAAAAGAAGTATAAGAGTAGTATTCTGAAGCTTAACAAACTTAATTCTAAAGTAAATGTGGAGTCACATTTTCTTAACGTGAACTGAAGTTCTCGCCTTCATAACATTCCCTATCTTTATACTGTTAAGAATACTCAATATTTAAACATGTTGCATATGTCCTTTATAATTTTCCTTAGAATTTCCTTAAAATAACAATCTGGTCTATTACATAAAATTCTGTAATTTACAAATCCATCCTGGACCCTTACCGTATCTCTGAAATGCATCTCTATAAGAACTTCCACTTAGATGTTCAGAATGATCTCTACCACGGGCCTCACCGTAGCCATCATGGTAACTAAATTGAAAAAAAAAAACATTTTTAATGTTAGAATGAACAATTTAAGAAATCTATTTGGTAAATCCAGATAACATGATAGTACCTATATCCTCTAGAGGAATGTTCATCCCAACTAGGATGACCATAATCACGGTATGCATAGTCTCTAGGTGGTGGAGCATAATCCCTGGTTTCTCGGGAACTTTGATGATTTCTGTGTGCACAAGTTTAAGCAACAAATTTTAAATTTTCAACTTCCAGTATCCAAAACATAACTAAATTACAACTTAAACACAATTAAATTGCCAAACATCTAAAAAAATGCCCAAAGAGTCCAAATGCCCAAAATGCCCAAATGCCCAAAAAGCACATGAAACAGATACTCATAATGAATGATTCAGAAAATGCATTTCAAATCCAACAGGAGCTTCCATACTTCACACACACACATTGGAAGGGCAATAAATTTTTTTTATTATACTTGAAGTTCTAGGGTACATGTGCATGATGAGTTAATGGGTACATAAAATGCATTTCAAATCCAAAATGAGATATCATATTTCACACACACACTGGAAGGGCAATAAATTTTAAGAAGCAGGAAATAACAAGTGTTTGAGAGGATGCAGATAAATTGGAGCCCTGATACAATGTTAGTTGGCATGAACAACTTAAGCAATCTGTTTGACAAATCCAGAAAAAGTTACAGTACCTATATCCTCTAGTGGAATGTTCATGCGGACTAGAATGACCATAATCACAGTATGCATAGTCTCCAGATAATGGAGCATAATCCCTAGTTTCTCGGGAACTTGGATGATTTCTGTGTACATAAGTTTAAGCAACAAATTTTAAATTTTCAACTTCTAGTAACCAATATACGACTAACTTACAACTTAAACAAAATGAAAAGTCCAAACATCTAAATAGATATTTCTCCAAATAAAATAGGCAAATGGCCAAAAAGCACATGGGACAGATACTCAAATTCAGTGATTCAGAAAATGCATTTCTTTTTTCTATTATACTTGAAGTTCTAGGGCACATGTGCATGATGAGTTAATGGGTGCAGAAAATGCATTTCAAATCCAAACTGAGATATCATATTTCACACACACACTGGAATGGCAATAAATTTTAAAAGGGAGGAAATAACAAGTGTTTGAGAGGATGTAGATAAACTGGAGCCCTGATACAATGTTAGTTGGAATGAACAATTTAAGAAATCTATTTGACAAATCCAGAAAAAGTTACAGTATCTATATACTCTAGAGGAATGTTCATCCTGACTAGAATGACCATAATCACGGTATGCATAGCCTCTAGATGGTGGAGCATAATCCCTAGTTTCTCGGGAACTTGGATGATTTTTGTGTGCATAAGTTTAGGCAACAAATTTTAAATTTTCACCTTCTACTATCCAATATATGACTAACTTACAACTTAAAATTAAAAGGCCAAACATCTAAATAGCTATTTCTCCAAATAAAATAGGCAAATGGCCAAAAAGCACATGGGACAGATACTCATATTCAATGATTCAGAAAATCCATTTCTTTTTTTTATTATACTTTAAGTTCTAGGGTACACATGCATGATGAGTTAATGGGTACAGAAAATGCATTTCAAATCCAAAATGAGATATCATATTTCACACACACTGGAAAGGCAATAAATTTTCAAAAGCAGGAAATAACAAGTGTTTGAGAGGATGTAGATAAATTGGAGCCCTGATACGTTAGTTGGAATGAACAATTTAAGAAATCTATTTGACAAATCCAGAAACAGTTACAGTACCTATATCCTCTAGAATAATGTTCATGCCGACGAGAATGACCATAATCACGGTATGCGTAGCCTCTAGATGGTGGAGCATAATCCCTAGTTTCTCGGGAACTTCGATCATTTCTGTATGCATAAGTTTAAGCAACAAATTTTAAATTTTCAACTTCTAGTATCCAATATATGACTAACTTACAACTTAAACAAAATTAAAAGGCCAAACATCTAAACAGATATTTCTCCAAATAAAATCGGCAAATACCCAAAAAGCACATGGGACAGATACTCATATTCAGTGATTCAAAAAATGCATTTCTTTTTGTTTTATTATACTTTAAGTTCCAGGATACATGTGCATGATGAGTTAATGGGTGCAGAAAATGCATTTCAAATCCAAAATGAGATATCATATTTCACACACACAGTTGAATGGCAATAAATTTCAAAAAGCAGGAAATAACAAGTGTTCTAGAGGATGTAGATAAACTGGAATGCTGATACAATGCTAGTTGGAACGGAAAATGATGCAGCTACTATGGAGAAATGTGGTGGTTCCTCAAGAAAACAAACATAATTATCATAGGACCATGCAATTCCACTCATATACACCCAGAACCGAATAAGCATACTCAAACAAATATTGGTGCGTAGAAATACTCGGGTGGAAACAACCCAGATAAAATAATGGGTTAATAGCTTCTGGAGGGAGTGAAGTGCTATGATGTAAATGAACCTTCAGGACATCATGCAAAAGGAGAGGAGACAAATACAAAAAGTCATGTAGTGTTTGAGCACATTAACATTAAATACCCACAACAGGTAAGTTCAGAGGCAGAACACTGACTGGTGTTTGCTAGCAGCTGAGGAAAGGGAGAAAATGGAAGGGACTGCTTAACTGGTAGTTGGAGTTTTAATTTGGAGTGGTGAAAACGTTTTGGAACTCGATGGAGGTAGTTGTTGTATGGCACAGAATGTATTAAACACCACTTAACTGTTCACCTTATAATATTTAATTTTGTTATGTGAATTTCATCACCACAACAAAAAAAAAATCAACTGTGTTTTTTAATTTTTCCTTTACCCATCCTTTGTTGCATAACCATCATCTCTTGGTGATATATGATCATTTCTCCAGGAAGAGATTGTCACTCTGCATGGAGGAACTCCATATCTCTCTCTTCTTTGTGACATAGGACCTTTAACATTAAAATGATGGAACATTATGTAGAGAACACCAAATCTGAAACGCTATTTTCTCTTCTCTCAAACTACTTTTTAAAATTATTTTTTCTATGACTCCATTCTTTGTTTCCTAAATTACTAGACACTCATGACACTGTGAATACTTCTTATGGCTTTGGAGAATCCCATGGCTCCCACAAGGCCAGTTCTTCTAATGAAGCTGAAGGCAAACATTAATTCTTAGGTAAAAGTTCATTTGTAATGGTTAATATCTACTTAGTTATTATTTTCTTTTTCATATAAATTACTGATGACTGTGAGTGACACAGGGAAAACATGTAAAACCATCAAACTCTTCACTGATTTTAAAGTTTACATACATTGTCCTTTCTCAGCCAAAGATGGTGAATTTTCCAATATCATTCAGTCCATCTCACACACATATAAATACAGCTACCTTTAAATGACTATATGCTAAATGTTTACATAAAAGTTCTTTATCTCTAACTGGTTGGCTCTATCTTAAATGTTGACAAATTAAAATGTATTAGTGAAGATTTTCTAATGATGGTCAAGATTTGCTTTTACTGCAAAGAAAGCAATGCTATGCAAGGGGTCATTACAACATTGTTGCTATTTCAAAATAGAAAGTTTCTCCTTCAATATATTCTTCACTTGCTATTCCTTAGAGGTCAGTGTTTCACATATGATACGTTCACTGGCTAATTTTCCAATGGAAATGTGTTGGCTTGGGTATCCTGAAGCCAATAAATACCTCTCTTCACCGATACTCTACGTATGAAATGTAAAATTGAAAACAGCAGTTTTTAACTTCCTCCATATTCGGATGGAGGACTAAGAAAGAATTTTAATTTGCTCTGCTTAAACTTCCTTCCTAAGAACTTTTATTTATTGTCTTATTTTCTTCTGTTCAGTCTGCAGTCTTACAATTCTTTCTCAAGAGTATTACTTGCATTCAATCCTACTGCTCACCTCATGTTGCTTAGTTCTAAATTCTCTCCTCAAATAATTTCAAATCTTACACTAAGGATCTTGTGTTAATGTTTAAACATCCCGGTACAATCTCAATTACTGATTTACATACACCTATATTTCACAACTCTGCATTTCTGTGATACCCACTTAATTTAAGCATTTTGGACTCCTACGTGTCTACCTTTCAAGGCTTAAATTTATTTTTAAATCATATTTAAGCCCAATGACTCCTTGTCTGCTAAATGCTCTTGTAGTTCTTTTGAATCTTCATGCAAGCAGTGAGTATGCCTTGCACATACGCATTACTGAGGACTCAGAAGTTGGATGGCCAGGCTTAGCGGCTCACACTGTGAGTGAGTGTGGAAGGCTGAGGCAGGTGGACCGCTTGAGCCCCGGGCTTTAACATCAGTTTTGACAATGCAGTCAGATCCTCTCTCTACAAAAACATAGGAAAAAAATGTACCTAGGTGTGGTGCTGCATGCCTGTAGTTGCAGAAACTCGGGAGGCTGAAACAGCAGAATTGCTTGAGCCCAGGAATTTGAGGCTATAGTAAGCCGTCATCTCACAAATTTGAGGCTATAGTAAGCCGTCATCTCACAAATTTGAGGCTATAGTAAGCCGTCATCTCACATAGTGCACTCTCACCTAGTAAGAGCAAGACTCCAACCCAGCAAAGTCACTGAACAAGCAATTTTTAGAATGGGACACCAGGGGACCTAGGAAATGGAAGAATTAATTAGATCAAGAAGCCTACCATCAAAGAATACTGCTAGGAACTTTTAGAAAAATTAAGGGGAATTTTCTAGCAAACACAGGATTAAAAGGAATGTTGGCCTCACTCTAATCACTTCTTTGATCTGCAATGAGAAGCTCAAGTATTTCTTCAATATAAATCTGAAATGTACCTAGTGAGATAGAAACTATAATAAAAACTATCAATCAGTAATTATGCTCACGTATGTGTCACTTCTCTTTTGTTCAATGAACTTAAAGCTAACCATTCAGGGAAAATAGCTCATTTTTAGTCATACAAAAACTACGGTCTTTCTGTCAGGTAGCATTTACCTTGGCTTCCCATCCAACTATTGCTTCTTGCCACAGCAGAAGGAGCAGATTTTTTAGGAGGAGGACCTCCACTTCTTGAAGATGGACGTCTTTTAACTGGAATGAGTCCCCTAGAATAACTCATCTTGAGATCAGGAGTGTATCCACCATCATCTGTATTTCAAACAAAATCCTTTTAGTTAACTAACATCACTGTTTCTTAAATGGCTAAGTTTTAGTTGTTTACAAATATTTTCTACATTTTATAACTAATTCACATTTTGTCTAAACTAATAAAATTAGCATTCCTACATGGTATTAGTACACTTCAAGCAATAAAAGTTCATTTAGAAAATCTAGAAAGAAACTCAAGTATCATAATATATTGGTATGAGAGAGAGATGTGGGAAAATGGGGAGTGAACGGGGGCACAAATCTATCACTGAAATATCTAAATATAATATGCATAAAAATATTAAAAGAAAAGTGATAAATGACTGCTTATATCATTCTGTAATGAGGAAAAATTTTCAAAGCACATCATAAACTAATTTCCATTCAAAGAAACTCAAATATTTCCAATACCAAGAAGTGACATATCAGGAAAATACATTGTCTCTAAAATTTGTTAACACAATATAGAATTCTTAAAATTCCCTTATGAGACACTGACTTTCAGATTAGACTATGCTGAATTTTAACAGTCTTTAGGAACTGCATATTCGGTAATATAAAAATATTTTTATACATCTACAAAAATGTAGATATATGCCAACTGCCAGGTGGTGTTACGGGTTAGAATTTATATATACATTCTCGTCCGTGGCAGAGTATAATTGAACCTCACCCTCAAGATCAGTGGAGACAAAATAGCCACGAAGCTATGCATCTTAAAATGGAGCAAACACTGCAATTTCAACTTGAAAAAAATCTCCAATAAACTACATGTCTGGTTATTAAAACTCCAAGTTAATTGTTAGAGTTTTGAAGGTTGGTTAATAGATAATACAAGTTAACCAACAGGTTTATTTATTTATTTATTCAGATGGACTGTTGCCCTATCACGCAGGCTGGAGTGCCATGGCATAACCTTGGCTCACTGCAGCTTGTGCCTCCCAGGTTCCTGTGATTCTCCTGCCTCAGCCTCCTGAGTAGCTGGTATTACAGGTGCATGCCACCACGCCCAGGCAAATTTTTTTGTATCTTTAGGAGAGACAGGGTTTCACCATGTTGGCCAGGCTGGTCTGGAACTCCTGACCTCGTGGTCCACCTGCCCTGTACTCCCCAGGTGCTGAGGTGACAGGCGTGAGCCACCTCGCACAGCCCATCCAATAGTCTTTTTTCTTTTTTTTTAAATATATGGTTTGTTTTTCTTTTATATGTAAACATAGACCCCTCATTTCTATTAAGTAAATCACTCATAAATATCATTTTCAGTGACTCAGCCTCCAGCAAAGAAAGATACATACATATCTGTGAAGCAGTGGTTTTTAGACATTTCCAGTCACAGACTCTTTTCAGAAATTAAAGTTCTACATTTCTTAAATTGAAAATGCTTTATGGCAGGCCAATGTACAAACTCTCTGTATCAAAATTACAAAGCAATACCTTTGCATAGATGTTCGCACATGTATACACAAGAAAACAAATACTGCAAAATCAGTCTTAAGTATTGAGTTACTTTTTCCTGTTGGAAAATTTTAAATATGACATCATACTTTGATAATACAACTGACACGAAGTTCTGGGCCCTAAAGCAGAAAACTCTAAAGTATAATGAATATAAATGAGTTCTGCAGAAAACCGGTTGAGTACAGGTAATCAGCATTCATAAACACAACTCAGTTTGAAATGTGTGTTACTTCAGTGCAAACTTATTGTAATTTTAAAACAAATTTATGTATTAATTCAATCATTCTTATAATACACCTTTAGTACTTAGAAATAATTTTGCTTATTATCAATAAGCTAATTTTCTCTTCATACAGGAAATAAAAAAATTGAGAAATTTCGATATCTTCAAACTTATTTTCTTTCAGTCCTATGGTTCCATCTTTATATTTTAAAACATTACCCAGGTGTCCTTCATGTGAGGGAAGCCACCCTCCTGTTCCTCCACTGCTTCCTCTTGCAGATCTCAGACTTCCTGAAGGGCTTCTGTTTCTCAAAGAAGCTGGTGGTCTTCACCTACCACCACTTTGAAAAGATGGTTTCTTGGCTTGTTCTACTTTTATTGCTTTTCCATCCAAAGACTAGAAGTATTAAGGGTACTATCAATAACAATGGCACATTTAACGTAAGCGCATTTTACAAACATTTTTACATCAACCATAGTTCAATTCGAGGTATTTTCTCCCAAAAGGAAACTTTTTTTTCTCCTAAAATGAACACATCTTTCACAATGCCAAATTTGAGATAGTTACTGAGCACATGCCTTCCATTAAGGGACCAAACACAAATTCTATTATTCAAATTCCTTGAAAACTCCTCCATTATTAAAAAAAAAAAACTCAAACATAAAAAAAAAGATTGACCCATCACACATTCTATGGAAGAATGTGGAACATCTGTTTTTTACAATATATAATCCACTTCATCTTTGTATTCACATCACTGATTTGAAAGTTGCAGTGTCCCAACGAAACTTGTGTCATTTTAAAAAGTGAGCTTACTTTTTCAGAGTGATTAGTCACATTAGTCACTATGAGCTGTTTCTTGTTGGATTTGCTAACACTTACATAAAATGTCCCCATATGATTTACAATTCTATATTGACTCTAAAAATGTTTCTGTAAATGTGATCCTTGTTTGATCTCATTAAGTTTTCTTGCCTTACTCATTTCTTATATTGCCTTACACGTGCCCCTAAAAAACGAATCTTAATATAGTACTTCAGGTAGTTTCTCAGAAATGCTTAAATATCCTAATTAATTTCATAATAACATTTTTCACTGTAATCTTCTCTACAGGCCATAGCAATTTTTGAAAACAGTTCAGCTAATAATGTGATTTACAAATTACATGGCTTTTGTTATTTGGAGGAAGGACTTAAATCCCTGACAAGACCCCTTGCAGCCACATCGCCAGTTGTTCCTACCTTGACACTTCTTTTGTTATTTCTGGGATCAAAATATTTTCCCCAGATTTGCCCATGGCTGCTTCCTTCCCAGTGTTCTGAAGTCAGCTAAAATTCCTTAACTGTTAATTCCCCCTGAAAACTCGAAGAACTTCCTTTATTGGCCATCTTAACATTAATGTGCATACAATATTCATATTTATTTTAACACACTAAAATATGTGAGATGAACTAACTTAGAAATAATGTTGGCTGGGCACGGTGGCTCACACCTGTAATCCCAACACTTTGGGAGGCCAAGGCAGGTGGATCATGAGGTGAAGAGATAGAGCTCATCCTGGCCAACAGGGAGAAACCCCATCCCTACTCAAAGTACAAAATTAGCTGGGCGTTGTGGCGCGCCTCTGTAGCCCCTGGTACTGGGAGGCTGAGGCAGGAGAATCGCTTGAACCCGGGAGGCGGATGTTGCAGTAAGCCAAGATGGCCCCACTGCAATCCAGCCTAGGGCACACAGTGAGTCTCCATCTTAAAAAACAAACAAACGAACAAAAACTTTACACAAATTAGCTGCTCTTTTGCTTGAAAACTAGAGGGAACAAAGAAATTATCATAGATTACTATACAGAAGTCAAAATTATCTCCATACCTACCACAAAGCCATGAACCAAAAGCAACTCTCGGTTTCTACCACAGCTTGAAATACTAATTTATGAGGGTGAATAAAAATGTACTTTCTGCTATGTGCCAGGAACTGTGCTAGATGTAACAGAAAGAAAAGCAACTAGCAAGACTTAAATATGCACTACATACAATTTCACATTCAATAGATTAATACATAGTACAGTGAGTACAAAATACCTACAATATGCAATGAGAAAGAAAATATGAAATCTAAGTGGTTTTTGAAGCATAAATTTTATTTATGAGACATACACAGGGAAGGATAATTCTCAACAAGTCTAAAACAGCACTTTGGGGATAGCATGAAGACTAACAGGAGCTAAAAACAGATTGGGATAATGTTGTTTATTTATTTTATTTATTTTTTATTTTTTTGAGACGGATTCTTGCTCTGTTGCCAGGCTGGAGTGCATCAGCGTGATCTCGGCTCACTGCCACCTCTGCCTCCTTGGGTTTAACTGATTCCCCTGCCTCAGCCTACTGAGTAGCTGGAACTATAGGCACACACAACCAGACGCAGCTAATTTTTTTGTGTGTGTGTTTTAGTAGAGACAGGGTTTCACCATGTTGGCCATTATGGTTTCTTTCTCCTGACCTCGTGATCTGCCTGCCTTGGCCACCCAAAGTGCTGGGATTACATCCGTGAGCCACCATGCCCGGCATGATTGGGATAATGTTACAAAGCAAAAAAGCACTAAAGAGCACAGAATGGAATGCTCTTGACTACAATGTAAAGGAATTCAATAATTAATATAATTACATAAAAGTTTAAAGCTTTAGTAAACACACAATCTCTAGATTTAAGACTCAACAGGACAAGAGACCATTGGTTGAATCAAAACAAGTCCTCAAACACACTGGGGAAATGAGTAATTAGCTATTCATGTTACATAAATCACTCTGGTGACAGGAAAGAAATGTCCTTAGGAGAAAAAGCAAGCATGGAGCAAAAATGCCAGTTACTTCTTCTGCTATCTGACTTCAATGTTCTCATATTATTTTCTCTTTTCAACTACTTACCCTTTCCGTAAATGTAAAGGTCTTATTTAAATATACTTTTGCAAGAATATATTTTCATAAAATATATTCTTCAAGAAGGAAGGAGTCTTTCCTTCTTGTGAGTCTGTCTAGATGTCTATCCACAGTTTGTCTACGCTCTAAAAGAATTTCCATGAATTGGAAGTACTTCAATTAATAGCATTTAATAAATATTGACTTATTAATTTCATTTACATGAGGGTTCCTTATAAGTTTTAAAGCTCATCAAAACCTTTTAAAATCTATTTGCACTCATATCGAAATACAAACATAGAAAAAGGTTACCAAATATTAATTTATATAATGTTAATTCCAATACCCTTCCAACTACACTTGCACGTATAAGGCACAAAAAAGAGGATGGCTTCATATGTCATTCTACTATCTTCAAAAGTTTAGTAATATTAAAAAGACCTAGAAATATTGTTAATTGAAGAACACAGTTAGAATATTATTAATAAGGGACTCTTACCTTTCCATTCATATCTTTGGCAGCATTCTTAGCATCTGCAGGGTTCTCAAAAGTAATAAAGGCAAAGCCTCTGGATTTGCTGGTTCGATCCTTTATCAAAAGAACTAAAATATATGAAAACATTTTACATTCATGTAATGGACTCATCAAGGTACTAACCATCTAAAAGTTACATCAAACTAAAAAATAATTGCATTTCACATCATTATTATGGTTCTTAATACTCAGTCACCCCTACAGTCAGTCTAGTTTATTCCAGTTTCTTTCTGAACTCCACAGCACATTTACTTTTCCTCATTTTCCTTTCTAAGTAGTAGGTTATCCTTTCCATAGAGCCTTAACCTAGTACTATGAGAATTTTCCAAATATCAAACAGATACTACAAAATAAGAGTTTAAAACTCATAAGGCATTTTCATGTAGGTATACAATGAACTTTGAAAAAATATATTTTTTCAAAACATATATATATATAACATACATATTTTAAACATACATACTGAAATATACATGTGAAAATACACATAAACACACACACACACACACACACACACACACACACGGTTTTAAGAGTTACCTTCTGATATGGGACCATATTTCCCAAACACTGCTTTAAGCATCTTCTCATTGGTCTCTCTATTGAGGCCACAAATGAAAAGCTTGCCAGGATGATCTGCCTCTACCATTGTGCTGTAAATGGTAAAAAATTATCTATATTTAGATATAAATAAGCTAAAAAGATAAAATTTTATTACAAACTGTGCTGAAAATCCAAGTAAAATTCCCTTCCTGAGGCTGACATCTTTTTATTACTTCTTACTTTAAATATGTAAAATTTGTAACACTCAGAGCAAAGGGGCACTAACTTCACACACAAATGCTGCATTTTAGTATGAACTGACAGAATCTCATTTCTAAAAATTAGATAAGAAAAGCTATCATAATTTTCCTAAGTTGCAATATGAAGAATGCCTTCATTTAAATAATTTTATTTGAAAACTGTCTATTTATGAGGTACAGTGTGATGTTTTGCATATTTTCTTTCTTGAGATGTGTGTCTCCTGTTGCCAAAGTGCACTGTTCACTGCAGCCTCCTCCACCCAGCCCAACTGATCTTCCCACATCTCAGCTTCCGAAGTTGCTAGTACTACAGGGGCTTTCTACCACAGCTGGGCAATTTTTTGTGTTTTTAAAAATAAACAAGGGTTTCCCCATATTGCCCAAGGTAGTCTCCAAATCCTGGGCTCAAGTGTTCTGCCGGCTTGGGCCTACCAAAGTGATGGGATTTCAAGGGTGAATCACCACACTCAGCATGATATTTGGATAAAAGATTAAATCAAGCTACTTAAAATGTTCTAGGGGGAGAATATTTTAAATATTTTACAATCTTCTAGTGATTTGAAATATACAATAGGTCACAGATTCTAAAACCCTAGCCTTCAACCCGTACCTATCTGTGGCCTGAATGTGATGCCACAGGATGACATGTAATACCTGTTTGTGGAGAATGTAACGCCTGAGGATGACCTGAGGTGGTACAGTTCTATCCAGAAACCATCCTCCCTACTCCCTCGCTGGCCCTCCCTGTCCCCGTGGCAGCCCCACTGCCCCACCTGTCCTCTGTCACATTGCTCCTACCGGAAGACCCGCCCTACCACGTGCCCCTCGGGTACCTGCCGCCAGCCCCCACTCCCAAACCTGTCCACCTCGCCGCCTTCTACCCCTGTGCAACCCTTGTCTGAGGAAAAATTGTCTTTCACTAAACCAGTCCCTGATGCGAAAATACCAATAAAGGAGTCCATTATGTCACCCAGGCTGGTCTCAAACTCCTCACCTCAAGCCATCCTCTGACCTCCACTTCCCAAAATGCTAGGATTACACGAGTAAGTCAGTGTGCCAGGTTAACAGAATAACTTAAGCTCATCTATGTTGTTCCCGTTTTAGGCTATCTAACTCCATTTATCTCGATTACACCCACCGATTATTCGGTTTAAATTATTTACGGTGCCAAAGATACATGAAACATGTTTCAAATACTGTCATACAACGAAGGAGACAATTACAGGCTTTACAGAGGCAAACTGAAACTGAGATTATTTATGGCCCCCATATTTCTACATACACTAAAGTAACACAATTTATGTCAAATTTCATCCAAGCAAATCAGACACGCCACATGTGCTAACTAAAAGTGTGACTTTTTAATCGCAGTGGTTAAGTGTATTGCCTGTATTCTGAATTATGACCACATTCACAGAGAAAACCCGCTTTAATAAAAAGTGCACACGAAAACAGTGGCGCCTTAGCACCATCTCCCACAACTAGTCGGACATATTAGGCAGTTAAATGTAGAATCCTCAGGAAAAATCAATGAGTTTAACGAAAGTGAGTCTCTTAATAGCACTAAGGAGTTCTTTCCCCACTGACTCCTCCCGTAATTCAACACCCACACATAGAAAACCCATCCCCTTTTATAGACAAAATCCCAAACCTTTGCTTTCTATTCTTGCCGAGAGACCCAGCTGTCCAGAGAAACAGAAAATACCTGCGCTTTTTATTAGGACAAAGAGCCTGAGGTTCGCCTGGCCCTCAGGCCGTATGTATCCAGCTTCGGAACACCACAGGGCCAGCTGCGGGAAGGACACCTGGAGCTACCCTGAGAGAGAAGGACGCCAGAAGCCGTGCCCGGAAATCCCGCCTACCTCCAGCGGCCAATCATTGAGAAGGCGGTGGGCGTCAGCCAGTTACTGCGAAGGCTGTGGGTGAGTCCTGAGGCACCCAGCCCCGGCTGGCCTGCAGCTCCATCATCTCGCTGTAACTCTTCTGAGACCCCGCTTGTGCCATGTGGCGGGCGGCGGTGGATTAAGGCACAGGCGAACTGTGAGCCCTTTGGAATTGTGGGCATGGAAGACCTACACACTAACTGGCATCCTGAGTGTGGCAAGACATTAATTAACCCACAGGGAACACATGAAACATCTCACTTCATTAGTCAGGCTAGGCTGATGGTACTGAATATTGCGGATCCAGAGGGGAGAGAGAGGGACCAGCGCTGCTGCAGGGGCGAGGGCAGCAGCGGTGGCTTGGGGGGATTGGGGCAGGGCGGGTGCGTGGGACTAAAGTCGACTGGTACGTTGCTGAGGTGGAATTCATCTGCACCAGAAGCTGAAACCCTGCAAGGATTCTCTCAGGTCTAGGCAAATACATACTCCGAGTTCCATGGTTCCTCCCTGAGGATGCTGTACTCACAGGGGCATTCCAAAGGACTTCTCATCCTGTGCCCTGGGCACACGGGAGGCCTACCGCCATGGTCGCCAATGCAGTGATCCATGTGCACTGCTTTGCTGGTGCAGAGGCCCTCACAAGTGCAGGGGTGGCCGTGGTGCCTGCTAGCGGGGCTCTGGAAGCCAGGGCCTTGGCATCCTACTCCAGGGCTGCTGTGCGCAGCTAACCCTGCTGGGTATCTGAGCCCCATTGTGAGTGTGACAGGCTAAGG
The DNA here is from genome assembly GCF_000001405.40 of Homo sapiens. NCBI lineage: Eukaryota > Metazoa > Chordata > Mammalia > Primates > Hominidae > Homo > Homo sapiens. The sequence goes on from NW_025791821.1 coordinate 192,962, forward strand.
GTCCTGTGGGGCTCCCCAGGAACCCTGTTCCACATAGGTGTAGGATGTGGTTCTCAGCAGGGCAAGGCCCGCAGGTCTCTCCTGGAGTTGCCCCCAGAGTCTAGGGGTGCCGGGGGCAGGTGGGGTGGGAGGCACAGGCTTTGCTCTGTTGGAGCCCCAAGGAGGGCACCATGTTAAGGCTGGAGGCTGTGCAGGAGAGGATGGCCTGTGCACAGAGCAGGAAGGCAACCCTGGGGGAAGAGGCATGCTAGTGGGGGATGACATCATTGCAGAGATGGAGGTGGTGGCCAAGGAGGAGGCCAATGTGGAGCCACAGCAGGAGGACCTGCAGGCACAGCCTGGCCCTGGCCCCAGTACGCCCCGGCCAGCAACAGACTCGCTGGACGTCCTTCACTTGGAGCGCAGCTACATGAATGTCCCAGGCTGCAGGGCATCCCCGGCTTCTGGGCCAGAGCCATATCCTTGCAGCTGCCAATTCGGGATGGTTGGCCGCAGGGGATGGGCGCCGAGCTCCTGAGAATGGAGGTGGGGGAAACAACGTGGTAGGCACTGGGGGTCAGCCAGGATTCAGGGCATGGGGGACAACAAGGGGAGCCGAGAACAGACTCATGCAGATAGTAGGGCAGCTTAATTGCATGTGCCCTGAGGGCATGTGGTAGGGACAGGAAGCCAAGCACAGCACTCACAAGGAAGAATAGCAGCGCCAAGGACCCTTCGTAACAGCAGAAAGTTGAAGGATACGTTTCACTGGGAAAGTCCCTTGAGGAAGGGGAGTCTGCATGCCCATGCCAGCAGTGGAACTTCCCTGCTCCCCATGCCTGTGTCCAGCAAGCTCACCCCAGAAACACAAGGTGCTCAAGACTCGGTGTCACTGTGCACGGGGCTGCTGTCCTATGCAAGGCAGGCACTATCTCCCCAGACACAATTTCTTCCCTCTGCCAGCGCGGCACCCAAAGATGTTTAGGCCCTGAGCATATATAACCTCCCTTGAAACCACTCGAGCTCCATGGGGAGAGCCAGGCACAGCCCTGTAGCTACTTCTACGCACAGCAGTTCCATGGGGTGGACACATGCACCCCTCAGGGAGACCAGGAGAAGGAGAGACCACACACCCAGACAGCAGCAGAGCCTGTCCAGCACCCAGCACAGGAGGGCCTCCTGCAGCTCAGAAACACTGAGCAAGTAGTTGCCTCACACAACAACACCCTGCCCGCAACCCCCTGCCAACTTCTTCAGTGCCAGCCCCTGGTCAGAGCAGGTTGTCTGGGCCTGTCTCCACCCACCACCAAGACCACCACAGCTCTGATGGTGCCCTACACGCCAGAGAGAGACAGAGGACCTGGAAGGGAAGGTGCCCTGCCCCACACTCTCCGTGCTCTTGCAAACTTGCAGGGTGTTTCCTTGCACGCCCACCCAATCATCTGGCGGCTCCTTGACCAGAGGCAGATTGTGCAGCACACCCAGATGTTGGCCGGGATCACAAATGATGATGAAGTCCTGCTAAGTTACGTATGTGATGGATTTGCAGGTCAGGCTAAGGAGCCTGAGTCTTCAGGAGGGGTCTGGTGTCTGGGTCAGGTTGAGGTACCCCTGGGATGCGGGGGTGTCTCAATGAGAGAGTTGGGAAGGAGAAACACATGCTTCACCCCAGCTAACAGCTCACCTCACCCCAGCTACGTGAAATGGTCCTTTGAGTACATCCTCTTTCTCCTTCTTGGCCAGGGAAGGGGAGGAACGCAACTATCCCGGGTACCGGAGGCAGGATGAAGTTTTCCCTTTATCACAATCTTTACTTCCACAATGAAGTGATCATTCAAGAGTATTGCTTCGGCATCCTCGGTAAGGAGCACCTCCCTGCATAGTAGGGGAGCTGGTGTGTGGGAGGGTAGGTCTGGCATGAATCTTCCTGACTCTTCTCTCTGCAGGATACAGGATGTCTCATTCCACTGTAGTCTAGTGGTTGTGAGATCATGAAAGTGAAGCCTCCACCTGCAGGTAGTACAGCTCCTACCTGAGCTTCTTCAGCTGGTTGGCTGACCATGACTGCCCAGGTTCTGGCAGGATTGCTGAGGTGAGCGCCAGGTAGGGCATCATGGGAAAGGATCTTGCTGGTCATTCCTTGGCCTCTGGGGAATTGGCTTTGAGCCATGACCTGAACTAACCAGTACCCACTTCTGCAGTCCCCTAGATCATCAGCCAGAGCCTGTAGCTCAATCCCCTGCAGTACTTCTCCAGGGAGGGAGGCCATTAGAGAGTGAACAGAGAGGAGGCCAGGTGAGCAGTCTAGGGCTGGGGACTGAGAGGCCGTTTATTCCTGGAGTTGTGCCCCACATGGAGAATCCAAGCCTCAGGGAGGTGACTGCAGTGAGCAATCCCACGCCATCCATGGGCTGGCGGAGAAATGGCCATCAAAGAACTGTAACACCCACATTTTAGGATTGGGGCACCTTAAGCCGCCTAAGAGGAATAAGTGTCTAAGGTCAATGGGTGAGAAGCAAGACTCAAGTGGTAGCTGTCTCATCATCCCTCACCAGCTGAGGCCTGAGGCCGGCCACCACTTGGGACTCAGTTTGGGCTCAACCAGGGCCCTCTCACCCTCCACGCAGATATCCTCCCAAGGTCCCTATGTCTTCCCTGATGGGCTGTCCCACGCCCATCATTTTTTGTTACAATGATCCCAGGCTTCCCTGAGATGCTTTCTGCTCTCTGCCATCATCACTCACACTTCCCTGCCCCACGCTGCCCCACCAGACAAGAGAGGCCACTACACAGGGAATCTGGAGAACCACACTGGGCTCACAGTATTGTGAATAGGTTAAACCTTGTATAGTATTGTCATTCTCTCTTTCATAAATTTTTGAAGAACTCTGATACTGTTTCCATCCCCCCACCCCTGAGGAGAACATGCAGATAGTTCCAAACAATTGTGGAAGTGAGTGGGTATGAAAACATAATTTGAAGGCCAGGTGGGGTGGCTCACGCCTGTAATCCCCACACTTTGGGGGGCCAAGGCTGGTGGATTACCAGATGTCAGAAGTTCAAGACCAGCCTGGTCAACATGGTGAAACCCCATCTCTACTAAATATTCAAAAATTAGCTGGGCGTGGTGGCAGGTTCCTGTAATCTTAGCTATTTGGTGGGCTGAGGCAGGAGAATCGGTTGAACCCGAGAGGTGGAGGTTGCAGTGAGCCAAGATCACGCCACTGCATTACAGCCTGGGTCACAAGACCAAAGCTTTGTCTCCCCCACCCCACACCCCCCAAAAAAAGCATCAAATTTACATAAACATAATTATCTTAAAAGCCAGCATAATTTTAATTTTATTGTAGTCATTAGTTTCAGACATTGTTTATTTTGGAGAAGTGATTACAGAAACTACAAAAATCAAAGCCTGATGAGAACCTTTAAATTAACCACACTGCACAAGCCCAAAGCTGAAAAACTAAGGTGTTTCTGATATAATAGACCAAATTCTGCATTTCCTCTCTATTGGGCAGCGTAATATTGCACATATGAAAAAAAATGCAGTGTTAAATAAAAAGTAGTGGAATTAAGAGGAGTCATTGCTTAGTGAATTAAAACAACACACAAATTGAGAAGAAAAGACAGTGATAGAAAATATATTGTCTATTGATTTAATTCAGAATAATTTTCATTTTTGTCTATTAGCATTAAATAGTACCATTAACATAATATCATTTTGTATATTGTCTTCTAACATGTAAGTGGTTTTTATTTTGTATATTTGGAAACCTGATCAAAGATTCTTTATACATTTTATTTTTTCCGAAATTTGCTACCTAATAGCTAGCTAAATGCTAGTTGCCTGAATGCCTCTCACTAAGTTGTTTGTCTTTTCCTAATACATTTAATATGAACTTGGTGTGTAGTTTGTTGGCATCTTTACTAAATCTACAGGTGTTGAAGTTGTTCAGATCTCAGTCATGGATCCTCTTGGGTTTTCTCAAGGCTAAAACACCCTTTCTATGCTGACCATTAAGAAATTCTCAACTTCAGGCCAGATCTTTGTTCTACCTTCAGACTTGGCATATCCAACTTCATGCCTTACATCTCCACATACCAAAACCAGACCTTCCTTTCATCCCCAAAACATGTTTCCTCCTACAGTATTCCACTATTTCAGAAATTCACAGCACCAAATACCCTGTATTTCAAGCTAGAAATGTAGAGGATGATTCTTCAGGCAGCCTTTTCTCAATGACTCTTCATCATTTACATCCAACTCTTCACAGGTTGTGTGTCCTCTCTGAGAATTACATAGTCTTAGTAAATGAAGAGTGGCCCGTAAGTAACCTTCAATCGTCCAGTTTTTTTTTCTTCAATTCACGCCAGTTTCTCTACAGAACAGCTGGAGCTCTGCAATGTCAATGTTGGAGTAAGTACCATTCTCTGCCAGTATTACCATTTTATTTATGATGAGATAAATTATCCTTAAAAATGCCCACACAAATCTATACTAAGTAACACAATTAAATTATGTCTTTGTTTTACAGAAAAGTACAAGGCAAATAGAATCAATTGTTATTATATAATCTTTATAACTACACACAAAGGTACTAGATATTTCAGACCCCACTTCATACATCTGAAATTTGACTCTCAAAGTCATTAACTCCTCTTAAAGTCTAATTTCAGATTGCAAAACTACCTCTTTCCACAATATTGTGCTATCTGCCTTTAAGAACCAGCTGGGGAATCATTAAGAATAAAAAATATAATTTTCTTCAACATCTCCTAGCTGAGCCAAAATCTAAATTTTCTGTGGAGATGTTGGTGTGCACAATTTTGCCAAAACTTTTACAACTTTAACCACAGCCATGCTTCTGTGGCCTACCTGTTCATCCAATACCTGCACGCATGCTTTAACATAGAAAAATTTGAAAGTTAATACGAGTATTAACTCTTATCATTATAGACAATGACATCTGAAGACGCTTTCCAATCTTCCTTGAGTATATAATATCCAAAATGTCAGTACAGTCTCCAAAATGTCAATGTAATCTTAGTAGCAGTGGTTCATTACAGAAGATAATTTTGCCACAGTGGTCAAATATTTTTGTTAAATACTGCTATTTTATAGCCATACATAGCATTAACTGACCCATGTTGTATAGCTAGAAAAATGATCCTAAAGAAAATGTTCAGAAATAGGTTTCATATATTTTGCTAAATTGCAAACTAACAGGTTAATCGCTACCGTGAAGTGCTAGACAGTTGGAGTAGTATTTACCAAGAATGAAAAAGAAGATAGGGCCATATGAATTGAGAAGGCTGCCGTTATGAAAAGATATCATATTTATTCCTGACTCCTGGCTTGATATTCTTTGTGTGGGGCTTATTTTTTTTTATGGTTGTTGTTCTGTTTTTGGTTTTTTGTTGTTGTTTTACTTTCTCTTATGTGTCAGATCAGAGTTTCACAAACATCCTCAAATAATTACATGGGTCATAAATAAAACATATACCCAGAAACTTATAGCTATTTTACTTCAAAATCCTGGTTCAATCACCTGGAATGAGACCTGGAGAACCAGTAATTCTCACAAGTATGCTAAGTGATTATTACCAAAATGACAATTGTGAAATATTTAGACAATCATCCAGGAGCTAGGTAATCAACATTTAATAATTGGTTCTTACTGTAAGGGTAAAGGATTTTGTTGAAATGACTATTTAAATGCAAGTTTTATTAAAAAGATAGAAGTGAGCACTTCAGTGCTTTCTAATTAGTGTCTTTAAAGTATGTTTTGCTAAAATGGCAAAATAATTTTTTCATCTGAAGTTAGCATTATGGCCTCAAATGACTTCTGAGTTAGCTTTTGGAAAATCTTCAGATGATAAATTCTAAAAACTATCTTGGGTGTTTGTAAAACTTCAGAACATCACTAGGAAGAATATAAATAAAATTACCACTATGCAAAATAATCAAAATAACTCATACAAATGTACAGGAAAAAATATATACAATCTAGCCCAGTAGAAGAAAGCAGTACAGGTAAATAATTAGATCCTTTTTAGAAAAGAGGAAAGTCAACTGACCAACGAAAAATGGCTAGATGCTTGAACTCATTAGTAATCTGGGGATATAAATCAAAACCACATTAGGTTCCAACTTTTGTTCATTAGCTTGTCAACTATTAAAATAATAATTACTGAGTGTAGTCAAGAATGTAAGGAATGATAATTTTTCCCATCAATCCACAGGACTATCTAATCATATTTAGTAAAATTAGGGTGACTAAAACCTTTATTGATCCAATGGAAACTTTTTTAGGATAAAAGAGTACGAACATATACAAAACCATTTATTATTTAATATATTATTTCCTTACAGGCAAATTGTTTTTACTGTATGGTTGGATCTATAAAACAGTTACCTTCCAAATATTTTTGAAAATGAAATACCTTGAAAAATTTAAAACCACAATAGTATATCTTGAAGCAAAAGAGAAAAATAACTTCTTTAAATTTATTGTTTAAACATTAGAAATAGTAGGCAGAATAACGATTCTGAACATATTTATATGAATTAATGTGTTTCTTAACAATAATTATACATAGTTCTTTTCTAGAAAATGCATTTCTTTTAATGTTATATTGATTTTTAAATAAAGTTACTTGCAAGCTTTTCCAAAGTTGCTTCTTGTTGTCACCAATAAAAGTTATCACCAATGTTTAGCTTTTTAACTGAACATTAAAAATCATTTATCACACATTGTTCAATGTTTTATTTCTGGCACAATAAATTTCAAAAGCTTTATTTTGTTTGCAATGATTGATTAAAAATTCAAACTGTTTTTTAATGTAATTTTCTATTTGAAACATCTAAATGGCATTATTCAATTCTTTTGGAATTTCTTCTGTAGCTAATGGAGCTAACATACTAACAATTACTGATGCATATTTCTTAAGTGCAGAAAAATTAGAATTAAAATGTACACAATTGATTTTTTAAAATAGTAATATAATATAAATAAAAAGCCAGGCATCTCAGAATTATATGCTTAATTTTTCCAAATTCACACACTAAACCTGTGAAAATGTCATCTTCAGGCATAGTTTTCTTAATGTAACTAATTATTATGTTATGAAATAGCAGCTGCTTTTTCCCCTCAGCCATCTGTATTCTGGATTTCAGGATATCACTTTTAGCCTGTGATCCCAACATGGACTACATGGGATCACAGGCTACCCCATGGGTATCATGACTACCCCATGTGTTTACTGGCACTCTTTAAACCATAATTTGATTGAACGGGAAACTGAGTAGTTTTCAATTAAGTACCTACTTGCATTTTTAGGCCATTGCTGATGAAACAGATTTTTTTAAATAGTCATTAGCAAATAGCCCATAAATAGGTAGTTATAAGAATATAACAGATGACAAAACGACTGTGGCCAGACAAATCAACTACTGTCTGTCACCTAAGCTTCTATTTCCAACACATAATTTACATATATCTAGCCTATTATTTCCTTCCTTTTCCCCAGACCTACCATTTCCACAAGGGGCAAATAAGAAAAAGAATTTAACACCCCCCATATAAAGTACAAACAGTAATCTGAAAAGAACCACAAGGGAAAAAAATTCAAAATTTACAACTATCTACCCTAAAAGAAGCTGAAAGTCCCTCAAAAACTTTCTAGAGGCCATGTCCTTCTATTACAAAAATGATCATAAGAACTGCAGGAGTAGAAGAATAAAAATGCATCTTAAAACTTGCTAAACACTTCAAGTCTCCCATAAGAATTGTAATGGAAAATGGATCAGTCAGCAGTTTTTTCCATACAATTATGAACGAATTATATTTCCTCATACACAGATTTGTTTTTTCAATATTCTAAGGAATTAACTTTTATACTAATAGTAGGTGATGTAAGAAAGCAGGCCTTTATCAAGATAACTGACACTGGATGTCCATACCATTACTCAGGTGGGCCTTAATTCCCAGCCGGGTTCCCTCCCTGGACACACACTGAAGGTCCCCAGCCATTTGGCAATCTCTTCACATTCCCAGCCCTGGAGGTAGCCCTAAAATACATGTACCTGAAGAAAATAAAACATTGCCTCACACTGGAGCCCAGTGTGGTCCTCCAGATTCCGTGTGAGGTGGACTAACTTATATGGGAAGGCAGGGCAGCGGGAGTGAGGATGGCAGAGAGGATTACACATGTCAAGGCAGCCGGGGTCATGGAAACAAAACATGACTGGCCTGGGAGAAACACTGTGAAAGGACACAGACCTAGGTGGGCCTCAGGTGGACATCCTCGTGGAGAAAAAGGGGGCCCTGGTTGATCTCAAAATGAGCCCCAGGTGGTAGCAGGTCTTACCGCAGGGCAGGGAGCTGGCGAATGATAATGAGACAGCTATCCCTTTAGCCCTGCTTGTCACCCACTGACTTTAGCCACATATGCATCATAGTGGCTTAAGGGGCCCCGATCGTGAAATGTGGGTGTTACATGTCCCTGATGGGTCTCTCTCCCCCAACCCATGGATTGTCTGGGATTGCTCACTGCAGTCTCCTCCAGGATCCTTGGGTTCTCCATGTGTGGCCCAGATCCAGGTCAAAAGGCCTCTCAGTTCCCAGCGCTTCCCAGCCCTGGGCTGCTCGACTGGCCTCCTCTCTGTTACGCCTCTAAGGCTGACCCAGTCCCCATGGGATAGAAATGCAATGGATTGAGCCATAGGCCCTGGCTCATGATCTAGGGGACTGCAGAAGTGGGTCCAGGACAGTTCAGGTGACAGTTTAAAGCCAATTCCCCAGAGACCAAGGAATGACCAGCTAGGTCCTTTCCCATGATGCCCCACGGCAAACACCACCTCCGAACTCGTGCCAAAACCCAGGCAGTCATGTTCAGCCAAACAGCTGAATAAGCTCAGGTAGGAGGTGTACTGCCTGCAGCTGGAGGCTTAACCTTCGTGAACCCAGAACCGCTGGACTGCAGTGGAATGAGACACCCTGTAGCCTGCAGGGAGAGGAGTCAGGAAGGTTCATGCCAGTTCCACCCTCCCACACACCAGCTCTCCTACCATGCTGGGAGGCATTCCTTACCGAGGATGCCAACACAGTGCTCCTTCATGATGATTTCACTGTGGAAATAAAGGTTGGGATGAAAGGAAATCATCCTGCCACCGGTAACCGGGATGGCTGTGTTCCTCCACCTGCCGGATCAAGGAGAAAGAGGATGGATTCAATGGGACCATCTCAACTAGCTGGGCTGAGGTGGCCTACTTGCTGTAGTGAGCCATGAGTTTCCCTTTCCCAGCTCTGCCACTGAGACGACCCTGGTCCCAGGGGGACCTCAAACTGACTCAGACACTGGACTCCTCCCACAGACCCAGGCTCCCCAGCCTGACCTGCAAATCCATCACGTAGCAAAGCAGGACTTCCGCATGCTTTCTGACCCACGCCGACATCTCGTGTGCCAAACAATCTACCTCTGCGCAAGAACTCTCCAGAGGATTGGGTGGGCAAGCCTCGTGACGCCTTGCAATTTCGCAAGAACACAGACAATGTGGAACAGGGCCATCTCCCAGACATTTGGCCAGTCACCCTTCATTGTTGGCCCTCTATCTCTGTCTGGGGAGGAGGCAACGCCACAACTGTGGTGGTTTTTGGAGTGGGTGGACCCCGGCCAAGACGGCCTGGGCTGACCAGAGACCGGAGGCAGAAAAAGTGGGCAGGTGGTTGCAGCTGAGGGACGGGAGGGGCGGGGGGTGGTGTGAGGCGGCTGCTTCTCTGGGTTTCTGAGATGCAGGAGGCCTTTGTGTGCTGGGTGCTGGACATGCTCCGCTGATGTCCGGGTGTGTGGTGTCCTCTTATCCTAGTCTCCCTGAGGGGTGGGCCTGTCCACCTGAGGGAAGCCTTGTAGTTAGAAGCCACAGCAGGGTCGTGCCTGGCGCTCTCCAAGGGAATTGCGTGGGTCCAGAGGAAGTTATACAGGCTCAGGGCCTACACCCCTTTGAGTGCAGCGCCTGCAGTTGGAAGAATGCGCATCTGCGGAGCTGGTGCCCGCCGTCAGGTGGTCGGCAGCCCCATGCGCCGCGAACCCGTCTTAAGCACCTTGTGTTTCTGGGGTGAGCCTGCTGGAAACAGGCACCGAGAGCAGGGGTGGTTCAATGGCTGGTAATGGCATACAGATTCCCCGTCCTCCAGGGACGTTCCCAGGGAAACGTGTCCTTCGAATTTGGGCTGTGCGCAAAGGGACCTTGGCGCCGCGATTCTCCCTTGTCAGTGCTGGCCCTGGCTCCCCTTCCCTACCACGTGCTCCCAGGGCTGCTACAAGCGAGCTGCCCTCACAGCTGCGGGAACGTGGCCTCGGCTCCCACGCTGTCCCCCATCCCCTGCCTCCTGGCTGACCCCACGCGCCTCCCACCTGGCTCCTCCCCCCAAACAGCCCCCATACCCCCCGAGGCCCGATGACTATCCCCTGCTGCCCGCCATCCCAAATCGGCAGCCGCAAGGATATGGCTCTGGCTCACAAGGCGGAGATGCTCTGTGGCCTGGGGCATTCACGGAGCCCAGCTCCAAGTGAAGGACCTCCAGCGAGTCCATTGACGGCCCCGGTGTGCTCGGTCCAGGGCCAGGCTGTGCCCGCTGGCCCTCCTTCTGCCACCCCACGTCGGGCTCCACCTCAACCACCACCTCCACCTCAGCCATGATGTCTTCCACCTTCAGCACCGCCTCCTCTTCCAAGGCCGCCTCCTTGCTCTGTACCCCGGCCGTCCTCTCCAGCATTGCCTCCAGCCTGAACACGGTTTTCTCCTGGGTGCTCCCACAGACCCTGGGCCTGCGCAGCCCAGCCCAGCCCAGCCCATGCCCCGCACCCGTAGGCTCTGGGGGCCCGCTCCCCAGCAGACCCGCTCCCTGCAAGACCCACGGGCGTCGCCCTGCTGTGAACCTGGTCCCACACCTACGTGGACCCAGGTTTCCTGAGGAGCTCCGCTGGACCCGCAGATCCCGCACTGGCCAAAGGGCTCCGGTCCCCAGCAGGCTCAACTGCGCACAGGAGCTCGGGAGCCAGAGGCCCCGGCCCTGGGCTTGCAGAGCCCCACCAACAGGCACCGCAACCGCTGCTGCGGGTGCGGGAGCCTCTGGGTCGTCAAGGCAGCGCACAACAGCGTGCGCGCAGGCCGACAATGGCCAACCCTGGCGGCTGGCCTCTGGTGTGCCCAGGGCATAGGACAAGAGGCCCTTTGGAATGCTCCTTGGAGTACAGCATCCTCAGGGAGGAAGCATGGTACTCGGAGCCTCTATTTGCCTCGACCTGTGAGAGTGTGTGCCGGGGCTCTGGCCTCTACAGCAGATCAATTCCACCTCAGCACCGGCAGGCGACTTTCCTCCCACGTGCCCGCCCCGATCACTTCCCCCAGGACACCCCTGCCGCCCTAGCCCCAGCAACCAGAGAGAGTTCTCTGCATCTGCTGTATTACCTCCGTACCATCTACCTGGCCTGCCTAACGAAGAGAGATGTTTCCTGTGTTCATGACACATAGAGATGTTCATGGCTTGCCACACTGAGGATGTCAGGGCACAGGGCTGCCATGCCCACAATTCCAAAGGCCACGCAGCCCGCGTGTGCCCGGATGCCTAGCTACCCGGCACAAGCTCCAAGGGCTTCTCGGAGGAGGCTTGGGCAGGGAAGGCGGGGGTTGGGGGGGCTGGAGATGCAGGCCCGCCAGTGGCTGTGCCGCCCAGGGAGACGCCCACCGCCCTCCCATTGACTGGCCACGACGGGAGGAAGTCGGCCTGGGTGCGGCCCCCCGGCCCTTCGCGCGCAGTCCCTTAGGGGGCGCCTGGAAGCCCGGCGCATGCGCCCTGAGGGCTCGCTGACCTACCGGGTGCCAGAGAGGCTGCGGCAGGGTTTCTGTGGCGTGGGTCGGGCAGCACAGGCCTTGGTGTGTGCGAGTGCCAAGGAGGGCACCGCCTTCAGGATGGAGGCTGTACAGGAGGGGGCGGCCGGGGTGGAGAGTGAGCAGGCGGCTTTGGGGGAGGAGGCGGTGCTGCTGTTGGATGACATAATGGCGGAGGTGGAGGTGGTGGCGGAGGTGGAGGTGGTGGCGGAGGAGGAGGGCCTCGTGGAGCGGCGGGAGGAGGCCCAGCGGGCACAGCAGGCTGTGCCTGGCCCTGGGCCCATGACCCCAGAGTCTGCACTGGAGGAGCTGCTGGCCGTTCAGGTGGAGCTGGAGCCGGTTAATGCCCAAGCCAGGAAGGCCTTTTCTCGGCAGCGGGAAAAGATGGAGCGGAGGCGCAAGCCCCACCTAGACCGCAGAGGCGCCGTCATCCAGAGCGTCCCTGGCTTCTGGGCCAATGTTGTATCCTTCTCAGTGTTTCTTCGGCCTTTCTAGTGGAGAGGTGCTCTCGGGGAAGTGTAAGTGACCGATGGGCAGCTCGGCGTCGATGTGACTCTTTGGGGAACAAAGGGGAGTTGCCACGGACCAGTGTGGCTGTGGAAAGCCGGAGCAGGCGTGGGTACTATTGTCCTGCATGCGGCAGAGAAACCCTTGGTGATGCCGAGCAGCAGACGTTTGGGGCATCTTTTTGAAGAGCAGAAGCGAGTTCAGAGCGGAAGAGGTTTTTCAGTGAATGAAGCTATTTTTAAGGGAGTGTGATTGCTGCCCCTTGCTAGTCCGATCTGGGACTGGGCGTCTTCGGCTATAAGCAGATTCTGCCACTCCTCAGACACCAGCAAGTCTCTGCAAATCGCGCCTCCCCATGTCAGTGCAGTCAGCCTCAGAATCATACACCCTCTGTGAACACAGGAGGCCTTAGTTTACGGGGAGGGGGAGGCGAAAGGAGATCATACATGGAAGCAGATCTGAGAAATCCCCTACCCCAGCCTCTGGGTGCTCTTAGGCCTTCTTCCCTGTTGCTCCTCGCTTTCCCTTCCATCGTGTGTAAAGTCTCTTTGACCTAAATCAGATTGCAAACCACCCCCAGATGTCAGCCCTGATCACTGACGAAGATGAAGACATGCTGAGCTACATGGTCAGCCTGGAGGTGAGGCCAGGAAGACTGGGGCTAGAGGGTTTAGCGGGGGAGGGTAAGGGAAATAATTCATTCCTGTAAGCAAGAGTGAGCACCTCACCCGAAAACCTATCTAAGCTTTCTCCACCTTGTCCTGACAGGTGGAAGAAGAGAAGCATCCTGTTCATCTCTGCAAGATCATGTTGTTCTTTCGGAGTAACCCCTACTTCCAGAATAAAGTGATTACCAAGGAATATCTGGTGAACATCACAGGTGACAGGTGGCTCCCAGGATGGGTAGTGGAAGGAAGATGGTGGGTGGATCATTGCCAACGGGATCCAGCCCCCTTCCCACAAAAACTCCTGTCTCTGTAGAATACAGGGCTTCTCATTCCACTCCAATTGAGTGGTATCCGGATTATGAAGTGGAGGCCTATCGCCGCAGACACCACAACAGCAGCCTTAACTTCTTCAACTGGTTCTCTGACCACAACTTCGCAGGATCTAACAAGATTGCTGAGGTGAGTCCTCACTGGGAAACATGAGGAATGACCCCATGTGTTCCCAGCTGCTTGGGTCACCTTTCTGAGCCCTGATGAGGCCTTTCCCGATTGAGTCCCCTGACAGATCCTATGTAAGGACCTGTGGCGCAATCCCCTGCAATACTACAAGAGGATGAAGCCACCTGAAGAGGGAACAGAGACGTCAGGTGAGCCGTTAGTTGGCACTGGAGCTGTTTGATGCCCAGTATAAGGGGGTTGACACACCTGCCTATTCAGGGAGCCTGGGTGCTCATTTCAGAAATGTAGAAATTGAGGCTCCTTTCGTACATGTAGAAATTCCTTGAGAGGAAGACAGAGAGTGACAGAATCCAGGACGTTCATGGCATTGGGCTGAAAAGGCACGTTAGAGACTGCACTGCAAAGCGGGTGATAGCTGTGGAGTCTTAAGCCCAGTGAAGAATCGTCCATTTCCAGAATCAATGAGAAGTAAAGCTGAAAATCATTCAGTTCAGTCTGTGGCACTTGATTCCACGGCTGTCAACCCCACCGGCAGTCATCCCGCCAACCCCATGAGATTGGGCTCCCTGAATGTGCGTCCTGGTCATCCTTGCCCCAAACCACAAAGGACTGTTTAGATTGATGGATTTCCTTAAGCTGTTGCCCCATCAGACTTGTGTGTGCTTTTAGGGTCCAGTGCATCTTGTTAGCTGACTCCCCTCACAGACAATACTGGGAATGGGGCAGGGATTGCGCAGAACAGTTTGTAACACGTGGTAGGAGGAAGTTTAAGGGATCACAAATGGGGAAGGGATATCCTTTTCTCAGCGGGCCCCACAATTGAAACATTTCAAAGTATGGCTCAGAGAAAATGCGTTTTAACATGAGTTTGTGTTTCTCTAGGGGACTCCCAGTTGTTGAGTTGAATATGATGGAGCATCAGATTTTACCTAATACAGCAGAACTCCTAAAAAGTTACAGCCATATGCAGGACGGCAGTACTCAGCATGGTCTTATGCACAGGAACTAAAGGAAAAAGAGATCGAGTCACAAAAATTCAGGAAGAGGGGGTAAATGTGGATTGTATGGAATGAAAAATAAACATTCTCAAGGATGTGTGACTCTGTGTCTGTGTGTGTGTGTGTGTCTTTGTGTTTGTGTGTGTGTGTGTGTGTGTGTGTGTGTGTATGTTTATCCACTTTATTCGGGTGTCATAATGAATTGATCAATCCACGTGCTTTATTCTCTTCATGGAAATAACCAGTCTGCGTTGGAGCTGGGCCTCTAAAGTTGTAGAGTGAATGGGTGTGGGATGTGTTGGGATTCTTCCTACAGGACAGAGTGGGAGAGGTAAAAGCAAAAGACAGCTTAGTTGGAGGCTGACTTCGTCCTATGGAAGCAGAGATAGTTCAAGGAAAGGGGTTACTGGGTTTCCAGGGCCCAGTTTGCTGGGACCTCCAAAATCCTTCATTTTGGGTATCATCATACACAGTAGCTAAGCACAGGATGATGGAAATCTTAAAGTTCGCTTTCGTGTTGAATCCACATGTTCTTTTAAAGGTGAATGCATGATCCTTTTCTGGGACAATCAGCCTCTCAGGACTTCTGAAACATCAACGTGAGAAGAAATGGGCATGCAAGGTGTATGGAGGGACTGTGGGAAAGGTGACAGAGGCATGTGGGAAGGCATTCAGGATACGCTTTTGGCAGACATGACTAAGGGAAAACAGAAACTTACAGAAGTGAGGGGAAAGGGGGTGGATTAGTGGAATATAAGATTGTTGGAGAATCCATCCATGGACTCTCTTGTCACTTGATGACCCAGGATATGGACACTCTTGTTGATGTTTACATCTTTAGTTGTTTTAAGCTTTTCTCCAAGATTCTGTGTTAGGTGAGGAGCCAATAACGTATGTAGCTAACAACAGTACGAGTGCATTTTGTGCTCTTGCAAAGTCTAGTGAGGCTCTATTCTCCCTCGTGATTGGCACTGCAGATTGTATCTGGACCCAGGGCCCCTAAATTTTCTGTGGCCTCTTCAGCATAGTTTGCCTAAGGTTTAGAACGTAAAGTGAATATAGTTGCGGAATATGTTTTGCAAGCCTCACACAGGAGGACAAAACATACAGCTTTCATTCGCGAGTGGGAGGCTGCTTCCCAGGAACACGTGTGTCTGCACAAGACAAGGGGTTGCCTCTGTCAAGGATGGGGCAGGAGGATTTCAGTGTCGGAGGCAGAACTTTCTTTCCTGTTCCCAGATGAAACAGTTCCAACACGAGCATCCATGTTGACCACACGCTACTAGAGTGCTAACATTGCTGTCCCGTATAGACTCCAGTCAGCACAGCTTCTGTGAGAAGAGCTATGTTGTTTCAGGGAAGAGGGTTTGACAGTCAAAGTTCCTGAATCTGTTGTGGTGCCTGCAATATGCATTCTACACCTCCTGCTCGGTGTCAAAGCAGTTGAGCTTTGAAAATCTATCGCCCGGTTTTGTCCCTGCTCCTATGCAGACCTCTGAAGCTCTGGAGCGGGAGTCTTGTCCTCCTCTGACTACCGTCCCCCTGACCCACAAACACAGGAGAAACAGGTGTTCTAAGCAAATTATTCTGAAAACAGTCGGAACACTTTGGCCCCCTCAAGCTGCCCTCTATCCTACTGTGTGCATGTCAAAGACACTGTGGTCCAGTACGGTATCCCTATAGCGGCAATGGGGCAACAGATTGGTGTGTGCACTCTGGGCAACTCAGATTAGGAAACGTCTGGGGACTTGCCTATAACGAGGTCGTCTTAAAACGTGTTGCCCCAAATTTAAGGCATAGGAAAATGTTGAGGAAAGGGTCTTGCAATGATTTTTCTAGGAGGTAAATAGATAAGAAAATGACCGTAAATAGATGCCAGGGCTAGTTTTGGAGCTAGCCTTTTTTAAAGTGGTGGTAGGGGAGGAGGTTTTTCCAAGGCAGGTAGCAAACCAGGAGCTGTCTACGATGGATGGGCGTGCCATGGGTTGGTGGCTCAGCCATATTGCCACCCCACGGAGTCGATGCAGCAGACTGGGCTTCTTGCTTGAATCCTACGTGCAATTCAGTCTAGTGATTTCACATGAGATCCCTTCTTCTGGTATTATCACAGATCGTGCTGAATTATACAGGCTGTGTAATGCTTCTTCCACTGAATATCCGTGCACGTGGGCCACAGATGCTAAGGGCACTGACAAATTTGCACCGTGCCTCAGTAACTCGGAAGCACATCTGTGATTTGTACCGACAGGGACTTGGTGTCTTTTCGTGTTTAAAGTAGCACGTGTGTGTTTGTGGTTGCGTATGTTTATTTCTCTGTGCGGGTTTGTATATTTTCTCTGACTCCACCTATGTCTCCGTGGTTCCGATATTTTTCCACACTCCCTGCGGCAATTTGCACATGCCTATCTCTACAACCATTGTAGACTTTGTATCTGTGTCTTTGAACATCTGTCACTCTCTCTCCCTTCCTTTTTTCTTTTCCTTCCTTTACACCCCTCCTTTCATCCTTCCCTTGCTTCCCCACCACACTCTCTCCATCTGTATCGTCTATGTTTCTATTCTCTATCTGGGTTTACTTTCTAATTCTGAATTCAAGGGCATTGAATTGAAAAGAAGCACTCTTCGTACTTTTATGTGTTTTAACTCATTTGGGGAATTTGGCGTGGTATTATTTACAGGGTTCTCTCTGCCCTTTCTCATTGTTCTCCCCAGCCGGGGCTGTTATTATGTGAAAGCTGGTTTCCTTCATCACATCGCGTAGGCTCTAATGATGTTTCGTTTATTTTGATTCTCCTCACACTACATAGTTTTAATTTACCTAATGTGACTGTTTTTTTGTTTGTTTTCCGAGAATGGGTCTTACTCTGTCTTCTAGGTTGGACAGCAGCCCCACGATCTCAGCCCACTGCAGCCCAGGCACCACACACCCATGTGATCCTGTCAACTCAGACTCTCACACACCTGGCAGTACAGGTGCATGCCACCCCTCCAAGCTATGTATTAATTAACTAAATACTTACTTTTTGAATGTGGGTCCATGTTGCCCCAGGCTCATCTGGAACTCCTGAGTGCAGGCAATCCTCCCACCTCAGCTTATCAAAGTGCTGGGATGACAGGTGTGACCCATGGCCCTGCCATGGCTTTGTGTTTTTTGCTTTTTTCTTCCTCCTCCTCACGTCTTGTTTTGAAACATGCACTGAAGGTTTCAATTCATGGACTATAGCCTCTGTGCCTGGAATTTCTATCTTTCAACTCATCATCAGCATTCATTGGGATTTTCATATATATATATATATATATATATATATACATACCTATATAAGAATACCTATGTACACACATATATACGTATATACATGTATATACGTATATATGCACATTTATATACGTATATACATGTATATACGTATATATATACATGTACACATATGTATTTATTTCTCAAGTTACGAAACGGCTTGCATTCTTTCCTGTGTCATGAAAAAGACTTTGCTAGAAAAGAAAAGCACTGCTTTATAATAAAATATTTTATTTGCATTTATTTTGTTAAGGCATTTTAAAAATTGTATGTTTGTTTAAAAAATGTCATATGAAATGATACATATTTACAACTTAAGGCGTGATGTTCAACAGGTCATATACATTATGCATTGGATACATCCAGCCAATCAACATATGTGTGACCTCACATAGTTGTCATTTTTGTTGTGAAAAAACTTGACCTGCACTGTATTCGAATATTTTTAGAGAAAGAATATGTTACCACTAGTTATAGTGAGCATGCTGAAGAAAATATTTTAACCTATTCCTCCTTTATAACTAGAAGTATGAGTTCTTCATCCAGCATCTCGTCAGTGCACCCTCTTCACCGCAGTCATTGGAGTCACTACTTCTGTGAAGTCCGCTTTTTTGATTTCATATAAGAATGAGATCATGTGCTATTTTCCTTTCTGATACCTGGCTTATGTCACTTAACAGAATGGCATGCACACATTCAGCAGATTCCCACACATTCTCACAACTGGCAGGATTTCCTGATTTCTTATTGCAGCGCATATTTCCGTTGCGCATATGCGTTTTTGCCCCATTTTTTAATCCACTTATCAATGGAGGGACACTCAGGTTGCTTCCGCATTTTGGCTACAGCAAAAATGTAATGAGTGCAGCAATAATTGCATGGGTGCGCGCACCGCTTCAACATACTGATCTGTGTACTGGCGGGCGTGCCCGGGTATTCTGATTTGCTGGATCATATAGTGGGTGGTTCTACTTGTAGATTTCTGAAGGCTGTTTATACTTAAATAAGAGCCATAAAGCTTCTTTAATGCCAGCACTAATTTACATTCTCCCCAAAAGTGAGCAGGGAATTCGTTTTCTCTGCCTCCTCACCAGAGATTAGGGTTTTCTTTTCTTTCTTTTTTTTTTTTTGTTTGTTTGTCTTTCGGATAATATGCATTCTGACTGAAGTGAGAAGAAATCTCATTGTGTTTTTGATTTGCATTTTCGTGATGGATTGGGGATAATGAGGAATTTTTAGTGTGTCTTCTGGGCAACTGTATGTCTCAGTTTCACAAATGAGTCTTCGCAGCCTTCGCCCATTTGTTTTCATGCTATTGAGTTGTTGGGAGTTCCTTATGTACTGTGACTATTCCCCCATGAACAGATGTATGGTGATCCAATCATTGCTCCCATCCTGTAGGATGCCCCTTCTGTATGTTGAGTTTTCTATGGTGTGGTGAAGCACTTTAGTTTGATATGATTCCATTCTCTATTTTTGATGGTGTTTACTGTGTTCTTGCAGTCACTTTGAGACCATCATTGCACACACGGACGCCATGGAGCTTCTTCCTTGTGATCTCTTCTGCTATTTTTATCGTTTCACATCTGACACTGGAGTTTGGTGATAAATAATCCACTTGTAAAATCCTTTGTGTGGCTATTCAGATTTCCCCAACCTAGTTTATAGAAGATACTTGATTTTGCATTGGGCGTTCTTGCTTCTTTGGGAAAAGGCTGTGAGCTGCAAATGCAGTGACTTAGTTCTGGGCTCCTGTTGTTTTTCCTAAGCTCTAGTCTCTGCTTTTCTGCCAGTGCTATTGTATTTTGGTACAAAAAGTTTTGTAGTAGTATATCATGAAGTTAGGTAGTGTGGTGGCTCCAGCTTTGTGCTTTTTACTGGATTGCTCTGGGTTTTCAGGATCTTCTGCCATTTCATAGCAAATTTGGGATTCCCAGATTGTTTTTCTAAGAAGAATGTGTCATTGATATTTTTACAGGGGTTGTATAGAATCTGAGGATGACTCAGGTAGTAGTGATGTCAATGCCGTTTAGACAATGTGCGTGTTTGTGTGCACAAGCTCAGGGCCAAGAGACACTGGGTGTCCTCACCAATACTGAGGTGGGCCTTAATATCCAGCCAGATTGCCTTCTGGAAACACACGGAATGTCCTGTTCTGTTTTGCCATCTCTTCACATTTCCTCCCCTGTGAGCCCTGTGTGGTCCTCCAGATTCCCTGTGCGGTGGCCTGCCTTTTTTGGGGTGGGGAGTTGCTGGGTGAATGAGGATGGCGGAGGGAACCAAGCATGTCAGTGGAGCGTGGTGTCATCCAAACGGTACTTAGCAGGCCTGGGAGAGTCATTCTGGGAGGACGCAGACCTAGAGAGGCCTCAGGTGGGCATCTGTGTGGAGGGTGAGAGATCCCTGGTTGAGCCCAAACTGAACCCCAGGTAGAAGCAAGCCTCAGGACAGGGAAGTAGCTAGCAAGGGATGATGAGGCAGCTATCTCTTGACCCTGGCTTCCCACCCATTGACCTTAGCTACTTATGCCTATTAAGCAGATTACGGTTCCCCCATCGTGAAATGTGGGTACCACCGTTCCCTAATGGGCATTTCTCCACCAGCCCATGATGGCCTGAGTTTCCTTACTGCAGTCTCCTCCCTGAGCCTTGGCTTCTCTATGTGTGTCCTAACTCCAGGACCCACAGGCCTGTCAACCCCCAGCCCTGGGCTGCTTCCCTGGCCTCTTCTCTGTTCCCTCTCTGAGGGCCTAACTCCCTTGGGTAGTGCTGCAGAATATAGAGCCACAGGCCCTGGCTGATGATCTGGTGGACTGGGCAAATTGGTCGTGACAGGTCAGGTTCTGGTTCAAAGCCAATTCCTCCGATGCCAAGGAATGTCGAAGAAGGTCCTTTGCCATGATGCCCCATAGCTGCCCCACCTCAGCAATCGTGCCGTAACCTGGGCCCTCACAGTCAGACAACCAGCTGAAGAAGCTCAGGCAGTGACCTGCGGGAAACTCGGGCTTTCACCTGCATGACCCTAGAACCACTGGACTGCAGTGGAGCCAGTCACCCTGTATCCTGGAGGGAGACGAGTCAGGAAGGCGCACGCCAGGCCCAGCTCCCGAGGTACTACCCCCTCTACTCCTCAGGGAGGATGCCAATGCAATACTCCTTAGTCATCACTTTGTTTCCGAAGTAAATGTTGTGATGAAAGGCAAACTTCTTCCTACCCCTTGTATTCAGGGTGGCCGAGTTCCTCCACCTGCCTGTCCAAGAAGGAGAAACAGGGCTGTGAAGGGGCAATTTCATCTAGGTGGGCTGAGGTGGCATTCTAGCCGGGGTGAAGCATGCGTTTCCCCTTCCCAGCTTTCCCGCTGAGACACACCTGAGCCCCAGAAGGACCTCAACCTGACCAGGACCTTAGCGCCCTCCCCCAGACCCAGGCTTTCCATCCTGACCTGCAAATCCAACATGCAGCTTTGAAGGACTTTCTCATGGTTTCTGAGCTCCTTGCTCTCACCAGAAAGAATCAGAACTTTTAAAGTGTTCTTTATGCCAACTTAAATTTTTTCATTTTTACTACCTCATGTTTTGGATGAGGCATGTATTTTTAAATTTATTTTCACCCTTATTGTACCTCTATGATAAACTGCTTGCTTACATTCATACCGTAATTATCTCTCAGGTTACTTGTCTGTTCCTAAAGATTCACTGAAACGAAGAATTCTATATATGCTTGTATCTTTCAGCAACCGTATGTCAGATAGCACTGCACATTACTGCAGACATCGCATATACAGGTCCAAAGGTAGAGGAAGAAGAAGAAAGCAAGCGTTAAACTCTATTCATTCCTAAAAGCATATCAGAAACTCACAAATAACAGTGAAATCAAAGAATGATCACAGCCAATTCCATTACATACCTAGACTGAAATACGAAACTTCAAAGAAAAGAAACATTAGAACTTTGGGTTTGTAAAAATTTTCCTATATAGATAAAATTATTGGTAACTGTGTCTCACTAGAAAACGTAAACAAAAATCCATGTTTTTCATATTTGTAAATATACATAGTTTTATTTCCATCAGTTATGACATGCAAGCAAGTAATAAAGTGAAAGTACAATCAAATGATATATGGAACTTCCTCAGTCTTAAAATATTCCATGGAGACTATCAATTTTATGAAAACTATAAAGAATGCTTCATGAAACTACATTGTACAGTGCCATTTACTATTTTACTGACATTTTAAATAATCAACAATTAAAGGGAATACGTCAACATTATTTAATACCAATAACGTTATTTTTCTTGAGTAATCCTGTTGAAATTAAGGATTTTAAATAAAACATTAAAAACAAATTATATTGACTGATTTCAGCTTTGGATGAAATCATACTTGTGTATTTGTAGTAATGCGAAGCATAACTTTCTCCTCACAATTAATCTTTTATAACATCGGTGTTATAGTTTTCTCTGACACCAACATTGTGATATCGCACAGGTTTACTGCATGCATGCATTACATGCCTCCAGAGAGTAGGCTTCAAATATATGGAAAAATTATATTTATGAAAAAATTCTAGGAAAGGGAATGGTGAAATGGAAGAGAATTTCTCACTTGCTAACTGTTGGACATGGATTTGTATATATTTGGATATAGACACATACTGGCACACTGTGAGTTTGCCCATGTATATATACACTTATATGAGAAACCCATAATATATGGGTTGTGTAATCTTTTAATTAATCCATAATTGTATGTGTGTGAAATTAGATAAGCGGTTACCTTTTCTTTACTCAATTTGATGGAAAGCCAAAAAACTCTGTCCACCTTCATTTCAATTAATCCAATACTGTTAACTGCTGGTAGCTTCATTCTCCTTGTTCTCTTACGGCAACCGGAAAGTTAATTCTCGCTCTAATTTGGCTTTCAAGGTGCGATCAACAAGAGTGTCACCTTGCTGTGGATTGTGACCTCTGACTCCACCTCTGTCTTCCTTTTGCAGTCCTACCTTTGCATAGGTAACAAACTTTGTACATGGTTAAAAGGATAAACGTTCAGTGAAATGTCAAGCCATGCTGTGAAATGTTCCATAGTTTCTATATCTCTAATTGTCCTTTGATGTTATAGAGGCAAGAAAAATAATTCAATGTTTTTCTTAGTATCTAGTCCAATGCACGCTTTCTTCATAATACTGCAAACAAGGCACTGACATGGAAACGTGGCTGGACGTCTCAAAATCTCTTCTCATTAATTACCATTATGTTAATCACTGTTGCCCACAACTGGAATTGGACTTTGAAATCCCCTGGTGGAAATTGCTATAATGGCTCAAACTACTGGAAAGACTATCTTTTTTTTACCTGAAAATATCTGATGAGCATAGACGTATGCTATATACAGGAACATATTGTACATTAACAACATACCATCACTGCCACTCAATAATAGGTATCCCAAACCTTTGAGCCAAACTGAGCTCGGGTGCTCCCACAAACCAAGCTTTTCCCTCCACAGATTTCTTATGTCAAAAAGCCACAACTCCAGGCCAGGCTTCGTGGCTCTTGTTGTAATTTCTACATTTTGGGAGGCCGAGGTTGGTGGGTCACTTGAGGTCAGGAGTTGGAGACCAGCATGGGCAACATGGCAAAAAGCTGTCTCTACCAAAAATACAAAAATTAGCCAGACCTAGTGGCACTTTCCTGTGGTCCCAGCTACTTGGGAGGCTGAGGCAGGAGAACCACCTGAACATGGGTGGCAGAGATTGTATAGTAAGCCAAGATCAGACTACTGCACTCCAGCCTGGATGACACAGCGAGACCATGACTGAAAAAAGAAAAAAAAAAAAATAAAGGCAACTCCACTCGTCCACTGGCTTAGGTAAAAAGTACTGGAGTTGGCTGGGCTCGGTGGCTCACACCTGTATTCCCAGCACTTTGGATTTTGGGAAGCTGAGTCGGGCGGGTCACCTGAGATCTGTAGTAGGAGAGCAGCCTGGCCAACATGGTGAAGCCTGGCTTCTACTAAAAATACAAAACATTAGCTGAGCGTGGTGATGCATGCTTGTAATCCCAGCTACTGCAGAGGCTGAACCTGGGAGGCGGAGGATGTGTTGAGCTGAGATCCTGCCACTGCGCTCCAGCCTGGTCTACAGAGCGAGAGTACCCTGTGAGAAACAAAGGTGAAGAGAACAAGAAAAAAAAAATGAGAAAAATAAGACCCACTGCAAAAGGTTGCCACAGAAAAGATTAAACATTTCAGCAACTTCTATCTTCTGTCATGGAAGCCAAGGTTATTTGGACCAAACCTCCTGTCTTAGTTCATTTTCACGCTGCTGAAGAAGAGATACCTGAAACTGGGAATAAAAGGAGGTTTAATTGGACTGACAGTTCCACATGGCTGTGGAGGCCTCAGAATCATGGTATACGAATAAAGGCACTTCTTACATGGCAATGCCAAGAGAGAATGAGGAAGAACCTGAGGCAGAAACCCCTGAAAAACCCATCAGATCCCGTGAGACTTCTTCACTGTCACAAGAATAGCATGAGAAAGACCGACCCCCATGATTCAATTACCTCCCCCTGGGTCCCACCCGCAACACGAGGGAATTCTGGGAGATACAATTGAAGCTGAGATTTGAATGGAGACACACCAAACCATGTCACTTCCCAAACAATTAAAAATTCCCAATAGAAGAAGCATTAATTATATCAAAAAGTGGTGGACCAAGAAGGAACTATTAGCCTCATATCTCAAGAAAGACTCCAGTCAAGGCCTAGGGACTACTCATGAAAAGAGTTTAATAGCCGACTCTCTCCCAGTGGATCTGGATTCCACCGGACTGTATCTTCACAGTAAGGGTGAAACAGAAGCAAACCCATTCCTATTTCCAAGCTCAAGGAACTTTGGTCAAAGTTCTCTTGGAGCTGAGCAGAACAAGGAGGCAAACAGAAAAGATTTGTGTCCCTGAGAAGTCATGGCCACAGGCTGGCTATCACACAGATTGTCAAGCCAGTTCCATATTGCATGGGTATTACAGAAAATCTCAAAACATAAATTTGTGTGTGGGTTGTCCCAGAGTAGCAGGATCTGGCAGAAGGAAATTTCCTTCTAACCCTCAAAGAATCCACATAAATCTTGTTACATTTGGGATTTTACGATTTGCTTCAGGAATGAGAATGGCCTTAATTTTCATATCTTTTTCTACACTCAGTTTATGGCTTGTTGGCGTCAAAGTTCTGCTTGCTTCACACAATGAGTTTAGGATTTTCCCTTTTTTATTCTATAGAATTCTTCATATATATTGAAATGCTCTGCCTGGGGAAAAAAATCTGAGCCTAGCGTTTTATCTCTAGGAAGAATCCTTTATTTCCTTGAACATTTATGAGACTATACAGATTATATATGTCTTCTTGTATCAATTTTACTAAGCTATATACATAGCTTATGTTTATATATTATATATATAAATGTAAGATACAAATATAAAAATTATGTATAAATATGAAAATATATATAGAAAGCGATATATATGTCTATATATAGAGACAGATTATAAATATCTGTCTATTTGATCTAAGTTTTCAAATTTGTAGGTTAAGGTGTTAACGATATTTCCTTATTAGCTTCTTAATCTATGCTGTATCTATGGTTGTGTACCTTTTAAATTCTTAGTTTTATCTATGTTTTCTCCCTTTTTTTCTAAACTTGACTGACGGTTGCATCATTTATTATATTTCTCCAACAAGCAAAGGTTAGCTTTGTATGTTTTACTAATTTTGTCTACATCATTATTCCCACACTTTAGTTTTTCAGAATTGATTCTGTTGTTTCTTTTCTAATTCTTTATTGAAATATCTAGTACATTAATTTTCAAGTTATTAGAGAAATATTTGTCTGTAAACTCCTATTGTAATATCACTTTTCTTGCTACTCACAGATTTAATCTTTAATATTGGCGGTATCATTGAGTTCTAAGTACATTTCAATTCCTAGTATGATAATCTATGAATTGCTGAGAAATAGTGTTTACAATTTTGTTGTTCTATTTCCACTTAAGTTTATTTTTACTTCTGCTAACTCAATTGAAAATTCTTTACTAATTTTTAAAATCCTTGAACCCAAGAGATGGAGGTTGCAGTGAGCTGAGATCAGGCCACTGCATTCCAGACTGAGTGACAGAGTGGAACGAGATTTCAAAACAAAACAAAACAAAACAAAACAAAACAGTCACTGGAAAGATAATAAAATACATAAATGTGGGATGTAATATGTAATCGTGATAAAATAAACTGGATTTTTTGTATAAGTTATACATATAAATGTAATGCCAAGACACTGATAAGACAACTCATGGTCTTATCTCAATACTTAGTGTCTTCATGTAACATATGTCCTTTAGGATAGTTATAGTCCGTTTTCTTTCCAGGAGAGACAGATGAGAATGCAGAAATGTTAAAGTGCAAGGGACGGAAGCTTCCAGCTGTGCCCACCTGTAACCTGACGTAGACAGTTCCACCGTTTGCTTCATTAATCATGCCAAAGGCTCTAATGCAAATGTGGTACAGAGTCACATGTTTTTGTATCTACATGATAGAAACTATAACTTCATCCCTATATAGAAGGGTATATAGCATATGCCTCAGTGATAAATATAAGTGAATCATTGATCAGTAGGAAACCATTTTAAAAGTCTTTCATAACAGAACAAAATCCCTGAGAACATTTTCTTCTCAATCTCTGAGTTTTCTTACACGGCTTATGAATCTCTAGCCATACTAAAGAGATAGTATGCTGCTCTTCCCACAAATTATTCATTGTATATAATTCCTGTAATCTAATAACAGTACCTTTACACCTCAGGGTTTAAAATGACTCCAACCTTTTTCTGTTTCTCCAATTAAAATAACTTTTTTAAGGTTTAATCTTCAGTAATTTTTTGTAGTAATATTTTTGAAGGTATTTGACCAGGATGATTTGCTTATATACCTACCTGACGTCTCCCTTTCTTCTGAATACATATTTTATTACCCACCTATTAGATCTAAGTTTAAGAAGTTGGAATAGGGATTTAAATCTAAATTCTACATTTGAATTTACAGGAGTCAGCGAGTCCAGGAAGTGCCTTTATGCACAGACCAATATCTGGCAATGGCACTAGGGGACAAATAAGCTTTACCAGTCTCAAAGCCCTGGCTACTACAGTGAATCCACCCTTCTCCTGGATCTTATCTACTTCAGCAAAAGAAGGCCACCCACTAAACCAGGCCCTTGTACTTTGGGTGGAAACTCCTAAGTCCTCTAGTCTCCTCAAACAGACAGCCAGGCTGCCAATTTCCACAATAATAATTTCTATAGCACTGAGTCTTTGGTAGCCTTGTAACTATAGCTACTGATGCTACAGTCTGGTCCCTGTATGATAAAACACCAGAGCAACAGAAACAAAAATATTGACTGAAGCCTTCTAAAATCTCTCTAAATATACCTTCAATAAATATGGTTTTTTTTACAGAACGACTGCTTTCAGCTTCCTGAACTAACGCTTGGCCTTCGCTAGTTGTCACTGTTGAAATTGATTCAAAAGTGTACATTTAACATGAAAGTCAACACAGAATTTCATGTGTCAGCAACTAAAATTTTCAAAATGTTGCAAAATACAAATGTGAAACTGTATTTGTGAAATTTACCATTCATTGAAATTATATTTTCATACCTACCCAGGCACAGAATTTTTTATAACTGTCTGCATGTTCTCCTCATGTGGGGGAAAAGCAGCATCAGCAGGCAGAGGAATCCTTTGAAGCTGGAGGGAGAGGTTGCAGTGATCTGAGAGTTTGCCACTTGACTGCAGCCTGGATGACACAGTGAGACTCCAACTGAAAAGAAACAAACACACACACACACACACACACACACACACACACACCCCCAAAATTGATAAGTAAAAAAAAAATCCATATTCGAAAACATGCTCACAGGCTAACTCCCATATCTAACACACACACACACACACACACACACACACACACACACACAATTCCTTGAAAACGAAAGTTCCACAAGGGCAAAACAAGAAAACAAATTTAACACCCCCCAAAGAAAGTACAAAGAGTAACCTCAAAAGAACCGCAGGGGAAAACAATTCAAAATTTACAAGTATCTACCCTAAAAGAAGCTGAAAGTCCCTCAAAAACTTTCCAGAGGCCATGTCCTTGTATTACAAAAATGATCATAAAAACTGGCAGGAGTAGACGAATAGAAATGCATCTTAAAACTTGCTAAACCCTTCAAGTCTCCCATAAGAATTGTAATGGAAAATGGATCGGTCGGCAGCTTTTTCCATACAATTATGAACAAATTATATTTCTTCATACATAGATTTGTTTTTTCAATATTCTAAGGAATTAACTTTTATATTAATAGTAGGTGATGTAAGAAAGCAGGCCTTTATCAAGATAACTGACACTGGATGTCCATACCATTACTCAGGTGGGCCTTAATTCCCAGCCGGGTTCCCTCCCTGGACACACACTGAAGGTCCCCAGCCATTTGGCAATCTCTTCACATTCCCAGCCCTGGAGGTAGCCCTAAAATACATGTACCTGAAGAAAATAAAACATTGCCTCACACTGGAGCCCAGTGTGGTCCTCCAGATTCCGTGTGAGGTGGACTAACTTATATGGGAAGGCAGGGCAGCGGGAGTGAGGATGGCAGAGAGGATTACACATGTCAAGGCAGCCGGGGTCATGGAAACAAAACATGACTGGCCTGGGAGAAACACTGTGAAAGGACACAGACCTAGGTGGGCCTCAGGTGGACATCCTCATGGAGAAAAAGGGGGCCCTGGTTGATCTCAAAATGAGCCCCAGGTGGTAGCAGGTCTTACCGCAGGGCAGGGAGCTGGCGAGTAATGATGAGACAGCTATCCCTTAAGCCCTGCTTGTCACCCACTGACTTTAGCCACATATGCATCATAGTGGCTTAAGGTGCCCCGATCCTGAAATGTGGGTGTTACATGTCCCTGATGGGCCTCTCTCCCCCAACCCACGGATTGCCTGGGATTGCTCACTGCAGTCTCCTCCCGGATCCTTGGGTTCTCCATGTGGGGCCCAGATCCAGGTCAAAAGGCCTCTCAGTTCCCAGCCCTTCCCAGCCCTAGGCTGCTCGCCTGGCCTCCTCTCTGTTCCGCCTCTAGGGCTGACCCTCTCTCCATGGGATAGAACTGCAATGGATTGAGCCATAGGCCCTGGCTGATGATCTAGGGGACTGCAGAAGTGGGTCCAGGACAGTTCAGGTGACAGTTCAAAGCCAATTCCCCAGAGACCAAGGAATGACCAGCTAGGTCCTTTCCCATGATGCCCCACGGCGAACCCCACCTCAGCAATCCTGCCAAAACCCGGGCAGTCATGTTCAGCCAAACAGCTGAATGAGCTCAGGTAGGAGGTGTACTGCCTGCAGCTGGAGGCTTGACCTTCGTGATCCCAGAACCGCTGGACTGCAGTGGAATGAGACACCCTGTAGCCTGCAGGGAGAGGAGTCAGGAAGGTTCATGCCAGTCCCACCCTCCCACACACCAGCTCCCCTACCATGCTGGGAGGCATTCCTTACCGAGGATGCCAACACAGTGCTCCTTCATGATGATTTCACTGTGGAAATAAAGGTTGGGATGAAAGGAAATCATCCTGCCACCGGTAACCGGGATGGCTGAGTTCCTCCACCTGCCGGATCAAGGAGAAAGAGGATGGATTCAATGGGACCATCTCAACTAGCTGGGCTGAGGTGGCCTACTAGCTGTAGTGAACCATGAGTTTCCCCTTCCCAGCTCTCCCACTGAGACAACCCTGGTCCCCAGGGGGACCTCAAACTGACTCAGACACTGGACTCCTCCCACAGACCCAGGCTCCCCAGCCTGACCTGCAAATCCATCACGTAGCAAAGCAGGACTTCCGCATGCTTTCCGACCCACGCCGACATCTCGGGTGTGCCAAACAATCTACCTCTGCGCAAGAACTCTCCAGAGGATTGGGTGGGCAAGCCTCGTGACGCCTTGCAATTTCGCAAGAACACAGACAATGTGGAACAGGGCCATCTCCCAGACATTTGGCCAGTCACCCTTCATTGTTGGCCCTCTATCTCTGTCTGGCGAGGAGGCAACGCCACAACTGTGGTGGTTTTTGGAGTGGGTGGACCCCGGCCAAGACGGCCTGGGCTGACCAGAGACGGGAGGCAGAAAAAGTGGGCAGGTGGTTGCAGCTGAGGGACGGGAGGGGCCGGGGGTGGTGTGAGGCGGCTGCTTCTCTGGGTTTCTGAGATGCAGGAGGCCTTTGTGTGCTGGGTGCTGGACATGCTCCGCTGATGTCCGGGTGTGTGGTGTCCTCTTATCCTAGTCTCCCTGAGGGGTGGGCCTGTCCACCTGAGGGAAGCCTTGTAGTTAGAAGCCACAGCAGGGTCGTGCCTGGCGCTCTCCAAGGGAATTGCGTGGGTCCAGAGGAAGTTATACAGGCTCAGGGCCTACACGCCTTTGAGTGCAGCGCCTGCAGTTGGATGAATGCGCATCTGCGGAGCTGGTGCCCGCCGTCAGGTGGTCGGCAGCCCCATGCGCCGCGAACCCGTCTTAAGCACCTTGTGTTTCTGGGGTGAGCCTGCTGGAAACAGGCACCGAGAGCAGGGGTGGTTCAATGGCTGGTAATGGCATACAGATTCCCCGTCCTCCAGGGACGTTCCCAGGGAAACGCGTCCTTCGAATTTGGGCTGTGCGCAAAGGGACCTTGGCGCCGCGATTCTCCCTTGTCAGTGCTGGCCCTGGCTCCCCTTCCCTACCACGTGCTCCCAGGGCTGCTACAAGCGAGCTGCCCTCACAGCTGCGGGAACGTGGCCTCGGCTCCCACGCTGTCCCCCATCCCCTGCCTCCTGGCTGACCCCACGTGCCTCCCACCTGGCTCCTCCCCGCAAACAGCCCCCATACCCCCCGAGGCCCGATGACTATCCCCTGCTGCCCGCCATCCCAAATCGGCAGCCGCAAGGATATGGCTCTGGCTCACAAGGCGGAGATGCTCTGTGGCCTGGGGCATTCACGGAGCCCAGCTCCAAGTGAAGGACCTCCAGCGAGTCCATTGACGGCCCCGGTGTGCTCGGTCCAGGGCCAGGCTGTGCCCGCTGGCCCTCCTTCTGCCACCCCACGTCGGGCTCCACCTCAACCACCACCTCCACCTCAGCCATGATGTCTTCCACCTTCAGCACCGCCTCCTCTTCCAAGGCCGCCTCCTTGCTCTGTACCCCGGCCGTCCTCTCCAGCATTGCCTCCAGCCTGAACACGGTTTTCTCCTGGGTGCTCCCACAGACCCTGGGCCTGCGCAGCCCAGCCCAGCCCAGCCCATGCCCCGCACCCGTAGGCTCTGGGGGCCCGCTCCCCAGCAGACCCGCTCCCTGCAAGACCCACGGGCGTCGCCCTGCTGAGAAACTGGTCCCACACCTACGTGGACCCAGGTTTCCTGAGGAGCTCCGCTGGACCCGCAGATCCCGCACTGGCCAAAGGGCTCCGGTCCCCAGCAGGCTCAACTGCGCACAGGAGCTCGGGAGCCAGAGGCCCCGGCCCTGGGCTTGCAGAGCCCCACCAACAGGCACCGCAACCGCTGCTGCGGGTGCGGGAGCCTCTGGGTCGTCAAGGCAGCGCACAACAGCGTGCGCGCAGGCCGACAATGGCCAACCCTGGCGGCTGGCCTCTGGTGTGCCCAGGGCATAGGACAAGAGGCCCTTTGGAATGCTCCTTGGAGTACAGCATCCTCAGGGAGGAAGCATGGTACTCGGAGCCTCTATTTGCCTCGACCTGTGAGAGTGTGTGCCGGGGCTCTGGCCTCTACAGCAGATCAATTCCACCTCAGCACCGGCAGGCGACTTTCCTCCCACGTGCCCGCCCCGATCACTTCCCCCAGGACACCCCTGCCGCCCTAGCCCCAGCAACCAGAGAGAGTTCTCTGCATCTGCTGTATTACCTCCGTACCATCTACCTGGCCTGCCTAACGAAGAGAGATGTTTCCTGTGTTCATGACACATAGAGATGTTCATGGCTTGCCACACTGAGGATGTCAGGGCACAGGGCTGCCATGCCCACAATTCCAAAGGCCACGCAGCCCGCGTGTGCCCGGATGCCTAGCTACCCGGCACAAGCTCCAAGGGCTTCTCGGAGGAGGCTTGGGCAGGGAAGGCGGGGGGTGGGGGGGCTGGAGATGCAGGCCCGCCAGTGGCTGTGCCGCCCAGGGAGACGCCCACCGCCCTCCCATTGACTGGCCACGACGGGAGGAAGTCGGCCTGGGTGCGGCCCCCCGGCCCTTCGCGCGCAGTCCCTTAGGGGGCGCCTGGAAGCCCGGCGCATGCGCCCTGAGGGCTCGCTGACCTACTGGGTGCCAGAGAGGCTGCGGCAGGGTTTCTGTGGCGTGGGTCGGGCAGCACAGGCCTTGGTGTGTGCGAGTGCCAAGGAGGGCACCGCCTTCAGGATGGAGGCTGTACAGGAGGGGGCGGCCGGGGTGGAGAGTGAGCAGGCGGCTTTGGGGGAGGAGGCGGTGCTGCTGTTGGATGACATAATGGCGGAGGTGGAGGTGGTGGCGGAGGAGGAGGGCCTCGTGGAGCGGCGGGAGGAGGCCCAGCGGGCACAGCAGGCTGTGCCTGGCCCTGGGCCCATGACCCCAGAGTCTGCACTGGAGGAGCTGCTGGCCGTTCAGGTGGAGCTGGAGCCGGTTAATGCCCAAGCCAGGAAGGCCTTTTCTCGGCAGCGGGAAAAGATGGAGCGGAGGCGCAAGCCCCACCTAGACCGCAGAGGCGCCGTCATCCAGAGCGTCCCTGGCTTCTGGGCCAATGTTGTATCCTTCTCAGTGTTTCTTCGGCCTTTCTAGTGGAGAGGTGCTCTCGGGGAAGTGTAAGTGACCGATGGGCAGCTCGGCGTCGATGTGACTCTTTGGGGAACAAAGGGGAGTTGCCACGGACCAATGTGGCTGTGGAAAGCCGGAGCAGGCGTGGGTACTATTGTCCTGCATGCGGCAGAGAAACCCTTGGTGATGCCGAGCAGCAGACGTTTGGGGCATCTTTTTGAAGAGCAGAAGCGAGTTCAGAGCGGAAGAGGTTTTTCAGTGAATGAAGCTATTTTTAAGGGAGTGTGATTGCTGCCCCTTGCTAGTCCGATCTGGGACTGGGCGTCTTCGGCTATAAGCAGATTCTGCCACTCCTCAGACACCAGCAAGTCTCTGCAAATCGCGCCTCCCCATGTCAGTGCAGTCAGCCTCAGAATCATACACCCTCTGTGAACACAGGAGGCCTTAGTTTACGGGGACGGGGAGGCGAAAGGAGATCATACATGGAAGCAGATCTGAGAAATCCCCTACCCCAGCCTCTGGGTGCTCTTAGGCCTTCTTCCCTGTTGCTCCTCGCTTTCCCTTCCATCGTGTGTAAAGTCTCTTTGACCTAAATCAGATTGCAAACCACCCCCAGATGTCAGCCCTGATCACTGACGAAGATGAAGACATGCTGAGCTACATGGTCAGCCTGGAGGTGAGGCCAGGAAGACTGGGGCTGGAGGGTTTAGCGGGGGAGGGTAAGGGAAATAATTCATTCCTGTAAGCAAGAGTGAGCACCTCACCCGAAAACCTATCTAAGCTTTCTCCACCTTGTCCTGACAGGTGGAAGAAGAGAAGCATCCTGTTCATCTCTGCAAGATCATGTTGTTCTTTCGGAGTAACCCCTACTTCCAGAATAAAGTGATTACCAAGGAATATCTGGTGAACATCACAGGTGACAGGTGGCTCCCAGGATGGGTAGTGGAAGGAAGATGGTGGGTGGATCATTGCCAACGGGATCCAGCCCCCTTCCCACAAAAACTCCTGTCTCTGTAGAATACAGGGCTTCTCATTCCACTCCAATTGAGTGGTATCTGGATTATGAAGTGGAGGCCTATCGCCGCAGACACCACAACAGCAGCCTTAACTTCTTCAACTGGTTCTCTGACCACAACTTCGCAGGATCTAACAAGATTGCTGAGGTGAGTCCTCACTGGGAAACATGAGGAATGACCCCGTGTGTTCCCAGCTGCTTGGGTCACCTTTCTGAGCCCTGATGAGGCCTTTCCCGATTGAGTCCCCTGACAGATCCTATGTAAGGACCTGTGGCGCAATCCCCTGCAATACTACAAGAGGATGAAGCCACCTGAAGAGGGAACAGAGACGTCAGGTGAGCCGTTAGTTGGCACTGGAGCTGTTTGATGCCCAGTATAAGGGGGTTGACACACCTGCCTATTCAGGGAGCCTGGGTGCTCATTTCAGAAATGTAGAAATTGAGGCTCCTTTCGTACATGTAGAAATTCCTTGAGAGGAAGACAGAGAGTGACAGAATCCAGGACGTTCATGGCATTGGGCTGAAAAGGCACGTTAGAGACTGCACTGCAAAGCGGGTGATAGCTGTGGAGTCTTAAGCCCAGTGAAGAATCGTCCATTTCCAGAATCAATGAGAAGTAAAGCTGAAAATCATTCAGTTCAGTCTGTGGCACTTGATTCCACGGCTGTCAACCCCACCGGCAGTCATCCCGCCAACCCCATGAGATTGGGCTCCCTGAATGTGCGTCCTGGTCATCCTTGCCCCAAACCACAAAGGACTGTTTAGATTGATGGATTTCCTTAAGCTGTTGCCCCATCAGACTTGTGTGTGCTTTTAGGGCCCAGTGCATCTTGTTAGCTGACTCCCCTCACAGACAATACTGGGAATGGGGCAGGGATTGCGCAGAACAGTTTGTAACACGTGGTAGGAGGAAGTTTAAGGGATCACAAATGGGGAAGGGATATCCTTTTCTCAGCGGGCCCCACAATTGAAACATTTCAAAGTATGGCTCAGAGAAAATGCGTTTTAACATGAGTTTGTGTTTCTCTAGGGGACTCCCAGTTGTTGAGTTGAATATGATGGAGCATCAGATTTTACCTAATACAGCAGAACTCCTAAAAAGTTACAGCCATATGCAGGACGGCAGTACTCAGCATGGTCTTATGCACAGGAACTAAAGGAAAAAGAGATCGAGTCACAAAAATTCAGGAAGAGGGGGTAAATGTGGATTGTATGGAATGAAAAATAAACATTCTCAAGGATGTGTGACTCTGTGTCTGTGTGTGTGTGTGTGTGTCTTTGTGTTTGTGTGTGTGTGTGTGTGTGTGTGTGTGTGTATGTTTATCCACTTTATTCGGGTGTCATAATGAATTGATCAATCCACGTGCTTTATTCTCTTCATGGAAATAACCAGTCTGCGTTGGAGCTGGGCCTCTAAAGTTGTAGAGTGAATGGGTGTGGGATGTGTTGGGATTCTTCCTACAGGACAGAGTGGGAGAGGTAAAAGCAAAAGACAGCTTAGTTGGAGGCTGACTTCGTCCTGTGGAAGCAGAGATAGTTCAAGGAAAGGGGTTACTGGGTTTCCAGGGCCCAGTTTGCTGGGACCTCCAAAATCCTTCATTTTGGGTATCATCATACACAGTAGCTAAGCACAGGATGATGGAAATCTTAAAGTTCGCTTTCGTGTTGAATCCACATGTTCTTTTAAAGGTGAATGCATGATCCTTTTCTGGGACAATCAGCCTCTCAGGACTTCTGAAACATCAACGTGAGAAGAAATGGGCATGCAAGGTGTATGGAGGGACTGTGGGAAAGGTGACAGAGGCATGTGGGAAGGCATTCAGGATACGCTTTTGGCAGAGATGACTAAGGGAAAACAGAAACTTACAGAAGTGAGGGGAAAGGGGGTGGATTAGTGGAATATAAGATTGTTGGAGAATCCATCCATGGACTCTCTTGTCACTTGATGACCCAGGATATGGACACTCTTGTTGATGTTTACATCTTTAGTTGTTTTAAGCTTTTCTCCAAGATTCTGTGTTAGGTGAGGAGCCAATAACGTATGTAGCTAACAACAGTACGAGTGCATTTTGTGCTCTTGCAAAGTCTAGTGAGGCTCTATTCTCCCTCGTGATTGGCACTGCAGATTGTATCTGGACCCAGGGCCCCTAAATTTTCTGTGGCCTCTTCAGCATAGTTTGCCTAAGGTTTAGAACGTAAAGTGAATATAGTTGCGGAATATGTTTTGCAAGCCTCACACAGGAGGACAAAACATACAGCTTTCATTCGCGAGTGGGAGGCTGCTTCCCAGGAACACGTGTGTCTGCACAAGACAAGGGGTTGCCTCTGTCAAGGATGGGGCAGGAGGATTTCAGTGTCGGAGGCAGAACTTTCTTTCCTGTTCCCAGATGAAACAGTTCCAACACGAGCATCCATGTTGACCACACGCTACTAGAGTGCTAACATTGCTGTCCCGTATAGACTCCAGTCAGCACAGCTTCTGTGAGAAGAGCTATGTTGTTTCAGGGAAGAGGGTTTGACAGTCAAAGTTCCTGAATCTGTTGTGGTGCCTGCAATATGCATTCTACACCTCCTGCTCGGTGTCAAAGCAGTTGAGCTTTGAAAATCTATCGCCCGGTTTTGTCCCTGCTCCTATGCAGACCTCTGAAGCTCTGGAGCGGGAGTCTTGTCCTCCTCTGACTACCGTCCCCCTGACCCACAAACACAGGAGAAACAGGTGTTCTAAGCAAATTATTCTGAAAACAGTCGGAACACTTTGGCCCCCTCAAGCTGCCCTCTATCCTACTGTGTGCATGTCAAAGACACTGTGGTCCAGTACGGTATCCCTATAGCGGCAATGGGGCAACAGATTGGTGTGTGCACTCTGGGCAACTCAGATTAGGAAACGTCTGGGGACTTGCCTATAACGAGGTCGTCTTAAAACGTGTTGCCCCAAATTTAAGGCATAGGAAAATGTTGAGGAAAGGGTCTTGCAATGATTTTTCTAGGAGGTAAATAGATAAGAAAATGACCGTAAATAGATGCCAGGGCTAGTTTTGGAGCTAGCCTGTTTTAAAGTGGTGGTAGGGGAGGAGCTTTTTCCAAGGCAGGTAGCAAACCAGGAACTGTCTACGATGGATGGGCGTGCCACGGGTTGGTGGCTCAGCCATATTGCCACCCCACCGAGTGAATGCAGCAGACTGGGCTTCTTCCTTGAATCCTACGTGCAATTCAGTCTAGTGATTTCACATGAGATCCCTTCTTCTGGTATTATCACAGATCGTGCTGAATTATACAGGCTGTGTAATGCTTCTTCCACTGAATATCCGTGCACGTGGGCCACAGATGCTAAGGGCACTGACAAATTTGCACCGTGCCTCAGTAACTCGGAAGCACATCTGTGATTTGTACCGACAGGGACTTGGTGTCTTTTCGTGTTTAAAGTAGCACGTGTGTGTTTGTGGTTGCGTATGTTTATTTCTCTGTGCGGGTTTGTATATTTTCTCTGACTCCACCTGTGTCTCCGTGGTTCCGATATTTTTCCACACTCCCTGCGACAATTTGCACATGCCTATCTCTACAACCATTGTAGACTTTGTATCTGTGTCTTTGAACATCTGTCACTCTCTCTCCCTTCCTTTTTTCTTTTCCTTCCTTTACACCCCTTTCATCCTTCCCTTGCTTCCCCACCACACTCTCTCCATCTGTATCGTCTATGTTTCTATTCTCTATCTGGGTTTACTTTCTAATTCTGAATTCAAGGGCATTGAATTGAAAAGAAGCACTCTTCGTACTTTTATGTGTTTTAACTCATTTGGGGAATTTGGCGTGGTATTATTTACAGGGTTCTCTCTGCCCTTTCTCATTGTTCTCCCCAGCCGGGGCTGTTATTATGTGAAAGCTGGTTTCCTTCATCACATCGCGTAGGCTCTAATGATGTTTCGTTTATTTTGATTCTCCTCACACTACATAGTTTTAATTTACCTAATGTGACTGTTTTTTTGTTTGTTTTCCGAGAATGGGTCTTACTCTGTCTTCTAGGTTGGACAGCAGCCCCACGATCTCAGCCCACTGCAGCCCAGGCACCACACACCCATGTGATCCTGTCAACTCAGACTCTCACACACCTGGCAGTACAGGTGCATGCCACCCCTCCAAGCTATGTATTAATTAACTAAATACTTACTTTTTGAATGTGGGTCCATGTTGCCCCAGGCTCATCTGGAACTCCTGAGTGCAGGCAATCCTCCCACCTCAGCTTATCAAAGTGCTGGGATGACAGGTGTGACCCATGGCCCTGCCATGGCTTTGTGTTTTTTGCTTTTTTCTTCCTCCTCCTCACGTCTTGTTTTGAAACATGCACTGAAGGTTTCAATTCATGGACTATAGTCTCTGTGCCTGGAATTTCTATCTTTCAACTCATCATCAGCATTCATTGGGATTTTCATATATATATACACCTATATAAGAATACCTATGTACACACATATATACGTATATACATGTATATACGTATATATGCACATTTATATACGTATATACATGTATATACGTATATATATACATGTACACATATGTATTTATTTCTCAAGTTACGAAACGGCTTGCATTCTTTCCTGTGTCATGAAAAAGACTTTGCTAGAAAAGAAAAGCACTGCTTTATAATAAAATATTTTATTTGCATTTATTTTGTTAAGGCATTTTAAAAATTGTATGTTTGTTTAAAAAATGTCATATGAAATGATACATATTTACAACTTAAGGCGTGATGTTCAACAGGTCATATACATTATGCATTGGATACATCCAGCCAATCAACATATGTGTGACCTCACATAGTTGTCATTTTTGTTGTGAAAAAACTTGACCTGCACTGTATTCGAATATTTTTAGAGAAAGAATATGTTACCACTAGTTATAGTGAGCATGCTGAAGAAAATATTTTAACCTATTCCTCCTTTATAACTAGAAGTATGAGTTCTTCATCCAGCATCTCGTCAGTGCACCCTCTTCACCGCAGTCATTGGAGTCACTACTTCTGTGAAGTCCGCTTTTTTGATTTCATATAAGAATGAGATCATGTGCTATTTTCCTTTCTGATACCTGGCTTATGTCACTTAACAGAATGGCATGCACACATTCAGCAGATTCCCACACATTCTCACAACTGGCAGGATTTCCTGATTTCTTATTGCAGCGCATATTTCCGTTGCGCATATGCGTTTTTGCCCCATTTTTTAATCCACTTATCAATGGAGGGACACTCAGGTTGCTTCCGCATTTTGGCTACAGCAAAAATGTAATGAGTGCAGCAATAATTGCATGGGTGCGCGCACCGCTTCAACATACTGATCTGTGTACTGGCGGGCGTGCCCGGGTATTCTGATTTGCTGGATCATATAGTGGGTGGTTCTACTTGTAGATTTCTGAAGGCTGTTTATACTTAAATAAGAGCCATAAAGCTTCTTTAATGCCAGCACTAATTTACATTCTCCCCAAAAGTGAGCAGGGAATTCGTTTTCTCTGCCTCCTCACCAGAGATTAGGGTTTTCTTTTCTTTCTTTTTTTTTTTTGTTTGTTTGTCTTTCGGATAATATGCATTCTGACTGAAGTGAGAAGAAATCTCATTGTGTTTTTGATTTGCATTTTCGTGATGGATTGGGGATAATGAGGAATTTTTAGTGTGTCTTCTGGGCAACTGTATGTCTCAGTTTCACAAATGAGTCTTCGCAGCCTTCGCCCATTTGTTTTCATGCTATTGAGTTGTTGGGAGTTCCTTATGTACTGTGACTATTCCCCCATGAACAGATGTATGGTGATCCAATCATTGCTCCCATCCTGTAGGATGCCCCTTCTGTATGTTGAGTTTTCTATGGTGTGGTGAAGCACTTTAGTTTGATATGATTCCATTCTCTATTTTTGATGGTGTTTACTGTGTTCTTGCAGTCACTTTGAGACCATCATTGCACACACGGACGCCATGGAGCTTCTTCCTTGTGATCTCTTCTGCTATTTTTATCGTTTCACATCTGACACTGGAGTTTGGTGATAAATAATCCACTTGTAAAATCCTTTGTGTGGCTATTCAGATTTCCCCAACCTAGTTTATAGAAGATACTTGATTTTGCATTGGGCGTTCTTGCTTCTTTGGGAAAAGGCTGTGAGCTGCAAATGCAGTGACTTAGTTCTGGGCTCCTGTTGTTTTTCCTAAGCTCTAGTCTCTGCTTTTCTGCCAGTGCTATTGTATTTTGGTACAAAAAGTTTTGTAGTAGTATATCATGAAGTTAGGTAGTGTGGTGGCTCCAGCTTTGTGCTTTTTACTGGATTGCTCTGGGTTTTCAGGATCTTCTGCCATTTCATAGCAAATTTGGGATTCCCAGATTGTTTTTCTAAGAAGAATGTGTCATTGATATTTTTACAGGGGTTGTATAGAATCTGAGGATGACTCAGGTAGTAGTGATGTCAATGCCGTTTAGACAATGTGCGTG
Organism: Homo sapiens; assembly: GCF_000001405.40. Taxonomy (NCBI): domain Eukaryota; kingdom Metazoa; phylum Chordata; class Mammalia; order Primates; family Hominidae; genus Homo; species Homo sapiens. The sequence continues at coordinate 233,102 of NW_025791821.1, forward strand.
TTTGTGTGCACAAGCTCAGGGCCAAGAGACACTGGGTGTCCTCACCAATACTGAGGTGGGCCTTAATATCCAGCCAGATTGCCTTCTGGAAACACACGGAATGTCCTGTTCTGTTTTGCCATCTCTTCACATTTCCTCCCCTGTGAGCCCTGTGTGGTCCTCCAGATTCCCTGTGCGGTGGCCTGCCTTTTTTGGGGTGGGGAGTTGCTGGGTGAATGAGGATGGCGGAGGGAACCAAGTATGTCAGTGGAGCGTGGTGTCATCCAAACGGTACTTAGCAGGCCTGGGAGAGTCATTCTGGGAGGACGCAGACCTAGAGAGGCCTCAGGTGGGCATCTGTGTGGAGGGTGAGAGATCCCTGGTTGAGCCCAAACTGAACCCCAGGTAGAAGCAAGCCTCAGGACAGGGAAGTAGCTAGCAAGGGATGATGAGGCAGCTATCTCTTGACCCTGGCTTCCCACCCATTGACCTTAGCTACTTGTGCCTATTAAGCAGATTACGGTTCCCCCATCGTGAAATGTGGGTACCACAGTTCCCTGATGGGCATTTCTCCACCAGCCCATGATGGCCTGAGTTTCCTTACTGCAGTCTCCTCCCTGAGCCTTGGCTTCTCTATGTGTGTCCTAACTCCAGGACCCACAGGCCTGTCAACCCCCAGCCCTGGGCTGCTTCCCTGGCCTCTTCTCTCTTCCCTCTCTGAGGGCCTAACTCCCTTGGGTAGTGCTGCAGAATATAGAGCCACAGGCCCTGGCTGATGATCTGGTGGACTGGGCAAATTGGTCGTGACAGGTCAGGTTCTGGTTCAAAGCCAATTCCTCCGATGCCAAGGAATGTCGAAGAAGGTCCTTTGCCATGATGCCCCATAGCTGCCCCACCTCAGCAATCGTGCCGTAACCTGGGCCCTCACAGTCAGACAACCAGCTGAAGAAGCTCAGGCAGTGACCTGCGGGAAACTCGGGCTTTCACCTGCATGACCCTAGAACCACTGGACTGCAGTGGAGCCAGTCGCCCTGTATCCTGGAGGGAGACGAGTCAGGAAGGCGCACGCCAGGCCCAGCTCCCGAGGTACTACCCCCTCTACTCCTCAGGGAGGATGCCAACGCAATACTCCTTAGTCATCACTTTGTTTCCGAAGTAAATGTTGTGATGAAAGGCAAACTTCTTCCTACCCCTTGTATTCAGGGTGGCCGAGTTCCTCCACCTGCCTGTCCAAGAAGGAGAAACAGGGCTGTGAAGGGGCAATTTCATCTAGGTGGGCTGAGGTGGCATTCTAGCCGGGGTGAAGCATGCGTTTCCCCTTCCCAGCTTTCCCGCTGAGACACACCTGAGCCCCAGAAGGACCTCAACCTGACCAGGACCTTAGCACCCTCCCCCAGACCCAGGCTTTCCATCCTGACCTGCAAATCCAACATGCAGCTTTGAAGGACTTTCTCATGGTTTCTGAGCTCCTTGCTCTCACCAGAAAGAATCAGAACTTTTAAAGTGTTCTTTATGCCAACTTAAATTTTTCATTTTTACTACCTCATGTTTTGGATGAGGCATGTATTTTTAAATTTATTTTCACCCTTATTGTACCTCTATGATAAACTGCTTGCTTACATTCATACCGTAATTATCTCTCAGGTTACTTGTCTGTTCCTAAAGATTCACTGAAACGAAGAATTCTATATATGCTTGTATCTTTCAGCAACCGTATGTCAGATAGCACTGCACATTACTGCAGACGTCGCATATACAGGTCCAAAGGTAGAGGAAGAAGAAGAAAGCAAGCGTTAAGCTCTATACATTCCTAAAAGCATATCAGAAACTCACAAATAACAGTGAAATCAAAGAATGATCACAGCCAATTCCATTACATACCTAGACTGAAATACGAAACTTCAAAGAAAAGAAACATTAGAACTTTGGGTTTGTAAAAATTTTCCTATATAGATAAAATTATTGGTAACTGTGTCTCACTAGAAAACGTAAACAAAAGTCCATGTTTTTCATATTTGTAAATATACATAGTTTTATTTCCATCAGTTATGACATGCAAGCAAGTAATAAAGTGAAAGTACAATCAAATGATATATGGAACTTCCTCAGTCTTAAAATATTCCATGGAGACTATCAATTTTATGAAAACTATAAAGAATGCTTCATGAAACTACATTGTACAGTGCCATTTACTATTTTACTGACATTTTAAATAATCAACAATTAAAGGGAATACATCAACATTATTTAATACCAATAACGTTATTTTTCTTGAGTAATCCTGTTGAAATTAAGGATTTTAAATAAAACATTAAAAACAAATTATATTGACTGATTTCAGCTTTGGATGAAATCATACTTGTGTATTTGTAGTAATGCGAAGCATAACTTTCTCCTCACAATTAATCTTTTATAACATCGGTGTTATAGTTTTCTCTGACACCAACATTGTGATATCGCACAGGTTTACTGCATGCATGCATTACATGCCTCCAGAGAGTAGGCTTCAAATATATGGAAAAATTATATTTATGAAAAAATTCTAGGAAAGGGAATGGTGAAATGGAAGAGAATTTCTCACTTGCTAACTGTTGGACATGGATTTGTATATATTTGGATATAGACACATACTGGCACACTGTGAGTTTGCCCATGTATATATACACTTAAATGAGAAACCCATAATATATGGGTTGTGTAATCTTTTAATTAATCCATAATTGTATGTGTGTGAAATTAGATAAGCGGTTACCTTTTCTTTACTCAATTTGATGGAAAGCCAAAAAACTCTGTCCACCTTCATTTCAATTAATCCAATACTGTTAACTGCTGGTAGCTTCATTCTCCTTGTTCTCTTACGGCAACCGGAAAGTTAATTCTCGCTCTAATTTGGCTTTCAAGGTGCGATCAACAAGAGTGTCACCTTGCTGTGGATTGTGACCTCTGACTCCACCTCTGTCTTCCTTTTGCAGTCCTACCTTTGCATAGGTAACAAACTTTGTACATGGTTAAAAGGATAAAAGTTCAGTGAAATGTCAAGCCATGCTGTGAAATGTTCCATAGTTTCTATATCTCTAATTGTCCTTTGATGTTATAGAGGCAAGAAAAATAATTCAATGTTTTTCTTAGTATCTAGTCCAATGCACTCTTTCTTCATAATACTGCAAACAAGGCACTGACATGGAAACGTGGCTGGACGTCTCAAAATCTCTTCTCATTAATTACCATTATGTTAATCACTGTTGCCCACAACTGGAATTGGACTTTGAAATCCCCTGGTGGAAATTGCTATAATGGCTCAAACTACTGGAAAGACTATCTTTTTTTACCTGAAAATATCTGATGAGCATAGACGTATGCTATATACAGGAAGATATTGTACATTAACAACATACCATCACTGCCACTCAATAATAGGTATCCCAAACCTTTGAGCCAAACTGAGCTCAGGTGCTCCCACAAACCAAGCTTTTCCCTCCACAGATTTCTTATGTCAAAAAGCCACAACTCCAGGCCAGGCTTCGTGGCTCTTGTTGTAATTTCTACATTTTGGGAGGCCGAGGTTGGTGGGTCACTTGAGGTCAGGAGTTGGAGACTAGCATGGGCAACATGGCAAAAAGCTGTCTCTACCAAAAATACAAAAATTAGCCAGACCTAGTGGCACTTTCCTGTGGTCCCAGCTACTTGGGAGGCTGAGGTAGGAGAACCACCTGAACATGGGTGGCAGAGATTGTATAGTAAGCCGAGATCAGACTACTGCACTCCAGCCTGGATGACACAGCGAGACCATGAAAAAAAAAATAAAGGCAACTCCACTCGTCCACTGGCTTAGGTAAAAAATACTGGAGTTGGCTGGGCTCGGTGGCTCACACCTGTATTCCCAGCACTTTGGATTTTGGGAAGCTGAGTCGGGCGGGTCACCTGAGATCTGTAGTAGGAGAGCAGCCTGGCCAACATGGTGAAGCCTGGCTTCTACTAAAAATACAAAACATTAGCTGAGCGTGGTGATGCATGCTTGTAATCCCAGCTACTGCAGAGGCTGAACCTGGGAGGCGGAGGATGTGTTGAGCTGAGATCCTGCCACTGCGCTCCAGCCTGGTCTACAGAGCGAGAGTACCCTGTGAGAAACAAAGGTGAAGAGAACAAGAAAAAAAAATGAGAAAAATAAGACCCACTGCAAAAGGTTGCCACAGAAAAGATTAAACATTTCAGCAACTTCTATCTTCTATCATGGAAGCCAAGGTTATTTGGACCAAACCTCCTGTCTTAGTTCATTTTCACGCTGCTGAAGAAGAGATACCTGAAACTGGGAATAAAAGGAGGTTTAATTGGACTGACAGTTCCACATGGCTGTGGAGGCCTCAGAATCATGGTATACGAATAAAGGCACTTCTTACATGGCAATGCCAAGAGAGAATGAGGAAGAACCTGAGGCAGAAACCCCTGAAAAACCCATCAGATCCCGTGAGACTTCTTCACTGTCACAAGAATAGCATGAGAAAGACCGACCCCCATGATTCAATTACCTCCCCCTGGGTCCCACCCGCAACACGAGGGAATTCTGGGAGATACAATTGAAGCTGAGATTTGAATGGAGACACACCAAACCATGTCACTTCCCAAACAATTAAAAATTCCCAATAGAAGAAGCATTAATTATATCAAAAAGTGGTGGACCAAGAAGGAACTATTAGCCTCATATCTCAAGAAAGACTCCAGTCAAGGCCTAGGGACTACTCATGAAAAGAGTTTAATAGCCGACTCTCTCCCAGTGGATCTGGATTCCACCGGACTGTATCTTCACAGTAAGGGTGAAACAGAAGCAAACCCATTCCTATTTCCAAGCTCAAGGAACTTTGGTCAAAGTTCTCTTGGAGCTGAGCAGAACAAGGAGGCAAACAGAAAAGATTTGTGTCCCTGAGAAGTCATGGCCACAGGCTGGCTATCACACAGATTGTCAAGCCAGTTCCATATTGCATGGGTATTACAGAAAATCTCAAAACATAAATTTGTGTGTGGGTTGTCCCAGAGTAGCAGGATCTGGCAGAAGGAAATTTCCTTCTAACCCTCAAAGAATCCACATAAATCTTGTTACATTTGGGATTTTACGATTTGCTTCAGGAATGAGAATGGCCTTAATTTTCATATCTTTTTCTACACTCAGTTTATGGCTTGTTGGCGTCAAAGTTCTGCTTGCTTCACACAATGAGTTTAGGATTTTCCCTTTTTTATTCTATAGAATTCTTCATATATATTGAAATGCTCTGCCTGGGGAAAAAAATCTGAGCCTAGCGTTTTATCTCTAGGAAGAATCCTTTATTTCCTTGAACATTTATGAGACTATACAGATTATATATGTCTTCTTGTATCAATTTTACTAAGCTATATACATAGCTTATGTTTATATATTATATATATAAATGTAAGATACAAATATAAAAATTATGTATAAATATGAAAATATATATAGAAAGCGATATATATGTCTATATATATAGACAGATTATAAATATCTGTCTATTTGATCTAAGTTTTCAAATTTGTAGGTTAAGGTGTTAATGATATTTCCTTATTAGCTTCTTAATCTATGCTGTATCTATGGTTGTGTACCTTTTAAATTCTTAGTTTTATCTATGTTTTCTCCCTTTTTTTCTAAACTTGACTGACGGTTGCATCATTTATTATATTTCTCCAACAAGCAAAGGTTAGCTTTGTATGTTTTACTAATTTTGTCTACATCATTATTCCCACACTTTAGTTTTTCAGAATTGATTCTGTTGTTTCTTTTCTAATTCTTTATTGAAATATCTAGTACATTAATTTTCAAGTTATTAGAGAAATATTTGTCTGTAAACTCCTATTGTAATATCACTTTTCTTGCTACTCACAGATTTAATCTTTAATATTGGCGGTATCATTGAGTTCTAAGTACATTTCAATTCCTAGTATGATAATCTATGAATTGCTGAGAAATAGTGTTTACAATTTTGTTGTTCTATTTCCACTTAAGTTTATTTTTACTTCTGCTAACTCAATTGAAAATTCTTTACTAATTTTTAAAATCCTTGAACCCAAGAGATGGAGGTTGCAGTGAGCTGAGATCAGGCCACTGCATTCCAGACTGAGTGACAGAGTGGAACGAGATTTCAAAACAAAACAAAACAAAACAAAACAAAACAGTCACTGGAAAGATAATAAAATACATAAATGTGGGATGTAATATGTAATCGTGATAAAATAAACTGGATTTTTTGTATAAGTTATACATATAAATGTAATGCCAAGACACTGATAAGACAACTCATGGTCTTATCTCAATACTTAGTGTCTTCATGTAACATATGTCCTTTAGGATAGTTATAGTCCGTTTTCTTTCCAGGAGAGACAGATGAGAATGCAGAAATGTTAAAGTGCAAGGGACGGAAGCTTCCAGCTGTGCCCACCTGTAACCTGACGTAGACAGTTCCACCGTTTGCTTCATTAATCATGCCAAAGGCTCTAATGCAAATGTGGTACAGAGTCACATGTTTTTGTATCTACATGATAGAAACTATAACTTCATCCCTATATAGAAGGGTATATAGCATATGCCTCAGTGATAAATATAAGTGAATCATTGATCAGTAGGAAACCATTTTAAAAGTCTTTCATAACAGAACAAAATCCCTGAAAACATTTTCTTCTCAATCTCTGAGTTTTCTTACACGGCTTATGAATCTCTAGCCATACTAAAGAGATAGTATGCTGCTCTTCCCACAAATTATTCATTGTATATAATTCCTGTAATCTAATAACAGTACCTTTACACCTCAGGGTTTAAAATGACTCCAACCTTTTTCTGTTTCTCCAATTAAAATAACTTTTTTAAGGTTTAATCTTCAGTAATTTTTTGTAGTAATATTTTTGAAGGTATTTGACCAGGATGATTTGCTTATATACCTACCTGACGTCTCCCTTTCTTCTGAATACATATTTTATTACCCACCTATTAGATCTAAGTTTAAGAAGTTGGAATAGGGATTTAAATCTAAATTCTACATTTGAATTTACAGGAGTCAGCGAGTCCGGGAAGTGCCTTTATGCACAGACCAATATCTGGCAATGGCACTAGGAGACAAATAAGCTTTACCAGTCTCAAAGCCCTGGCTACTACAGTGAATCCACCCTTCTCCTGGATCTTATCTACTTCAGCAAAAGAAGGCCACCCACTAAACCAGGCCCTTGTACTTTGGGTGGAAACTCCTAAGTCCTCTAGTCTCCTCAAACAGACAGCCAGGCTGCCAATTTCCACAATAATAATTTCTATAGCACTGAGTCTTTGGTAGCCTTGTAACTATAGCTACTGATGCTACAGTCTGGTCCCTGTATGATAAAACACCAGAGCAACAGAAACAAAAATATTGACTGAAGCCTTCTAAAATCTCTCTAAATATACCTTCAATAAATATGGTTTTTTTTACAGAACGACTGCTTTCAGCTTCCTGAACTAACGCTTGGCCTTCGCTAGTTGTCACTGTTGAAATTGATTCAAAAGTGTACATTTAACATGAAAGTCAACACAGAATTTCATGTGTCAGCAACTAAAATTTTCAAAATGTTGCAAAATACAAATGTGAAACTGTATTTGTGAAATTTACCATTCATTGAAATTATATTTTCATACCTACCCAGGCACAGAATTTTTTATAACTGTCTGCATGTTCTCCTCATGTGGGGGAAAAGCAGCATCAGCAGGCAGAGGAATCCTTTGAAGCTGGAGGGAGAGGTTGCAGTGATCTGAGAGTTTGCCACTTGACTGCAGCCTGGATGACACAGTGAGACTCCAACTGAAAAGAAACAAACACACACACACACACACACACACACACACACACACCCCCAAAATTGATAAGTAAAAAAAAAATCCATATTCGAAAACATGCTCACAGGCTAACTCCCATATCTAACACACACACACACACACACACACACACACACACACACACACACAATTCCTTGAAAACGAAAGTTCCACAAGGGCGAAACAAGAAAACAAATTTAACACCCCCCAAAGAAAGTACAAAGAGTAACCTCAAAAGAACCGCAGGGGAAAACAATTCAAAATTTACAAGTATCTACCCTAAAAGAAGCTGAAAGTCCCTCAAAAACTTTCCAGAGGCCATGTCCTTGTATTACAAAAATGATCATAAAAACTGGCAGCAGTAGACGAATAGAAATGCATCTTAAAACTTGCTAAACACTTCAAGTCTCCCATAAGAATTGTAATGGAAAATGGATCAGTCGGCAGTTTTTTCCATACAATTATGAACAAATTATATTTCTTCATACATAGATTTGTTTTTTCAATATTATAAGGAATTAACTTTTATATTAATAGTAGGTGATGTAAGAAAGCAGGCCTTTATCAAGATAACTGACACTGGATGTCCATACCATTACTCAGGTGGGCCTTAATTCCCAGCCGGGTTCCCTCCCTGGACACACACTGAAGGTCCCCAGCCATTTGGCAATCTCTTCACATTCCCAGCCCTGGAGGTAGCCCTAAAATACATGTACCTGAAGAAAATAAAACATTGCCTCACACTGGAGCCCAGTGTGGTCCTCCAGATTCCGTGTGAGGTGGACTAACTTATATGGGAAGGCAGGGCAGCGGGAGTGAGGATGGCAGAGAGGATTACACATGTCAAGGCAGCCGGGGTCATGGAAACAAAACATGACTGGCCTGGGAGAAACACTGTGAAAGGACACAGACCTAGGTGGGCCTCAGGTGGACATCCTCGTGGAGAAAAAGGGGGCCCTGGTTGATCTCAAAATGAGCCCCAGGTGGTAGCAGGTCTTACCGCAGGGCAGGGAGCTGGCGAGTAATGATGAGACAGCTATCCCTTAAGCCCTGCTTGTCACCCACTGACTTTAGCCACATATGCATCATAGTGGCTTAAGGTGCCCCGATCCTGAAATGTGGGTGTTACATGTCCCTGATGGGCCTCTCTCCCCCAACCCACGGATTGCCTGGGATTGCTCACTGCAGTCTCCTCCCGGATCCTTGGGTTCTCCATGTGGGGCCCAGATCCAGGTCAAAAGGCCTCTCAGTTCCCAGCCCTTCCCAGCCCTAGGCTGCTCGCCTGGCCTCCTCTCTGTTCCGCCTCTAGGGCTGACCCTCTCTCCATGGGATAGAACTGCAATGGATTGAGCCATAGGCCCTGGCTGATGATCTAGGGGACTGCAGAAGTGGGTCCAGGACAGTTCAGGTGACAGTTCAAAGCCAATTCCCCAGAGACCAAGGAATGACCAGCTAGGTCCTTTCCCATGATGCCCCACGGCGAACCCCACCTCAGCAATCCTGCCAAAACCCGGGCAGTCATGTTCAGCCAAACAGCTGAATGAGCTCAGGTAGGAGGTGTACTGCCTGCAGCTGGAGGCTTGACCTTCGTGATCCCAGAACCGCTGGACTGCAGTGGAATGAGACACCCTGTAGCCTGCAGGGAGAGGAGTCAGGAAGGTTCATGCCAGTCCCACCCTCCCACACACCAGCTCCCCTACCATGCTGGGAGGCATTCCTTACCGAGGATGCCAACACAGTGCTCCTTCATGATGATTTCACTGTGGAAATAAAGGTTGGGATGAAAGGAAATCATCCTGCCACCGGTAACCGGGATGGCTGAGTTCCTCCACCTGCCGGATCAAGGAGAAAGAGGATGGATTCAATGGGACCATCTCAACTAGCTGGGCTGAGGTGGCCTACTAGCTGTAGTGAACCATGAGTTTCCCCTTCCCAGCTCTCCCACTGAGACAACCCTGGTCCCCAGGGGGACCTCAAACTGACTCAGACACTGGACTCCTCCCACAGACCCAGGCTCCCCAGCCTGACCTGCAAATCCATCACGTAGCAAAGCAGGACTTCCGCATGCTTTCCGACCCACGCCGACATCTCGGGTGTGCCAAACAATCTACCTCTGCGCAAGAACTCTCCAGAGGATTGGGTGGGCAAGCCTCGTGACGCCTTGCAATTTCGCAAGAACACAGACAATGTGGAACAGGGCCATCTCCCAGACATTTGGCCAGTCACCCTTCATTGTTGGCCCTCTATCTCTGTCTGGCGAGGAGGCAACGCCACAACTGTGGTGGTTTTTGGAGTGGGTGGACCCCGGCCAAGACGGCCTGGGCTGACCAGAGACGGGAGGCAGAAAAAGTGGGCAGGTGGTTGCAGCTGAGGGACGGGAGGGGCCGGGGGTGGTGTGAGGCGGCTGCTTCTCTGGGTTTCTGAGATGCAGGAGGCCTTTGTGTGCTGGGTGCTGGACATGCTCCGCTGATGTCCGGGTGTGTGGTGTCCTCTTATCCTAGTCTCCCTGAGGGGTGGGCCTGTCCACCTGAGGGAAGCCTTGTAGTTAGAAGCCACAGCAGGGTCGTGCCTGGCGCTCTCCAAGGGAATTGCGTGGGTCCAGAGGAAGTTATACAGGCTCAGGGCCTACACGCCTTTGAGTGCAGCGCCTGCAGTTGGATGAATGCGCATCTGCGGAGCTGGTGCCCGCCGTCAGGTGGTCGGCAGCCCCATGCGCCGCGAACCCGTCTTAAGCACCTTGTGTTTCTGGGGTGAGCCTGCTGGAAACAGGCACCGAGAGCAGGGGTGGTTCAATGGCTGGTAATGGCATACAGATTCCCCGTCCTCCAGGGACGTTCCCAGGGAAACGCGTCCTTCGAATTTGGGCTGTGCGCAAAGGGACCTTGGCGCCGCGATTCTCCCTTGTCAGTGCTGGCCCTGGCTCCCCTTCCCTACCACGTGCTCCCAGGGCTGCTACAAGCGAGCTGCCCTCACAGCTGCGGGAACGTGGCCTCGGCTCCCACGCTGTCCCCCATCCCCTGCCTCCTGGCTGACCCCACGTGCCTCCCACCTGGCTCCTCCCCGCAAACAGCCCCCATACCCCCCGAGGCCCGATGACTATCCCCTGCTGCCCGCCATCCCAAATCGGCAGCCGCAAGGATATGGCTCTGGCTCACAAGGCGGAGATGCTCTGTGGCCTGGGGCATTCACGGAGCCCAGCTCCAAGTGAAGGACCTCCAGCGAGTCCATTGACGGCCCCGGTGTGCTCGGTCCAGGGCCAGGCTGTGCCCGCTGGCCCTCCTTCTGCCACCCCACGTCGGGCTCCACCTCAACCACCACCTCCACCTCAGCCATGATGTCTTCCACCTTCAGCACCGCCTCCTCTTCCAAGGCCGCCTCCTTGCTCTGTACCCCGGCCGTCCTCTCCAGCATTGCCTCCAGCCTGAACACGGTTTTCTCCTGGGTGCTCCCACAGACCCTGGGCCTGCGCAGCCCAGCCCAGCCCAGCCCATGCCCCGCACCCGTAGGCTCTGGGGGCCCGCTCCCCAGCAGACCCGCTCCCTGCAAGACCCACGGGCGTCGCCCTGCTGTGAACCTGGTCCCACACCTACGTGGACCCAGGTTTCCTGAGGAGCTCCGCTGGACCCGCAGATCCCGCACTGGCCAAAGGGCTCCGGTCCCCAGCAGGCTCAACTGCGCACAGGAGCTCGGGAGCCAGAGGCCCCGGCCCTGGGCTTGCAGAGCCCCACCAACAGGCACCGCAACCGCTGCTGCGGGTGCGGGAGCCTCTGGGTCGTCAAGGCAGCGCACAACAGCGTGCGCGCAGGCCGACAATGGCCAACCCTGGCGGCTGGCCTCTGGTGTGCCCAGGGCATAGGACAAGAGGCCCTTTGGAATGCTCCTTGGAGTACAGCATCCTCAGGGAGGAAGCATGGTACTCGGAGCCTCTATTTGCCTCGACCTGTGAGAGTGTGTGCCGGGGCTCTGGCCTCTACAGCAGATCAATTCCACCTCAGCACCGGCAGGCGACTTTCCTCCCACGTGCCCGCCCCGATCACTTCCCCCAGGACACCCCTGCCGCCCTAGCCCCAGCAACCAGAGAGAGTTCTCTGCATCTGCTGTATTACCTCCGTACCATCTACCTGGCCTGCCTAACGAAGAGAGATGTTTCCTGTGTTCATGACACATAGAGATGTTCATGGCTTGCCACACTGAGGATGTCAGGGCACAGGGCTGCCATGCCCACAATTCCAAAGGCCACGCAGCCCGCGTGTGCCCGGATGCCTAGCTACCCGGCACAAGCTCCAAGGGCTTCTCGGAGGAGGCTTGGGCAGGGAAGGCGGGGGTTGGGGGGGCTGGAGATGCAGGCCCGCCAGTGGCTGTGCCGCCCAGGGAGACGCCCACCGCCCTCCCATTGACTGGCCACGACGGGAGGAAGTCGGCCTGGGTGCGGCCCCCCGGCCCTTCGCGCGCAGTCCCTTAGGGGGCGCCTGGAAGCCCGGCGCATGCGCCCTGAGGGCTCGCTGACCTACCGGGTGCCAGAGAGGCTGCGGCAGGGTTTCTGTGGCGTGGGTCGGGCAGCACAGGCCTTGGTGTGTGCGAGTGCCAAGGAGGGCACCGCCTTCAGGATGGAGGCTGTACAGGAGGGGGCGGCCGGGGTGGAGAGTGAGCAGGCGGCTTTGGGGGAGGAGGCGGTGCTGCTGTTGGATGACATAATGGCGGAGGTGGAGGTGGTGGCGGAGGTGGAGGTGGTGGCGGAGGAGGAGGGCCTCGTGGAGCGGCGGGAGGAGGCCCAGCGGGCACAGCAGGCTGTGCCTGGCCCTGGGCCCATGACCCCAGAGTCTGCACTGGAGGAGCTGCTGGCCGTTCAGGTGGAGCTGGAGCCGGTTAATGCCCAAGCCAGGAAGGCCTTTTCTCGGCAGCGGGAAAAGATGGAGCGGAGGCGCAAGCCCCACCTAGACCGCAGAGGCGCCGTCATCCAGAGCGTCCCTGGCTTCTGGGCCAATGTTGTATCCTTCTCAGTGTTTCTTCGGCCTTTCTAGTGGAGAGGTGCTCTCGGGGAAGTGTAAGTGACCGATGGGCAGCTCGGCGTCGATGTGACTCTTTGGGGAACAAAGGGGAGTTGCCACGGACCAGTGTGGCTGTGGAAAGCCGGAGCAGGCGTGGGTACTATTGTCCTGCATGCGGCAGAGAAACCCTTGGTGATGCCGAGCAGCAGACGTTTGGGGCATCTTTTTGAAGAGCAGAAGCGAGTTCAGAGCGGAAGAGGTTTTTCAGTGAATGAAGCTATTTTTAAGGGAGTGTGATTGCTGCCCCTTGCTAGTCCGATCTGGGACTGGGCGTCTTCGGCTATAAGCAGATTCTGCCACTCCTCAGACACCAGCAAGTCTCTGCAAATCGCGCCTCCCCATGTCAGTGCAGTCAGCCTCAGAATCATACACCCTCTGTGAACACAGGAGGCCTTAGTTTACGGGGAGGGGGAGGCGAAAGGAGATCATACATGGAAGCAGATCTGAGAAATCCCCTACCCCAGCCTCTGGGTGCTCTTAGGCCTTCTTCCCTGTTGCTCCTCGCTTTCCCTTCCATCGTGTGTAAAGTCTCTTTGACCTAAATCAGATTGCAAACCACCCCCAGATGTCAGCCCTGATCACTGACGAAGATGAAGACATGCTGAGCTACATGGTCAGCCTGGAGGTGAGGCCAGGAAGACTGGGGCTAGAGGGTTTAGCGGGGGAGGGTAAGGGAAATAATTCATTCCTGTAAGCAAGAGTGAGCACCTCACCCGAAAACCTATCTAAGCTTTCTCCACCTTGTCCTGACAGGTGGAAGAAGAGAAGCATCCTGTTCATCTCTGCAAGATCATGTTGTTCTTTCGGAGTAACCCCTACTTCCAGAATAAAGTGATTACCAAGGAATATCTGGTGAACATCACAGGTGACAGGTGGCTCCCAGGATGGGTAGTGGAAGGAAGATGGTGGGTGGATCATTGCCAACGGGATCCAGCCCCCTTCCCACAAAAACTCCTGTCTCTGTAGAATACAGGGCTTCTCATTCCACTCCAATTGAGTGGTATCCGGATTATGAAGTGGAGGCGTATCGCCGCAGACACCACAACAGCAGCCTTAACTTCTTCAACTGGTTCTCTGACCACAACTTCGCAGGATCTAACAAGATTGCTGAGGTGAGTCCTCACTGGGAAACATGAGGAATGACCCCGTGTGTTCCCAGCTGCTTGGGTCACCTTTCTGAGCCCTGATGAGGCCTTTCCCGATTGAGTCCCCTGACAGATCCTATGTAAGGACCTGTGGCGCAATCCCCTGCAATACTACAAGAGGATGAAGCCACCTGAAGAGGGAACAGAGACGTCAGGTGAGCCGTTAGTTGGCACTGGAGCTGTTTGATGCCCAGTATAAGGGGGTTGACACACCTGCCTATTCAGGGAGCCTGGGTGCTCATTTCAGAAATGTAGAAATTGAGGCTCCTTTCGTACATGTAGAAATTCCTTGAGAGGAAGACAGAGAGTGACAGAATCCAGGACGTTCATGGCATTGGGCTGAAAAGGCACGTTAGAGACTGCACTGCAAAGCGGGTGATAGCTGTGGAGTCTTAAGCCCAGTGAAGAATCGTCCATTTCCAGAATCAATGAGAAGTAAAGCTGAAAATCATTCAGTTCAGTCTGTGGCACTTGATTCCACGGCTGTCAACCCCACCGGCAGTCATCCCACCAACCCCATGAGATTGGGCTCCCTGAATGTGCGTCCTGGTCATCCTTGCCCCAAACCACAAAGGACTGTTTAGATTGATGGATTTCCTTAAGCTGTTGCCCCATCAGACTTGTGTGTGCTTTTAGGGCCCAGTGCATCTTGTTAGCTGACTCCCCTCACAGACAATACTGGGAATGGGGCAGGGATTGCGCAGAACAGTTTGTAACACGTGGTAGGAGGAAGTTTAAGGGATCACAAATGGGGAAGGGATATCCTTTTCTCAGCGGGCCCCACAATTGAAACATTTCAAAGTATGGCTCAGAGAAAATGCGTTTTAACATGAGTTTGTGTTTCTCTAGGGGACTCCCAGTTGTTGAGTTGAATATGATGGAGCATCAGATTTTACCTAATACAGCAGAACTCCTAAAAAGTTACAGCCATATGCAGGACGGCAGTACTCAGCATGGTCTTATGCACAGGAACTAAAGGAAAAAGAGATCGAGTCACAAAAATTCAGGAAGAGGGGGTAAATGTGGATTGTATGGAATGAAAAATAAACATTCTCAAGGATGTGTGACTCTGTGTCTGTGTGTGTGTGTGTGTCTTTGTGTTTGTGTGTGTGTGTGTGTGTATGTTTATCCACTTTATTCGGGTGTCATAATGAATTGATCAATCCACGTGCTTTATTCTCTTCATGGAAATAACCAGTCTGCGTTGGAGCTGGGCCTCTAAAGTTGTAGAGTGAATGGGTGTGGGATGTGTTGGGATTCTTCCTACAGGACAGAGTGGGAGAGGTAAAAGCAAAAGACAGCTTAGTTGGAGGCTGACTTCGTCCTGTGGAAGCAGAGATAGTTCAAGGAAAGGGGTTACTGGGTTTCCAGGGCCCAGTTTGCTGGGACCTCCAAAATCCTTCATTTTGGGTATCATCATACACAGTAGCTAAGCACAGGATGATGGAAATCTTAAAGTTCGCTTTCGTGTTGAATCCACATGTTCTTTTAAAGGTGAATGCATGATCCTTTTCTGGGACAATCAGCCTCTCAGGACTTCTGAAACATCAACGTGAGAAGAAATGGGCATGTAAGGTGTATGGAGGGACTGTGGGAAAGGTGACAGAGGCATGTGGGAAGGCATTCAGGATACGCTTTTGGCAGAGATGACTAAGGGAAAACAGAAACTTACAGAAGTGAGGGGAAAGGGGGTGGATTAGTGGAATATAAGATTGTTGGAGAATCCATCCATGGACTCTCTTGTCACTTGATGACCCAGGATATGGACACTCTTGTTGATGTTTACATCTTTAGTTGTTTTAAGCTTTTCTCCAAGATTCTGTGTTAGGTGAGGAGCCAATAACGTATGTAGCTAACAACAGTACGAGTGCATTTTGTGCTCTTGCAAAGTCTAGTGAGGCTCTATTCTCCCTCGTGATTGGCACTGCAGATTGTATCTGGAGCCCAGGGCCCCTAAATTTTCTGTGGCCTCTTCAGCATAGTTTGCCTAAGGTTTAGAACGTAAAGCGAATATAGTTGCGGAATATGTTTTGCAAGCCTCACACAGGAGGACAAAACATACAGCTTTCATTCGCGAGTGGGAGGCTGCTTCCCAGGAACACGTGTGTCTGCACAAGACAAGGGGTTGCCTCTGTCAAGGATGGGGCAGGAGGATTTCAGTGTCGGAGGCAGAACTTTCTTTCCTGTTCCCAGATGAAACAGTTCCAACACGAGCATCCATGTTGACCACACGCTACTAGAGTGCTAACATTGCTGTCCCGTATAGACTCTGGTCAGCACAGCTTCTGTGAGAAGAGCTATGTTGTTTCAGGGAAGAGGGTTTGACAGTCAAAGTTCCTGAATCTGTTGTGGTGCCTGCAATATGCATTCTACCCCTCCTGCTCGGTGTCAAAGCAGTTGAGCTTTGAAAATCTATCGCCCGGTTTTGTCCCTGCTCCTATGCAGACCTCTGAAGCTCTGGAGCGGGAGTCTTGTCCTCCTCTGACTACCGTCCCCCTGACCCACAAACACAGGAGAAACAGGTGTTCTAAGCAAATTATTCTGAAAACAGTCGGAACCCTTTGGCCCCCTCAAGCTGCCCTGTATCCTACTGTGTGCATGTCAAAGACACTGTGGTCCAGTACGGTATCCCTATAGCGGCAATGGGGCAACAGATTGGTGTGTGCACTCTGGGCAACTCAGATTAGGAAACGTCTGGGGACTTGCCTATAACGAGGTCGTCTTAAAACGTGTTGCCCCAAATTTAAGGCATAGGAAAATGTTGAGGAAAGGGTCTTGCAATGATTTTTCTAGGAGGTAAATAGATAAGAAAATGACCGTAAATAGATGCCAGGGCTAGTTTTGGAGCTAGCCTGTTTTAAAGTGGTGGTAGGGGAGGAGCTTTTTCCAAGGCAGGTAGCAAACCAGGAACTGTCTACGATGGATGGGCGTGCCACGGGTTGGTGGCTCAGCCATATTGCCACCCCACCGAGTGAATGCAGCAGACTGGGCTTCTTCCTTGAATCCTACGTGCAATTCAGTCTAGTGATTTCACATGAGATCCCTTCTTCTGGTATTATCACAGATCGTGCTGAATTATACAGGCTGTGTAATGCTTCTTCCACTGAATATCCGTGCACGTGGGCCACAGATGCTAAGGGCACTGACAAATTTGCACCGTGCCTCAGTAACTCGGAAGCACATCTGTGATTTGTACCGACAGGGACTTGGTGTCTTTTCGTGTTTAAAGTAGCACGTGTGTGTTTGTGGTTGCGTATGTTTATTTCTCTGTGCGGGTTTGTATATTTTCTCTGACTCCACCTGTGTCTCCGTGGTTCCGATATTTTTCCACACTCCCTGCGACAATTTGCACATGCCTATCTCTACAACCATTGTAGACTTTGTATCTGTGTCTTTGAACATCTGTCACTCTCTCTCCCTTCCTTTTTTCTTTTCCTTCCTTTACACCCCTTTCATCCTTCCCTTGCTTCCCCACCACACTCTCTCCATCTGTATCGTCTATGTTTCTATTCTCTATCTGGGTTTACTTTCTAATTCTGAATTCAAGGGCATTGAATTGAAAAGAAGCACTCTTCGTACTTTTATGTGTTTTAACTCATTTGGGGAATTTGGCGTGGTATTATTTACAGGGTTCTCTCTGCCCTTTCTCATTGTTCTCCCCAGCCGGGGCTGTTATTATGTGAAAGCTGGTTTCCTTCATCACATCGCGTAGGCTCTAATGATGTTTCGTTTATTTTGATTCTCCTCACACTACATAGTTTTAATTTACCTAATGTGACTCTTTTTTTGTTTGTTTTCCGAGAATGGGTCTTACTCTGTCTTCTAGGTTGGACAGCAGCCCCACGATCTCAGCCCACTGCAGCCCAGGCACCACACACCCATGTGATCCTGTCAACTCAGACTCTCACACACCTGGCAGTACAGGTGCATGCCACCCCTCCAAGCTATGTATTAATTAACTAAATACTTACTTTTTGAATGTGGGTCCATGTTGCCCCAGGCTCATCTGGAACTCCTGAGTGCAGGCAATCCTCCCACCTCAGCTTATCAAAGTGCTGGGATGACAGGTGTGACCCATGGCCCTGCCATGGCTTTGTGTTTTTTGCTTTTTTCTTCCTCCTCCTCACGTCTTGTTTTGAAACATGCACTGAAGGTTTCAATTCATGGACTATAGTCTCTGTGCCTGGAATTTCTATCTTTCAACTCATCATCAGCATTCATTGGGATTTTCATATATATATACACCTATATAAGAATACCTATGTACACACATATATACGTATATACATGTATATACGTATATATGCACATTTATATACGTATATACATGTATATACGTATATATATACATGTACACATATGTATTTATTTCTCAAGTTACGAAACGGCTTGCATTCTTTCCTGTGTCATGAAAAAGACTTTGCTAGAAAAGAAAAGCACTGCTTTATAATAAAATATTTTATTTGCATTTATTTTGTTAAGGCATTTTAAAAATTGTATGTTTGTTTAAAAAATGTCATATGAAATGATACATATTTACAACTTAAGGCGTGATGTTCAACAGGTCATATACATTATGCATTGGATACATCCAGCCAATCAACATATGTGTGACCTCACATAGTTGTCATTTTTGTTGTGAAAAAACTTGACCTGCACTGTATTCGAATATTTTTAGAGAAAGA
Source organism: Homo sapiens (assembly GCF_000001405.40). Lineage (NCBI taxonomy): Eukaryota > Metazoa > Chordata > Mammalia > Primates > Hominidae > Homo > Homo sapiens. The sequence continues at coordinate 251,799 of NW_025791821.1, forward strand.
ATATGTTACCACTAGTTATAGTGAGCATGCTGAAGAAAATATTTTTAACCTATTCCTCCTTTATAACTAGAAGTATGAGTTCTTCATCCAGCATCTCGTCAGTGCACCCTCTTCACCGCAGTCATTGGAGTCACTACTTCTGTGAAGTCCGCTTTTTTGATTTCATATAAGAATGAGATCATGTGCTATTTTCCTTTCTGATACCTGGCTTATGTCACTTAACAGAATGGCATGCACACATTCAGCAGATTCCCACACATTCTCACAACTGGCAGGATTTCCTGATTTCTTATTGCAGCGCATATTTCCGTTGCGCATATGCGTTTTTGCCCCATTTTTTAATCCACTTATCAATGGAGGGACACTCAGGTTGCTTCCGCATTTTGGCTACAGCAAAAATGTAATGAGTGCAGCAATAATTGCATGGGTGCGCGCACCGCTTCAACATACTGATCTGTGTACTGGCGGGCGTGCCCGGGTATTCTGATTTGCTGGATCATATAGTGGGTGGTTCTACTTGTAGATTTCTGAAGGCTGTTTATACTTAAATAAGAGCCATAAAGCTTCTTTAATGCCAGCACTAATTTACATTCTCCCCAAAAGTGAGCAGGGAATTCGTTTTCTCTGCCTCCTCACCAGAGATTAGGGTTTTCTTTTCTTTCTTTTTTTTTTTTGTTTGTTTGTCTTTCGGATAATATGCATTCTGACTGAAGTGAGAAGAAATCTCATTGTGTTTTTGATTTGCATTTTCGTGATGGATTGGGGATAATGAGGAATTTTTAGTGTGTCTTCTGGGCAACTGTATGTCTCAGTTTCACAAATGAGTCTTCGCAGCCTTCGCCCATTTGTTTTCATGCTATTGAGTTGTTGGGAGTTCCTTATGTACTGTGACTATTCCCCCATGAACAGATGTATGGTGATCCAATCATTGCTCCCATCCTGTAGGATGCCCCTTCTGTATGTTGAGTTTTCTATGGTGTGGTGAAGCACTTTAGTTTGATATGATTCCATTCTCTATTTTTGATGGTGTTTACTGTGTTCTTGCAGTCACTTTGAGACCATCATTGCACACACGGACGCCATGGAGCTTCTTCCTTGTGATCTCTTCTGCTATTTTTATCGTTTCACATCTGACACTGGAGTTTGGTGATAAATAATCCACTTGTAAAATCCTTTGTGTGGCTATTCAGATTTCCCCAACCTAGTTTATAGAAGATACTTGATTTTGCATTGGGCGTTCTTGCTTCTTTGGGAAAAGGCTGTGAGCTGCAAATGCAGTGACTTAGTTCTGGGCTCCTGTTGTTTTTCCTAAGCTCTAGTCTCTGCTTTTCTGCCAGTGCTATTGTATTTTGGTACAAAAAGTTTTGTAGTAGTATATCATGAAGTTAGGTAGTGTGGTGGCTCCAGCTTTGTGCTTTTTACTGGATTGCTCTGGGTTTTCAGGATCTTCTGCCATTTCATAGCAAATTTGGGATTCCCAGATTGTTTTTCTAAGAAGAATGTGTCATTGATATTTTTACAGGGGTTGTATAGAATCTGAGGATGACTCAGGTAGTAGTGATGTCAATGCCGTTTAGACAATGTGCGTGTTTGTGTGCACAAGCTCAGGGCCAAGAGACACTGGGTGTCCTCACCAATACTGAGGTGGGCCTTAATATCCAGCCAGATTGCCTTCTGGAAACACACGGAATGTCCTGTTCTGTTTTGCCATCTCTTCACATTTCCTCCCCTGTGAGCCCTGTGTGGTCCTCCAGATTCCCTGTGCGGTGGCCTGCCTTTTTTGGGGTGGGGAGTTGCTGGGTGAATGAGGATGGCGGAGGGAACCAAGCATGTCAGTGGAGCGTGGTGTCATCCAAACGGTACTTAGCAGGCCTGGGAGAGTCATTCTGGGAGGACGCAGACCTAGAGAGGCCTCAGGTGGGCATCTGTGTGGAGGGTGAGAGATCCCTGGTTGAGCCCAAACTGAACCCCAGGTAGAAGCAAGCCTCAGGACAGGGAAGTAGCTAGCAAGGGATGATGAGGCAGCTATCTCTTGACCCTGGCTTCCCACCCATTGACCTTAGCTACTTATGCCTATTAAGCAGATTACGGTTCCCCCATCGTGAAATGTGGGTACCACAGTTCCCTGATGGGCATTTCTCCACCAGCCCATGATGGCCTGAGTTTCCTTACTGCAGTCTCCTCCCTGAGCCTTGGCTTCTCTATGTGTGTCCTAACTCCAGGACCCACAGGCCTGTCAACCCCCAGCCCTGGGCTGCTTCCCTGGCCTCTTCTCTGTTCCCTCTCTGAGGGCCTAACTCCCTTGGGTAGTGCTGCAGAATATAGAGCCACAGGCCCTGGCTGATGATCTGGTGGACTGGGCAAATTGGTCGTGACAGGTCAGGTTCTGGTTCAAAGCCAATTCCTCCGATGCCAAGGAATGTCGAAGAAGGTCCTTTGCCATGATGCCCCATAGCTGCCCCACCTCAGCAATCGTGCCGTAACCTGGGCCCTCACAGTCAGACAACCAGCTGAAGAAGCTCAGGCAGTGACCTGCGGGAAACTCGGGCTTTCACCTGCATGACCCTAGAACCACTGGACTGCAGTGGAGCCAGTCGCCCTGTATCCTGGAGGGAGACGAGTCAGGAAGGCGCACGCCAGGCCCAGCTCCCGAGGTACTACCCCCTCTACTCCTCAGGGAGGATGCCAACGCAATACTCCTTAGTCATCACTTTGTTTCCGAAGTAAATGTTGTGATGAAAGGCAAACTTCTTCCTACCCCTTGTATTCAGGGTGGCCGAGTTCCTCCACCTGCCTGTCCAAGAAGGAGAAACAGGGCTGTGAAGGGGCAATTTCATCTAGGTGGGCTGAGGTGGCATTCTAGCCGGGGTGAAGCATGCGTTTCCCCTTCCCAGCTTTCCCGCTGAGACACACCTGAGCCCCAGAAGGACCTCAACCTGACCAGGACCTTAGCACCCTCCCCCAGACCCAGGCTTTCCATCCTGACCTGCAAATCCAACATGCAGCTTTGAAGGACTTTCTCATGGTTTCTGAGCTCCTTGCTCTCACCAGAAAGAATCAGAACTTTTAAAGTGTTCTTTATGCCAACTTAAATTTTTCATTTTTACTACCTCATGTTTTGGATGAGGCATGTATTTTTAAATTTATTTTCACCCTTATTGTACCTCTATGATAAACTGCTTGCTTACATTCATACCGTAATTATCTCTCAGGTTACTTGTCTGTTCCTAAAGATTCACTGAAACGAAGAATTCTATATATGCTTGTATCTTTCAGCAACCGTATGTCAGATAGCACTGCACATTACTGCAGACATCGCATATACAGGTCCAAAGGTAGAGGAAGAAGAAGAAAGCAAGCGTTAAACTCTATTCATTCCTAAAAGCATATCAGAAACTCACAAATAACAGTGAAATCAAAGAATGATCACAGCCAATTCCATTACATACCTAGACTGAAATACGAAACTTCAAAGAAAAGAAACATTAGAACTTTGGGTTTGTAAAAATTTTCCTATATAGATAAAATTATTGGTAACTGTGTCTCACTAGAAAACGTAAACAAAAATCCATGTTTTTCATATTTGTAAATATACATAGTTTTATTTCCATCAGTTATGACATGCAAGCAAGTAATAAAGTGAAAGTACAATCAAATGATATATGGAACTTCCTCAGTCTTAAAATATTCCATGGAGACTATCAATTTTATGAAAACTATAAAGAATGCTTCATGAAACTACATTGTACAGTGCCATTTACTATTTTACTGACATTTTAAATAATCAACAATTAAAGGGAATACGTCAACATTATTTAATACCAATAACGTTATTTTTCTTGAGTAATCCTGTTGAAATTAAGGATTTTAAATAAAACATTAAAAACAAATTATATTGACTGATTTCAGCTTTGGATGAAATCATACTTGTGTATTTGTAGTAATGCGAAGCATAACTTTCTCCTCACAATTAATCTTTTATAACATCGGTGTTATAGTTTTCTCTGACACCAACATTGTGATATCGCACAGGTTTACTGCATGCATGCATTACATGCCTCCAGAGAGTAGGCTTCAAATATATGGAAAAATTATATTTATGAAAAAATTCTAGGAAAGGGAATGGTGAAATGGAAGAGAATTTCTCACTTGCTAACTGTTGGACATGGATTTGTATATATTTGGATATAGACACATACTGGCACACTGTGAGTTTGCCCATGTATATATACACTTATATGAGAAACCCATAATATATGGGTTGTGTAATCTTTTAATTAATCCATAATTGTATGTGTGTGAAATTAGATAAGCGGTTACCTTTTCTTTACTCAATTTGATGGAAAGCCAAAAAACTCTGTCCACCTTCATTTCAATTAATCCAATACTGTTAACTGCTGGTAGCTTCATTCTCCTTGTTCTCTTACGGCAACCGGAAAGTTAATTCTCGCTCTAATTTGGCTTTCAAGGTGCGATCAACAAGAGTGTCACCTTGCTGTGGATTGTGACCTCTGACTCCACCTCTGTCTTCCTTTTGCAGTCCTACCTTTGCATAGGTAACAAACTTTGTACATGGTTAAAAGGATAAAAGTTCAGTGAAATGTCAAGCCATGCTGTGAAATGTTCCATAGTTTCTATATCTCTAATTGTCCTTTGATGTTATAGAGGCAAGAAAAATAATTCAATGTTTTTCTTAGTATCTAGTCCAATGCACGCTTTCTTCATAATACTGCAAACAAGGCACTGACATGGAAACGTGGCTGGACGTCTCAAAATCTCTTCTCATTAATTACCATTATGTTAATCACTGTTGCCCACAACTGGAATTGGACTTTGAAATCCCCTGGTGGAAATTGCTATAATGGCTCAAACTACTGGAAAGACTATCTTTTTTTTACCTGAAAATATCTGATGAGCATAGACGTATGCTATATACAGGAACATATTGTACATTAACAACATACCATCACTGCCACTCAATAATAGGTATCCCAAACCTTTGAGCCAAACTGAGCTCAGGTGCTCCCACAAACCAAGCTTTTCCCTCCACAGATTTCTTATGTCAAAAAGCCACAACTCCAGGCCAGGCTTCGTGGCTCTTGTTGTAATTTCTACATTTTGGGAGGCCGAGGTTGGTGGGTCACTTGAGGTCAGGAGTTGGAGACCAGCATGGGCAACATGGCAAAAAGCTGTCTCTACCAAAAATACAAAAATTAGCCAGACCTAGTGGCACTTTCCTGTGGTCCCAGCTACTTGGGAGGCTGAGGCAGGAGAACCACCTGAACATGGGTGGCAGAGATTGTATAGTAAGCCAAGATCAGACTACTGCACTCCAGCCTGGATGACACAGCGAGACCATGACTGAAAAAAGAAAAAAAAAAATAAAGGCAACTCCACTCGTCCACTGGCTTAGGTAAAAAGTACTGGAGTTGGCTGGGCTCGGTGGCTCACACCTGTATTCCCAGCACTTTGGATTTTGGGAAGCTGAGTCGGGCGGGTCACCTGAGATCTGTAGTAGGAGAGCAGCCTGGCCAACATGGTGAAGCCTGGCTTCTACTAAAAATACAAAACATTAGCTGAGCGTGGTGATGCATGCTTGTAATCCCAGCTACTGCAGAGGCTGAACCTGGGAGGCGGAGGATGTGTTGAGCTGAGATCCTGCCACTGCGCTCCAGCCTGGTCTACAGAGCGAGAGTACCCTGTGAGAAACAAAGGTGAAGAGAACAAGAAAAAAAAAATGAGAAAAATAAGACCCACTGCAAAAGGTTGCCACAGAAAAGATTAAACATTTCAGCAACTTCTATCTTCTGTCATGGAAGCCAAGGTTATTTGGACCAAACCTCCTGTCTTAGTTCATTTTCACGCTGCTGAAGAAGACATACCTGAAACTGGGAATAAAAGGAGGTTTAATTGGACTGACAGTTCCACATGGCTGTGGAGGCCTCAGAATCATGGTATACGAATAAAGGCACTTCTTACATGGCAATGCCAAGAGAGAATGAGGAAGAACCTGAGGCAGAAACCCCTGAAAAACCCATCAGATCCCGTGAGACTTCTTCACTGTCACAAGAATAGCATGAGAAAGACCGACCCCCATGATTCAATTACCTCCCCCTGGGTCCCACCCGCAACACGAGGGAATTCTGGGAGATACAATTGAAGCTGAGATTTGAATGGAGACACACCAAACCATGTCACTTCCCAAACAATTAAAAATTCCCAATAGAAGAAGCATTAATTATATCAAAAAGTGGTGGACCAAGAAGGAACTATTAGCCTCATATCTCAAGAAAGACTCCAGTCAAGGCCTAGGGACTACTCATGAAAAGAGTTTAATAGCCGACTCTCTCCCAGTGGATCTGGATTCCACCGGACTGTATCTTCACAGTAAGGGTGAAACAGAAGCAAACCCATTCCTATTTCCAAGCTCAAGGAACTTTGGTCAAAGTTCTCTTGGAGCTGAGCAGAACAAGGAGGCAAACAGAAAAGATTTGTGTCCCTGAGAAGTCATGGCCACAGGCTGGCTATCACACAGATTGTCAAGCCAGTTCCATATTGCATGGGTATTACAGAAAATCTCAAAACATAAATTTGTGTGTGGGTTGTCCCAGAGTAGCAGGATCTGGCAGAAGGAAATTTCCTTCTAACCCTCAAAGAATCCACATAAATCTTGTTACATTTGGGATTTTACGATTTGCTTCAGGAATGAGAATGGCCTTAATTTTCATATCTTTTTCTACACTCAGTTTATGGCTTGTTGGCGTCAAAGTTCTGCTTGCTTCACACAATGAGTTTAGGATTTTCCCTTTTTTATTCTATAGAATTCTTCATATATATTGAAATGCTCTGCCTGGGGAAAAAAATCTGAGCCTAGCGTTTTATCTCTAGGAAGAATCCTTTATTTCCTTGAACATTTATGAGACTATACAGATTATATATGTCTTCTTGTATCAATTTTACTAAGCTATATACATAGCTTATGTTTATATATTATATATATAAATGTAAGATACAAATATAAAAATTATGTATAAATATGAAAATATATATAGAAAGCGATATATATGTCTATATATATAGACAGATTATAAATATCTGTCTATTTGATCTAAGTTTTCAAATTTGTAGGTTAAGGTGTTAACGATATTTCCTTATTAGCTTCTTAATCTATGCTGTATCTATGGTTGTGTACCTTTTAAATTCTTAGTTTTATCTATGTTTTCTCCCTTTTTTTCTAAACTTGACTGACGGTTGCATCATTTATTATATTTCTCCAACAAGCAAAGGTTAGCTTTGTATGTTTTACTAATTTTGTCTACATCATTATTCCCACACTTTAGTTTTTCAGAATTGATTCTGTTGTTTCTTTTCTAATTCTTTATTGAAATATCTAGTACATTAATTTTCAAGTTATTAGAGAAATATTTGTCTGTAAACTCCTATTGTAATATCACTTTTCTTGCTACTCACAGATTTAATCTTTAATATTGGCGGTATCATTGAGTTCTAAGTACATTTCAATTCCTAGTATGATAATCTATGAATTGCTGAGAAATAGTGTTTACAATTTTGTTGTTCTATTTCCACTTAAGTTTATTTTTACTTCTGCTAACTCAATTGAAAATTCTTTACTAATTTTTAAAATCCTTGAACCCAAGAGATGGAGGTTGCAGTGAGCTGAGATCAGGCCACTGCATTCCAGACTGAGTGACAGAGTGGAACGAGATTTCAAAACAAAACAAAACAAAACAAAACAAAACAGTCACTGGAAAGATAATAAAATACATAAATGTGGGATGTAATATGTAATCGTGATAAAATAAACTGGATTTTTTGTATAAGTTATACATATAAATGTAATGCCAAGACACTGATAAGACAACTCATGGTCTTATCTCAATACTTAGTGTCTTCATGTAACATATGTCCTTTAGGATAGTTATAGTCCGTTTTCTTTCCAGGAGAGACAGATGAGAATGCAGAAATGTTAAAGTGCAAGGGACGGAAGCTTCCAGCTGTGCCCACCTGTAACCTGACGTAGACAGTTCCACCGTTTGCTTCATTAATCATGCCAAAGGCTCTAATGCAAATGTGGTACAGAGTCACATGTTTTTGTATCTACATGATAGAAACTATAACTTCATCCCTATATAGAAGGGTATATAGCATATGCCTCAGTGATAAATATAAGTGAATCATTGATCAGTAGGAAACCATTTTAAAAGTCTTTCATAACAGAACAAAATCCCTGAAAACATTTTCTTCTCAATCTCTGAGTTTTCTTACACGGCTTATGAATCTCTAGCCATACTAAAGAGATAGTATGCTGCTCTTCCCACAAATTATTCATTGTATATAATTCCTGTAATCTAATAACAGTACCTTTACACCTCAGGGTTTAAAATGACTCCAACCTTTTTCTGTTTCTCCAATTAAAATAACTTTTTTAAGGTTTAATCTTCAGTAATTTTTTGTAGTAATATTTTTGAAGGTATTTGACCAGGATGATTTGCTTATATACCTACCTGACGTCTCCCTTTCTTCTGAATACATATTTTATTACCCACCTATTAGATCTAAGTTTAAGAAGTTGGAATAGGGATTTAAATCTAAATTCTACATTTGAATTTACAGGAGTCAGCGAGTCCGGGAAGTGCCTTTATGCACAGACCAATATCTGGCAATGGCACTAGGAGACAAATAAGCTTTACCAGTCTCAAAGCCCTGGCTACTACAGTGAATCCACCCTTCTCCTGGATCTTATCTACTTCAGCAAAAGAAGGCCACCCACTAAACCAGGCCCTTGTACTTTGGGTGGAAACTCCTAAGTCCTCTAGTCTCCTCAAACAGACAGCCAGGCTGCCAATTTCCACAATAATAATTTCTATAGCACTGAGTCTTTGGTAGCCTTGTAACTATAGCTACTGATGCTACAGTCTGGTCCCTGTATGATAAAACACCAGAGCAACAGAAACAAAAATATTGACTGAAGCCTTCTAAAATCTCTCTAAATATACCTTCAATAAATATGGTTTTTTTTACAGAACGACTGCTTTCAGCTTCCTGAACTAACGCTTGGCCTTCGCTAGTTGTCACTGTTGAAATTGATTCAAAAGTGTACCTTTAACATGAAAGTCAACACAGAATTTCATGTGTCAGCAACTAAAATTTTCAAAATGTTGCAAAATACAAATGTGAAACTGTATTTGTGAAATTTACCATTCATTGAAATTATATTTTCATACCTACCCAGGCACAGAATTTTTTATAACTGTCTGCATGTTCTCCTCATGTGGGGGAAAAGCAGCATCAGCAGGCAGAGGAATCCTTTGAAGCTGGAGGGAGAGGTTGCAGTGATCTGAGAGTTTGCCACTTGACTGCAGCCTGGATGACACAGTGAGACTCCAACTGAAAAGAAACAAACACACACACACACACACACACAAACACACACCCCCAAAATTGATAAGTAAAAAAAAAATCCATATTCGAAAACATGCTCACAGGCTAACTCCCATATCTAACACACACACACACACACACACACACACACACACACACACAATTCCTTGAAAACGAAAGTTCCACAAGGGCAAAACAAGAAAACAAATTTAACACCCCCCAAAGAAAGTACAAAGAGTAACCTCAAAAGAACCGCAGGGGAAAACAATTCAAAATTTACAAGTATCTACCCTAAAAGAAGCTGAAAGTCCCTCAAAAACTTTCCAGAGGCCATGTCCTTGTATTACAAAAATGATCATAAAAACTGGCAGGAGTAGACGAATAGAAATGCATCTTAAAACTTGCCGAACACTTCAAGTCTCCCATAAGAATTGTAATGGAAAATGGATCAGTCGGCAGTTTTTTCCATACAATTATGAACAAATTATATTTCTTCATACATAGATTTGTTTTTTCAATATTCTAAGGAATTAACTTTTATATTAATAGTAGGTGATGTAAGAAAGCAGGCCTTTATCAAGATAACTGACACTGGATGTCCATACCATTACTCAGGTGGGCCTTAATTCCCAGCCGGGTTCCCTCCCTGGACACACACTGAAGGTCCCCAGCCATTTGGCAATCTCTTCACATTCCCAGCCCTGGAGGTAGCCCTAAAATACATGTACCTGAAGAAAATAAAACATTGCCTCACACTGGAGCCCAGTGTGGTCCTCCAGATTCCGTGTGAGGTGGACTAACTTATATGGGAAGGCAGGGCAGCGGGAGTGAGGATGGCAGAGAGGATTACACATGTCAAGGCAGCCGGGGTCATGGAAACAAAACATGACTGGCCTGGGAGAAACACTGTGAAAGGACACAGACCTAGGTGGGCCTCAGGTGGACATCCTCGTGGAGAAAAAGGGGGCCCTGGTTGATCTCAAAATGAGCCCCAGGTGGTAGCAGGTCTTACCGCAGGGCAGGGAGCTGGCGAGTAATGATGAGACAGCTATCCCTTAAGCCCTGCTTGTCACCCACTGACTTTAGCCACATATGCATCATAGTGGCTTAAGGTGCCCCGATCCTGAAATGTGGGTGTTACATGTCCCTGATGGGCCTCTCTCCCCCAGCCCACGGATTGCCTGGGATTGCTCACTGCAGTCTCCTCCCGGATCCTTGGGTTCTCCATGTGGGGCCCAGATCCAGGTCAAAAGGCCTCTCAGTTCCCAGCCCTTCCCAGCCCTAGGCTGCTCGCCTGGCCTCCTCTCTGTTCCGCCTCTAGGGCTGACCCTCTCTCCATGGGATAGAACTGCAATGGATTGAGCCATAGGCCCTGGCTGATGATCTAGGGGACTGCAGAAGTGGGTCCAGGACAGTTCAGGTGACAGTTCAAAGCCAATTCCCCAGAGACCAAGGAATGACCAGCTAGGTCCTTTCCCATGATGCCCCACGGCGAACCCCACCTCAGCAATCCTGCCAAAACCCGGGCAGTCATGTTCAGCCAAACAGCTGAATGAGCTCAGGTAGGAGGTGTACTGCCTGCAGCTGGAGGCTTGACCTTCGTGATCCCAGAACCGCTGGACTGCAGTGGAATGAGACACCCTGTAGCCTGCAGGGAGAGGAGTCAGGAAGGTTCATGCCAGTCCCACCCTCCCACACACCAGCTCCCCTACCATGCTGGGAGGCATTCCTTACCGAGGATGCCAACACAGTGCTCCTTCATGATGATTTCACTGTGGAAATAAAGGTTGGGATGAAAGGAAATCATCCTGCCACCGGTAACCGGGATGGCTGAGTTCCTCCACCTGCCGGATCAAGGAGAAAGAGGATGGATTCAATGGGACCATCTCAACTAGCCGGGCTGAGGTGGCCTACTAGCTGTAGTGAACCATGAGTTTCCCCTTCCCAGCTCTCCCACTGAGACAACCCTGGTCCCCAGGGGGACCTCAAACTGACTCAGACACTGGACTCCTCCCACAGACCCAGGCTCCCCAGCCTGACCTGCAAATCCATCACGTAGCAAAGCAGGACTTCCGCATGCTTTCCGACCCACGCCGACATCTCGTGTGCCAAACAATCTACCTCTGCGCAAGAACTCTCCAGAGGATTGGGTGGGCAAGCCTCGTGACGCCTTGCAATTTCGCAAGAACACAGACAATGTGGAACAGGGCCATCTCCCAGACATTTGGCCAGTCACCCTTCATTGTTGGCCCTCTATCTCTGTCTGGCGAGGAGGCAACGCCACAACTGTGGTGGTTTTTGGAGTGGGTGGACCCCGGCCAAGACGGCCTGGGCTGACCAGAGACGGGAGGCAGAAAAAGTGGGCAGGTGGTTGCAGCTGAGGGACGGGAGGGGCCGGGGGTGGTGTGAGGCGGCTGCTTCTCTGAGTTTCTGAGATGCAGGAGGCCTTTGTGTGCTGGGTGCTGGACATGCTCCGCTGATGTCCGGGTGTGTGGTGTCCTCTTATCCTAGTCTCCCTGAGGGGTGGGCCTGTCCACCTGAGGGAAGCCTTGTAGTTAGAAGCCACAGCAGGGTCGTGCCTGGCGCTCTCCAAGGGAATTGCGTGGGTCCAGAGGAAGTTATACAGGCTCAGGGCCTACACGCCTTTGAGTGCAGCGCCTGCAGTTGGATGAATGCGCATCTGCGGAGCTGGTGCCCGCCGTCAGGTGGTCGGCAGCCCCATGCGCCGCGAACCCGTCTTAAGCACCTTGTGTTTCTGGGGTGAGCCTGCTGGAAACAGGCACCGAGAGCAGGGGTGGTTCAATGGCTGGTAATGGCATACAGATTCCCCGTCCTCCAGGGACGTTCCCAGGGAAACGCGTCCTTCGAATTTGGGCTGTGCGCAAAGGGACCTTGGCGCCGCGATTCTCCCTTGTCAGTGCTGGCCCTGGCTCCCCTTCCCTACCACGTGCTCCCAGGGCTGCTACAAGCGAGCTGCCCTCACAGCTGCGGGAACGTGGCCTCGGCTCCCACGCTGTCCCCCATCCCCTGCCTCCTGGCTGACCCCACGTGCCTCCCACCTGGCTCCTCCCCGCAAACAGCCCCCATACCCCCCGAGGCCCGATGACTATCCCCTGCTGCCCGCCGTCCCAAATCGGCAGCCGCAAGGATATGGCTCTGGCTCACAAGGCGGAGATGCTCTGTGGCCTAGGGCATTCACGGAGCCCAGCTCCAAGTGAAGGACCTCCAGCGAGTCCATTGACGGCCCCGGTGTGCTCGGTCCAGGGCCAGGCTGTGCCCGCTGGCCCTCCTTCTGCCACCCCACGTCGGGCTCCACCTCAACCACCACCTCCACCTCAGCCATGATGTCTTCCACCTTCAGCACCGCCTCCTCTTCCAAGGCCGCCTCCTTGCTCTGTACCCCGGCCGTCCTCTCCAGCATTGCCTCCAGCCTGAACACGGTTTTCTCCTGGGTGCTCCCACAGACCCTGGGCCTGCGCAGCCCAGCCCAGCCCAGCCCATGCCCCGCACCCGTAGGCTCTGGGGGCCCGCTCCCCAGCAGACCCGCTCCCTGCAAGACCCACGGGCGTCGCCCTGCTGTGAACCTGGTCCCACACCTACGTGGACCCAGGTTTCCTGAGGAGCTCCGCTGGACCCGCAGATCCCGCACTGGCCAAAGGGCTCCGGTCCCCAGCAGGCTCAACTGCGCACAGGAGCTCGGGAGCCAGAGGCCCCGGCCCTGGGCTTGCAGAGCCCCACCAACAGGCACCGCAACCGCTGCTGCGGGTGCGGGAGCCTCTGGGTCGTCAAGGCAGCGCACAACAGCGTGCGCGCAGGCCGACAATGGCCAACCCTGGCGGCTGGCCTCTGGTGTGCCCAGGGCATAGGACAAGAGGCCCTTTGGAATGCTCCTTGGAGTACAGCATCCTCAGGGAGGAAGCATGGTACTCGGAGCCTCTATTTGCCTCGACCTGTGAGAGTGTGTGCCGGGGCTCTGGCCTCTACAGCAGATCAATTCCACCTCAGCACCGGCAGGCGACTTTCCTCCCACGTGCCCGCCCCGATCACTTCCCCCAGGACACCCCTGCCGCCCTAGCCCCAGCAACCAGAGAGAGTTCTCTGCATCTTCTGTATTACCTCCGTACCATCTACCTGGCCTGCCTAACGAAGAGAGATGTTTCCTGTGTTCATGACACATAGAGATGTTCATGGCTTGCCACACTGAGGATGTCAGGGCACAGGGCTGCCATGCCCACAATTCCAAAGGCCACGCAGCCCGCGTGTGCCCGGATGCCTAGCTACCCGGCACAAGCTCCAAGGGCTTCTCGGAGGAGGCTTGGGCAGGGAAGGCGGGGGGGTGGGGGGGCTGGAGATGCAGGCCCGCCAGTGGCTGTGCCGCCCAGGGAGACGCCCACCGCCCTCCCATTGATTGGCCACGACGGGAGGAAGTCGGCCTGGGTGCGGCCCCCCGGCCCTTCGCGCGCAGTCCCTTAGGGGGCGCCTGGAAGCCCGGCGCATGCGCCCTGAGGGCTCGCTGACCTACCGGGTGCCAGAGAGGCTGCGGCAGGGTTTCTGTGGCGTGGGTCGGGCAGCACAGGCCTTGGTGTGTGCGAGTGCCAAGGAGGGCACCGCCTTCAGGATGGAGGCTGTGCAGGAGGGGGCGGCCGGGGTGGAGAGTGAGCAGGCGGCTTTGGGGGAGGAGGCGGTGCTGCTGTTGGATGACATAATGGCGGAGGTGGAGGTGGTGGCGGAGGAGGAGGGCCTCGTGGAGCGGCGGGAGGAGGCCCAGCGGGCACAGCAGGCTGTGCCTGGCCCTGGGCCCATGACCCCAGAGTCTGCACTGGAGGAGCTGCTGGCCGTTCAGGTGGAGCTGGAGCCGGTTAATGCCCAAGCCAGGAAGGCCTTTTCTCGGCAGCGGGAAAAGATGGAGCGGAGGCGCAAGCCCCACCTAGACCGCAGAGGCGCCGTCATCCAGAGCGTCCCTGGCTTCTGGGCCAATGTTGTATCCTTCTCAGTGTTTCTTCGGCCTTTCTAGTGGAGAGGTGCTCTCGGGGAAGTGTAAGTGACCGATGGGCAGCTCGGCGTCGATGTGACTCTTTGGGGAACAAAGGGGAGTTGCCACGGACCAGTGTGGCTGTGGAAAGCCGGAGCAGGCGTGGGTACTATTGTCCTGCATGCGGCAGAGAAACCCTTGGTGATGCCGAGCAGCAGACGTTTGGGGCATCTTTTTGAAGAGCAGAAGCGAGTTCAGAGCGGAAGAGGTTTTTCAGTGAATAAAGCTATTTTTAAGGGAGTGTGATTGCTGCCCCTTGCTAGTCCGATCTGGGACTGGGCGTCTTCGGCTATAAGCAGATTCTGCCACTCCTCAGACACCAGCAAGTCTCTGCAAATCGCGCCTCCCCATGTCAGTGCAGTCAGCCTCAGAATCATACACCCTCTGTGAACACAGGAGGCCTTAGTTTACGGGGAGGGGGAGGCGAAAGGAGATCATACATGGAAGCAGATCTGAGAAATCCCCTACCCCAGCCTCTGGGTGCTCTTAGGCCTTCTTCCCTGTTGCTCCTCGCTTTCCCTTCCATCGTGTGTAAAGTCTCTTTGACCTAAATCAGATTGCAAACCACCCCCAGATGTCAGCCCTGATCACTGACGAAGATGAAGACATGCTGAGCTACATGGTCAGCCTGGAGGTGAGGCCAGGAAGACTGGGGCTAGAGGGTTTAGCGGGGGAGGGTAAGGGAAATAATTCATTCCTGTAAGCAAGAGTGAGCACCTCACCCGAAAACCTATCTAAGCTTTCTCCACCTTGTCCTGACAGGTGGAAGAAGAGAAGCATCCTGTTCATCTCTGCAAGATCATGTTGTTCTTTCGGAGTAACCCCTACTTCCAGAATAAAGTGATTACCAAGGAATATCTGGTGAACATCACAGGTGACAGGTGGCTCCCAGGATGGGTAGTGGAAGGAAGATGGTGGGTGGATCATTGCCAACGGGATCCAGCCCCCTTCCCACAAAAACTCCTGTCTCTGTAGAATACAGGGCTTCTCATTCCACTCCAATTGAGTGGTATCCGGATTATGAAGTGGAGGCCTATCGCCGCAGACACCACAACAGCAGCCTTAACTTCTTCAACTGGTTCTCTGACCACAACTTCGCAGGATCTAACAAGATTGCTGAGGTGAGTCCTCACTGGGAAACATGAGGAATGACCCCATGTGTTCCCAGCTGCTTGGGTCACCTTTCTGAGCCCTGATGAGGCCTTTCCCGATTGAGTCCCCTGACAGATCCTATGTAAGGACCTGTGGCGCAATCCCCTGCAATACTACAAGAGGATGAAGCCACCTGAAGAGGGAACAGAGACGTCAGGTGAGCCGTTAGTTGGCACTGGAGCTGTTTGATGCCCAGTATAAGGGGGTTGACACACCTGCCTATTCAGGGAGCCTGGGTGCTCATTTCAGAAATGTAGAAATTGAGGCTCCTTTCGTACATGTAGAAATTCCTTGAGAGGAAGACAGAGAGTGACAGAATCCAGGACGTTCATGGCATTGGGCTGAAAAGGCACGTTAGAGACTGCACTGCAAAGCGGGTGATAGCTGTGGAGTCTTAAGCCCAGTGAAGAATCGTCCATTTCCAGAATCAATGAGAAGTAAAGCTGAAAATCATTCAGTTCAGTCTGTGGCACTTGATTCCACGGCTGTCAACCCCACCGGCAGTCATCCCGCCAACCCCATGAGATTGGGCTCCCTGAATGTGCGTCCTGGTCATCCTTGCCCCAAACCACAAAGGACTGTTTAGATTGATGGATTTCCTTAAGCTGTTGCCCCATCAGACTTGTGTGTGCTTTTAGGGTCCAGTGCATCTTGTTAGCTGACTCCCCTCACAGACAATACTGGGAATGGGGCAGGGATTGCGCAGAACAGTTTGTAACACGTGGTAGGAGGAAGTTTAAGGGATCACAAATGGGGAAGGGATATCCTTTTCTCAGCGGGCCCCACAATTGAAACATTTCAAAGTATGGCTCAGAGAAAATGCGTTTTAACATGAGTTTGTGTTTCTCTAGGGGACTCCCAGTTGTTGAGTTGAATATGATGGAGCATCAGATTTTACCTAATACAGCAGAACTCCTAAAAAGTTACAGCCATATGCAGGACGGCAGTACTCAGCATGGTCTTATGCACAGGAACTAAAGGAAAAAGAGATCGAGTCACAAAAATTCAGGAAGAGGGGGTAAATGTGGATTGTATGGAATGAAAAATAAACATTCTCAAGGATGTGTGACTCTGTGTCTGTGTGTGTGTGTGTGTGTCTTTGTGTTTGTGTGTGTGTGTGTGTCTGTGTGTGTATGTTTATCCACTTTATTCGGGTGTCATAATGAATTGATCAATCCACGTGCTTTATTCTCTTCATGGAAATAACCAGTCTGCGTTGGAGCTGGGCCTCTAAAGTTGTAGAGTGAATGGGTGTGGGATGTGTTGGGATTCTTCCTACAGGACAGAGTGGGAGAGGTAAAAGCAAAAGACAGCTTAGTTGGAGGCTGACTTCGTCCTATGGAAGCAGAGATAGTTCAAGGAAAGGGGTTACTGGGTTTCCAGGGCCCAGTTTGCTGGGACCTCCAAAATCCTTCATTTTGGGTATCATCATACACAGTAGCTAAGCACAGGATGATGGAAATCTTAAAGTTCGCTTTCGTGTTGAATCCACATGTTCTTTTAAAGGTGAATGCATGATCCTTTTCTGGGACAATCAGCCTCTCAGGACTTCTGAAACATCAACGTGAGAAGAAATGGGCATGTAAGGTGTATGGAGGGACTGTGGGAAAGGTGACAGAGGCATGTGGGAAGGCATTCAGGATACGCTTTTGGCAGACATGACTAAGGGAAAACAGAAACTTACAGAAGTGAGGGGAAAGGGGGTGGATTAGTGGAATATAAGATTGTTGGAGAATCCATCCATGGACTCTCTTGTCACTTGATGACCCAGGATATGGACACTCTTGTTGATGTTTACATCTTTAGTTGTTTTAAGCTTTTCTCCAAGATTCTGTGTTAGGTGAGGAGCCAATAACGTATGTAGCTAACAACAGTACGAGTGCATTTTGTGCTCTTGCAAAGTCTAGTGAGGCTCTATTCTCCCTCGTGATTGGCACTGCAGATTGTATCTGGACCCAGGGCCCCTAAATTTTCTGTGGCCTCTTCAGCATAGTTTGCCTAAGGTTTAGAACGTAAAGTGAATATAGTTGCGGAATATGTTTTGCAAGCCTCACACAGGAGGACAAAACATACAGCTTTCATTCGCGAGTGGGAGGCTGCTTCCCAGGAACACGTGTGTCTGCACAAGACAAGGGGTTGCCTCTGTCAAGGATGGGGCAGGAGGATTTCAGTGTCGGAGGCAGAACTTTCTTTCCTGTTCCCAGATGAAACAGTTCCAACACGAGCATCCATGTTGACCACACGCTACTAGAGTGCTAACATTGCTGTCCCGTATAGACTCCAGTCAGCACAGCTTCTGTGAGAAGAGCTATGTTGTTTCAGGGAAGAGGGTTTGACAGTCAAAGTTCCTGAATCTGTTGTGGTGCCTGCAATATGCATTCTACACCTCCTGCTCGGTGTCAAAGCAGTTGAGCTTTGAAAATCTATCGCCCGGTTTTGTCCCTGCTCCTATGCAGACCTCTGAAGCTCTGGAGCGGGAGTCTTGTCCTCCTCTGACTACCGTCCCCCTGACCCACAAACACAGGAGAAACAGGTGTTCTAAGCAAATTATTCTGAAAACAGTCGGAACACTTTGGCCCCCTCAAGCTGCCCTCTATCCTACTGTGTGCATGTCAAAGACACTGTGGTCCAGTACGGTATCCCTATAGCGGCAATGGGGCAACAGATTGGTGTGTGCACTCTGGGCAACTCAGATTAGGAAACGTCTGGGGACTTGCCTATAACGAGGTCGTCTTAAAACGTGTTGCCCCAAATTTAAGGCATAGGAAAATGTTGAGGAAAGGGTCTTGCAATGATTTTTCTAGGAGGTAAATAGATAAGAAAATGACCGTAAATAGATGCCAGGGCTAGTTTTGGAGCTAGCCTTTTTTAAAGTGGTGGTAGGGGAGGAGGTTTTTCCAAGGCAGGTAGCAAACCAGGAGCTGTCTACGATGGATGGGCGTGCCATGGGTTGGTGGCTCAGCCATATTGCCACCCCACGGAGTCGATGCAGCAGACTGGGCTTCTTGCTTGAATCCTACGTGCAATTCAGTCTAGTGATTTCACATGAGATCCCTTCTTCTGGTATTATCACAGATCGTGCTGAATTATACAGGCTGTGTAATGCTTCTTCCACTGAATATCCGTGCACGTGGGCCACAGATGCTAAGGGCACTGACAAATTTGCACCGTGCCTCAGTAACTCGGAAGCACATCTGTGATTTGTACCGACAGGGACTTGGTGTCTTTTCGTGTTTAAAGTAGCACGTGTGTGTTTGTGGTTGCGTATGTTTATTTCTCTGTGCGGGTTTGTATATTTTCTCTGACTCCACCTATGTCTCCGTGGTTCCGATATTTTTCCACACTCCCTGCGGCAATTTGCACATGCCTATCTCTACAACCATTGTAGACTTTGTATCTGTGTCTTTGAACATCTGTCACTCTCTCTCCCTTCCTTTTTTCTTTTCCTTCCTTTACACCCCTCCTTTCATCCTTCCCTTGCTTCCCCACCACACTCTCTCCATCTGTATCGTCTATGTTTCTATTCTCTATCTGGGTTTACTTTCTAATTCTGAATTCAAGGGCATTGAATTGAAAAGAAGCACTCTTCGTACTTTTATGTGTTTTAACTCATTTGGGGAATTTGGCGTGGTATTATTTACAGGGTTCTCTCTGCCCTTTCTCATTGTTCTCCCCAGCCGGGGCTGTTATTATGTGAAAGCTGGTTTCCTTCATCACATCGCGTAGGCTCTAATGATGTTTCGTTTATTTTGATTCTCCTCACACTACATAGTTTTAATTTACCTAATGTGACTGTTTTTTTGTTTGTTTTCCGAGAATGGGTCTTACTCTGTCTTCTAGGTTGGACAGCAGCCCCACGATCTCAGCCCACTGCAGCCCAGGCACCACACACCCATGTGATCCTGTCAACTCAGACTCTCACACACCTGGCAGTACAGGTGCATGCCACCCCTCCAAGCTATGTATTAATTAACTAAATACTTACTTTTTGAATGTGGGTCCATGTTGCCCCAGGCTCATCTGGAACTCCTGAGTGCAGGCAATCCTCCCACCTCAGCTTATCAAAGTGCTGGGATGACAGGTGTGACCCATGGCCCTGCCATGGCTTTGTGTTTTTTGCTTTTTTCTTCCTCCTCCTCACGTCTTGTTTTGAAACATGCACTGAAGGTTTCAATTCATGGACTATAGCCTCTGTGCCTGGAATTTCTATCTTTCAACTCATCATCAGCATTCATTGGGATTTTCATATATATATATACCTATATAAGAATACCTATGTACACACATATATACGTATATACATGTATATACGTATATATGCACATTTATATACGTATATACATGTATATACGTATATATGCACATTTATATACGTATATACATGTATATACGTATATATATACATGTACACATATGTATTTATTTCTCAAGTTACGAAACGGCTTGCATTCTTTCCTGTGTCATGAAAAAGACTTTGCTAGAAAAGAAAAGCACTGCTTTATAATAAAATATTTTATTTGCATTTATTTTGTTAAGGCATTTTAAAAATTGTATGTTTGTTTAAAAAATGTCATATGAAATGATACATATTTACAACTTAAGGCGTGATGTTCAACAGGTCATATACATTATGCATTGGATACATCCAGCCAATCAACATATGTGTGACCTCACATAGTTGTCATTTTTGTTGTGAAAAAACTTGACCTGCACTGTATTCGAATATTTTTAGAGAAAGAATATGTTACCACTAGTTATAGTGAGCATGCTGAAGAAAATATTTTTAACCTATTCCTCCTTTATAACTAGAAGTATGAGTTCTTCATCCAGCATCTCGTCAGTGCACCCTCTTCACCGCAGTCATTGGAGTCACTACTTCTGTGAAGTCCGCTTTTTTGATTTCATATAAGAATGAGATCATGTGCTACTTTCCTTTCTGATACCTGGCTTATGTCACTTAACAGAATGGCATGCACACATTCAGCAGATTCCCACACATTCTCACAACTGGCAGGATTTCCTGATTTCTTATTGCAGCGCATATTTCCGTTGCGCATATGCGTTTTTGCCCCATTTTTTAATCCACTTATCAATGGAGGGACTCTCAGGTTGCTTCCGCATTTTGGCTACAGCAAAAATGTAATGAGTGCAGCAATAATTGCATGGGTGCGCGCACCGCTTCAACATACTGATCTGTGTACTGGCGGGCGTGCCCGGGTATTCTGATTTGCTGGATCATATAGTGGGTGGTTCTACTTGTAGATTTCTGAAGGCTGTTTATACTTAAATAAGAGCCATAAAGCTTCTTTAATGCCAGCACTAATTTACATTCTCCCCAAAAGTGAGCAGGGAATTCGTTTTCTCTGCCTCCTCACCAGAGATTAGGGTTTTCTTTTCTTTCTTTTTTTTTTTTTGTTTGTTTGTCTTTCGGATAATATGCATTCTGACTGAAGTGAGAAGAAATCTCATTGTGTTTTTGATTTGCATTTTCGTGATGGATTGGGGATAATGAGGAATTTTTAGTGTGTCTTCTGGGCAACTGTATGTCTCAGTTTCACAAATGAGTCTTCGCAGCCTTCGCCCATTTGTTTTCATGCTATTGAGTTGTTGGGAGTTCCTTATGTACTGTGACTATTCCCCCATGAACAGATGTATGGTGATCCAATCATTGCTCCCATCCTGTAGGATGCCCCTTCTGTATGTTGAGTTTTCTATGGTGTGGTGAAGCACTTTAGTTTGATATGATTCCATTCTCTATTTTTGATAGTGTTTACTGTGTTCTTGCAGTCACTTTGAGACCATCATTGCACACATGGACGCCATGGAGCTTCTTCCTTGTGATCTCTTCTGCTATTTTTATCGTTTCACATCTGACACTGGAGTTTGGTGATAAATAATCCACTTGTAAAATCCTTTGTGTGGCTATTCAGATTTCCCCAACCTAGTTTATAGAAGATACTTGATTTTGCATTGGGCGTTCTTGCTTCTTTGGGAAAAGGCTGTGAGCTGCAAATGCAGTGACTTAGTTCTGGGCTCCTGTTGTTTTTCCTAAGCTCTAGTCTCTGCTTTTCTGCCAGTGCTATTGTATTTTGGTACAAAAAGTTTTGTAGTAGTATATCATGAAGTTAGGTAGTGTGGTGGCTCCAGCTTTGTGCTTTTTACTGGATTGCTCTGGGTTTTCAGGATCTTCTGCCATTTCATAGCAAATTTGGGATTCCCAGATTGTTTTTCTAAGAAGAATGTGTCATTGATATTTTTACAGGGGTTGTATAGAATCTGAGGATGACTCAGGTAGTAGTGATGTCAATGCCGTTTAGACAATGTGCGTGTTTGTGTGCACAAGCTCAGGGCCAAGAGACACTGGGTGTCCTCACCAATACTGAGGTGGGCCTTAATATCCAGCCAGATTGCCTTCTGGAAACACACGGAATGTCCTGTTCTGTTTTGCCATCTCTTCACATTTCCTCCCCTGTGAGCCCTGTGTGGTCCTCCAGATTCCCTGTGCGGTGGCCTGCCTTTTTTGGGGTGGGGAGTTGCTGGGTGAATGAGGATGGCGGAGGGAACCAAGTATGTCAGTGGAGCGTGGTGTCATCCAAACGGTACTTAGCAGGCCTGGGAGAGTCATTCTGGGAGGACGCAGACCTAGAGAGGCCTCAGGTGGGCATCTGTGTGGAGGGTGAGAGATCCCTGGTTGAGCCCAAACTGAACCCCAGGTAGAAGCAAGCCTCAGGACAGGGAAGTAGCTAGCAAGGGATGATGAGGCAGCTATCTCTTGACCCTGGCTTCCCACCCATTGACCTTAGCTACTTGTGCCTATTAAGCAGATTACGGTTCCCCCATCGTGAAATGTGGGTACCACAGTTCCCTGATGGGCATTTCTCCACCAGCCCATGATGGCCTGAGTTTCCTTACTGCAGTCTCCTCCCTGAGCCTTGGCTTCTCTATGTGTGTCCTAACTCCAGGACCCACAGGCCTGTCAACCCCCAGCCCTGGGCTGCTTCCCTGGCCTCTTCTCTGTTCCCTCTCTGAGGGCCTAACTCCCTTGGGTAGTGCTGCAGAATATAGAGCCACAGGCCCTGGCTGATGATCTGGTGGACTGGGCAAATTGGTCGTGACAGGTCAGGTTCTGGTTCAAAGCCAATTCCTCCGATGCCAAGGAATGTCGAAGAAGGTCCTTTGCCATGATGCCCCATAGCTGCCCCACCTCAGCAATCGTGCCGTAACCTGGGCCCTCACAGTCAGACAACCAGCTGAAGAAGCTCAGGCAGTGACCTGCGGGAAACTCGGGCTTTCACCTGCATGACCCTAGAACCACTGGACTGCAGTGGAGCCAGTCGCCCTGTATCCTGGAGGGAGACGAGTCAGGAAGGCGCACGCCAGGCCCAGCTCCCGAGGTACTACCCCCTCTACTCCTCAGGGAGGATGCCAACGCAATACTCCTTAGTCATCACTTTGTTTCCGAAGTAAATGTTGTGATGAAAGGCAAACTTCTTCCTACCCCTTGTATTCAGGGTGGCCGAGTTCCTCCACCTGCCTGTCCAAGAAGGAGAAACAGGGCTGTGAAGGGGCAATTTCATCTAGGTGGGCTGAGGTGGCATTCTAGCCGGGGTGAAGCATGCGTTTCCCCTTCCCAGCTTTCCCGCTGAGACACACCTGAGCCCCAGAAGGACCTCAACCTGACCGGGACCTTAGCACCCTCCCCCAGACCCAGGCTTTCCATCCTGACCTGCAAATCCAACATGCAGCTTTGAAGGACTTTCTCATGGTTTCTGAGCTCCTTGCTCTCACCAGAAAGAATCAGAACTTTTAAAGTGTTCTTTATGCCAACTTAAATTTTTCATTTTTACTACCTCATGTTTTGGATGAGGCATGTATTTTTAAATTTATTTTCACCCTTATTGTACCTCTATGATAAACTGCTTGCTTACATTCATACCGTAATTATCTCTCAGGTTACTTGTCTGTTCCTAAAGATTCACTGAAACGAAGAATTCTATATATGCTTGTATCTTTCAGCAACCGTATGTCAGATAGCACTGCACATTACTGCAGACATCGCATATACAGGTCCAAAGGTAGAGGAAGAAGAAGAAAGCAAGCGTTAAGCTCTATACATTCCTAAAAGCATATCAGAAACTCACAAATAACAGTGAAATCAAAGAATGATCACAGCCAATTCCATTACATACCTAGACTGAAATACGAAACTTCAAAGAAAAGAAACATTAGAACTTTGGGTTTGTAAAAATTTTCCTATATAGATAAAATTATTGGTAACTGTGTCTCACTAGAAAACGTAAACAAAAGTCCATGTTTTTCATATTTGTAAATATACATAGTTTTATTTCCATCAGTTATGACATGCAAGCAAGTAATAAAGTGAAAGTACAATCAAATGATATATGGAACTTCCTCAGTCTTAAAATATTCCATGGAGACTATCAATTTTATGAAAACTATAAAGAATGCTTCATGAAACTACATTGTACAGTGCCATTTACTATTTTACTGACATTTTAAATAATCAACAATTAAAGGGAATACATCAACATTATTTAATACCAATAACGTTATTTTTCTTGAGTAATCCTGTTGAAATTAAGGATTTTAAATAAAACATTAAAAACAAATTATATTGACTGATTTCAGCTTTGGATGAAATCATACTTGTGTATTTGTAGTAATGCGAAGCATAACTTTCTCCTCACAATTAATCTTTTATAACATCGGTGTTATAGTTTTCTCTGACACCAACATTGTGATATCGCACAGGTTTACTGCATGCATGCATTACATGCCTCCAGAGAGTAGGCTTCAAATATATGGAAAAATTATATTTATGAAAAAATTCTAGGAAAGGGAATGGTGAAATGGAAGAGAATTTCTCACTTGCTAACTGTTGGACATGGATTTGTATATATTTGGATATAGACACATACTGGCACACTGTGAGTTTGCCCATGTATATATACACTTAAATGAGAAACCCATAATATATGGGTTGTGTAATCTTTTAATTAATCCATAATTGTATGTGTGTGAAATTAGATAAGCGGTTACCTTTTCTTTACTCAATTTGATGGAAAGCCAAAAAACTCTGTCCACCTTCATTTCAATTAATCCAATACTGTTAACTGCTGGTAGCTTCATTCTCCTTGTTCTCTTACGGCAACCGGAAAGTTAATTCTCGCTCTAATTTGGCTTTCAAGGTGCGATCAACAAGAGTGTCACCTTGCTGTGGATTGTGACCTCTGACTCCACCTCTGTCTTCCTTTTGCAGTCCTACCTTTGCATAGGTAACAAACTTTGTACATGGTTAAAAGGATAAAAGTTCAGTGAAATGTCAAGCCATGCTGTGAAATGTTCCATAGTTTCTATATCTCTAATTGTCCTTTGATGTTATAGAGGCAAGAAAAATAATTCAATGTTTTTCTTAGTATCTAGTCCAATGCACTCTTTCTTCATAATACTGCAAACAAGGCACTGACATGGAAACGTGGCTGGACGTCTCAAAATCTCTTCTCATTAATTACCATTATGTTAATCACTGTTGCCCACAACTGGAATTGGACTTTGAAATCCCCTGGTGGAAATTGCTATAATGGCTCAAACTACTGGAAAGACTATCTTTTTTTACCTGAAAATATCTGATGAGCATAGACGTATGCTATATACAGGAAGATATTGTACATTAACAACATACCATCACTGCCACTCAATAATAGGTATCCCAAACCTTTGAGCCAAACTGAGCTCAGGTGCTCCCACAAACCAAGCTTTTCCCTCCACAGATTTCTTATGTCAAAAAGCCACAACTCCAGGCCAGGCTTCGTGGCTCTTGTTGTAATTTCTACATTTTGGGAGGCCGAGGTTGGTGGGTCACTTGAGGTCAGGAGTTGGAGACTAGCATGGGCAACATGGCAAAAAGCTGTCTCTACCAAAAATACAAAAATTAGCCAGACCTAGTGGCACTTTCCTGTGGTCCCAGCTACTTGGGAGGCTGAGGTAGGAGAACCACCTGAACATGGGTGGCAGAGATTGTATAGTAAGCCGAGATCAGACTACTGCACTCCAGCCTGGATGACACAGCGAGACCATGAAAAAAAAAATAAAGGCAACTCCACTCGTCCACTGGCTTAGGTAAAAAATACTGGAGTTGGCTGGGCTCGGTGGCTCACACCTGTATTCCCAGCACTTTGGATTTTGGGAAGCTGAGTCGGGCGGGTCACCTGAGATCTGTAGTAGGAGAGCAGCCTGGCCAACATGGTGAAGCCTGGCTTCTACTAAAAATACAAAACATTAGCTGAGCGTGGTGATGCATGCTTGTAATCCCAGCTACTGCAGAGGCTGAACCTGGGAGGCGGAGGATGTGTTGAGCTGAGATCCTGCCACTGCGCTCCAGCCTGGTCTACAGAGCGAGAGTACCCTGTGAGAAACAAAGGTGAAGAGAACAAGAAAAAAAAATGAGAAAAATAAGACCCACTGCAAAAGGTTGCCACAGAAAAGATTAAACATTTCAGCAACTTCTATCTTCTATCATGGAAGCCAAGGTTATTTGGACCAAACCTCCTGTCTTAGTTCATTTTCACGCTGCTGAAGAAGAGATACCTGAAACTGGGAATAAAAGGAGGTTTAATTGGACTGACAGTTCCACATGGCTGTGGAGGCCTCAGAATCATGGTATACGAATAAAGGCACTTCTTACATGGCAATGCCAAGAGAGAATGAGGAAGAACCTGAGGCAGAAACCCCTGAAAAACCCATCAGATCCCGTGAGACTTCTTCACTGTCACAAGAATAGCATGAGAAAGACCGACCCCCATGATTCAATTACCTCCCCCTGGGTCCCACCCGCAACACGAGGGAATTCTGGGAGATACAATTGAAGCTGAGATTTGAATGGAGACACACCAAACCATGTCACTTCCCAAACAATTAAAAATTCCCAATAGAAGAAGCATTAATTATATCAAAAAGTGGTGGACCAAGAAGGAACTATTAGCCTCATATCTCAAGAAAGACTCCAGTCAAGGCCTAGGGACTACTCATGAAAAGAGTTTAATAGCCGACTCTCTCCCAGTGGATCTGGATTCCACCGGACTGTATCTTCACAGTAAGGGTGAAACAGAAGCAAACCCATTCCTATTTCCAAGCTCAAGGAACTTTGGTCAAAGTTCTCTTGGAGCTGAGCAGAACAAGGAGGCAAACAGAAAAGATTTGTGTCCCTGAGAAGTCATGGCCACAGGCTGGCTATCACACAGATTGTCAAGCCAGTTCCATATTGCATGGGTATTACAGAAAATCTCAAAACATAAATTTGTGTGTGGGTTGTCCCAGAGTAGCAGGATCTGGCAGAAGGAAATTTCCTTCTAACCCTCAAAGAATCCACATAAATCTTGTTACATTTGGGATTTTACGATTTGCTTCAGGAATGAGAATGGCCTTAATTTTCATATCTTTTTCTACACTCAGTTTATGGCTTGTTGGCGTCAAAGTTCTGCTTGCTTCACACAATGAGTTTAGGATTTTCCCTTTTTTATTCTATAGAATTCTTCATATATATTGAAATGCTCTGCCTGGGGAAAAAAATCTGAGCCTAGCGTTTTATCTCTAGGAAGAATCCTTTATTTCCTTGAACATTTATGAGACTATACAGATTATATATGTCTTCTTGTATCAATTTTACTAAGCTATATACATAGCTTATGTTTATATATTATATATATAAATGTAAGATACAAATATAAAAATTATGTATAAATATGAAAATATATATAGAAAGCGATATATATGTCTATATATATAGACAGATTATAAATATCTGTCTATTTGATCTAAGTTTTCAAATTTGTAGGTTAAGGTGTTAACGATATTTCCTTATTAGCTTCTTAATCTATGCTGTATCTATGGTTGTGTACCTTTTAAATTCTTAGTTTTATCTATGTTTTCTCCCTTTTTTTCTAAACTTGACTGACGGTTGCATCATTTATTATATTTCTCCAACAAGCAAAGGTTAGCTTTGTATGTTTTACTAATTTTGTCTACATCATTATTCCCACACTTTAGTTTTTCAGAATTGATTCTGTTGTTTCTTTTCTAATTCTTTATTGAAATATCTAGTACATTAATTTTCAAGTTATTAGAGAAATATTTGTCTGTAAACTCCTATTGTAATATCACTTTTCTTGCTACTCACAGATTTAATCTTTAATATTGGCGGTATCATTGAGTTCTAAGTACATTTCAATTCCTAGTATGATAATCTATGAATTGCTGAGAAATAGTGTTTACAATTTTGTTGTTCTATTTCCACTTAAGTTTATTTTTACTTCTGCTAACTCAATTGAAAATTCTTTACTAATTTTTAAAATCCTTGAACCCAAGAGATGGAGGTTGCAGTGAGCTGAGATCAGGCCACTGCATTCCAGACTGAGTGACAGAGTGGAACGAGATTTCAAAACAAAACAAAACAAAACAAAACAAAACAGTCACTGGAAAGATAATAAAATACATAAATGTGGGATGTAATATGTAATCGTGATAAAATAAACTGGATTTTTTGTATAAGTTATACATATAAATGTAATGCCAAGACACTGATAAGACAACTCATGGTCTTATCTCAATACTTAGTGTCTTCATGTAACATATGTCCTTTAGGATAGTTATAGTCCGTTTTCTTTCCAGGAGAGACAGATGAGAATGCAGAAATGTTAAAGTGCAAGGGACGGAAGCTTCCAGCTGTGCCCACCTGTAACCTGACGTAGACAGTTCCACCGTTTGCTTCATTAATCATGCCAAAGGCTCTAATGCAAATGTGGTACAGAGTCACATGTTTTTGTATCTACATGATAGAAACTATAACTTCATCCCTATATAGAAGGGTATATAGCATATGCCTCAGTGATAAATATAAGTGAATCATTGATCAGTAGGAAACCATTTTAAAAGTCTTTCATAACAGAACAAAATCCCTGAAAACATTTTCTTCTCAATCTCTGAGTTTTCTTACACGGCTTATGAATCTCTAGCCATACTAAAGAGATAGTATGCTGCTCTTCCCACAAATTATTCATTGTATATAATTCCTGTAATCTAATAACAGTACCTTTACACCTCAGGGTTTAAAATGACTCCAACCTTTTTCTGTTTCTCCAATTAAAATAACTTTTTTAAGGTTTAATCTTCAGTAATTTTTTGTAGTAATATTTTTGAAGGTATTTGACCAGGATGATTTGCTTATATACCTACCTGACGTCTCCCTTTCTTCTGAATACATATTTTATTACCCACCTATTAGATCTAAGTTTAAGAAGTTGGAATAGGGATTTAAATCTAAATTCTACATTTGAATTTACAGGAGTCAGCGAGTCCGGGAAGTGCCTTTATGCACAGACCAATATCTGGCAATGGCACTAGGAGACAAATAAGCTTTACCAGTCTCAAAGCCCTGGCTACTACAGTGAATCCACCCTTCTCCTGGATCTTATCTACTTCAGCAAAAGAAGGCCACCCACTAAACCAGGCCCTTGTACTTTGGGTGGAAACTCCTAAGTCCTCTAGTCTCCTCAAACAGACAGCCAGGCTGCCAATTTCCACAATAATAATTTCTATAGCACTGAGTCTTTGGTAGCCTTGTAACTATAGCTACTGATGCTACAGTCTGGTCCCTGTATGATAAAACACCAGAGCAACAGAAACAAAAATATTGACTGAAGCCTTCTAAAATCTCTCTAAATATACCTTCAATAAATATGGTTTTTTTTACAGAACGACTGCTTTCAGCTTCCTGAACTAACGCTTGGCCTTCGCTAGTTGTCACTGTTGAAATTGATTCAAAAGTGTACATTTAACATGAAAGTCAACACAGAATTTCATGTGTCAGCAACTAAAATTTTCAAAATGTTGCAAAATACAAATGTGAAACTGTATTTGTGAAATTTACCATTCATTGAAATTATATTTTCATACCTACCCAGGCACAGAATTTTTTATAACTGTCTGCATGTTCTCCTCATGTGGGGGAAAAGCAGCATCAGCAGGCAGAGGAATCCTTTGAAGCTGGAGGGAGAGGTTGCAGTGATCTGAGAGTTTGCCACTTGACTGCAGCCTGGATGACACAGTGAGACTCCAACTGAAAAGAAACAAACACACACACACACACACACACACACACACACACCCCAAAATTGATAAGTAAAAAAAAAATCCATATTCGAAAACATGCTCACAGGCTAACTCCCATATCTAACACACACACACACACACACACACACACACACACACACACACACAATTCCTTGAAAACGAAAGTTCCACAAGGGCAAAAGAAGAAAACAAATTTAACACCCCCCAAAGAAAGTACAAAGAGTAACCTCAAAAGAACTGCAGGGGAAAACAATTCAAAATTTACAAGTATCTACCCTAAAAGAAGCTGAAAGTCCCTCAAAAACTTTCCAGAGGCCATGTCCTTGTATTACAAAAATGATCATAAAAACTGGCAGGAGTAGACGAATAGAAATGCATCTTAAAACTTGCTAAACCCTTCAAGTCTCCCATAAGAATTGTAATGGAAAATGGATCGGTCGGCAGCTTTTTCCATACAATTATGAACAAATTATATTTCTTCATACATAGATTTGTTTTTTCAATATTCTAAGGAATTAACTTTTATATTAATAGTAGGTGATGTAAGAAAGCAGGCCTTTATCAAGATAACTGACACTGGATGTCCATACCATTACTCAGGTGGGCCTTAATTCCCAGCCGGGTTCCCTCCCTGGACACACACTGAAGGTCCCCAGCCATTTGGCAATCTCTTCACATTCCCAGCCCTGGAGGTAGCCCTAAAATACATGTACCTGAAGAAAATAAAACATTGCCTCACACTGGAGCCCAGTGTGGTCCTCCAGATTCCGTGTGAGGTGGACTAACTTATATGGGAAGGCAGGGCAGCGGGAGTGAGGATGGCAGAGAGGATTACACATGTCAAGGCAGCCGGGGTCATGGAAACAAAACATGACTGGCCTGGGAGAAACACTGTGAAAGGACACAGACCTAGGTGGGCCTCAGGTGGACATCCTCGTGGAGA
Organism: Homo sapiens; assembly: GCF_000001405.40. NCBI lineage: Eukaryota > Metazoa > Chordata > Mammalia > Primates > Hominidae > Homo > Homo sapiens. The sequence goes on from NW_025791821.1 coordinate 282,476, forward strand.
AAAAGGGGGCCCTGGTTGATCTCAAAATGAGCCCCAGGTGGTAGCAGGTCTTACCGCAGGGCAGGGAGCTGGCGAGTAATGATGAGACAGCTATCCCTTAAGCCCTGCTTGTCACCCACTGACTTTAGCCACATATGCATCATAGTGGCTTAAGGTGCCCCGATCCTGAAATGTGGGTGTTACATGTCCCTGATGGGCCTCTCTCCCCCAACCCACGGATTGCCTGGGATTGCTCACTGCAGTCTCCTCCCGGATCCTTGGGTTCTCCATGTGGGGCCCAGATCCAGGTCAAAAGGCCTCTCAGTTCCCAGCCCTTCCCAGCCCTAGGCTGCTCGCCTGGCCTCCTCTCTGTTCCGCCTCTAGGGCTGACCCTCTCTCCATGGGATAGAACTGCAATGGATTGAGCCATAGGCCCTGGCTGATGATCTAGGGGACTGCAGAAGTGGGTCCAGGACAGTTCAGGTGACAGTTCAAAGCCAATTCCCCAGAGACCAAGGAATGACCAGCTAGGTCCTTTCCCATGATGCCCCACGGCGAACCCCACCTCAGCAATCCTGCCAAAACCCGGGCAGTCATGTTCAGCCAAACAGCTGAATGAGCTCAGGTAGGAGGTGTACTGCCTGCAGCTGGAGGCTTGACCTTCGTGATCCCAGAACCGCTGGACTGCAGTGGAATGAGACACCCTGTAGCCTGCAGGGAGAGGAGTCAGGAAGGTTCATGCCAGTCCCACCCTCCCACACACCAGCTCCCCTACCATGCTGGGAGGCATTCCTTACCGAGGATGCCAACACAGTGCTCCTTCATGATGATTTCACTGTGGAAATAAAGGTTGGGATGAAAGGAAATCATCCTGCCACCGGTAACCGGGATGGCTGAGTTCCTCCACCTGCCGGATCAAGGAGAAAGAGGATGGATTCAATGGGACCATCTCAACTAGCCGGGCTGAGGTGGCCTACTAGCTGTAGTGAACCATGAGTTTCCCCTTCCCAGCTCTCCCACTGAGACAACCCTGGTCCCCAGGGGGACCTCAAACTGACTCAGACACTGGACTCCTCCCACAGACCCAGGCTCCCCAGCCTGACCTGCAAATCCATCACGTAGCAAAGCAGGACTTCCGCATGCTTTCCGACCCACGCCGACATCTCGTGTGCCAAACAATCTACCTCTGCGCAAGAACTCTCCAGAGGATTGGGTGGGCAAGCCTCGTGACGCCTTGCAATTTCGCAAGAACACAGACAATGTGGAACAGGGCCATCTCCCAGACATTTGGCCAGTCACCCTTCATTGTTGGCCCTCTATCTCTGTCTGGCGAGGAGGCAACGCCACAACTGTGGTGGTTTTTGGAGTGGGTGGACCCCGGCCAAGACGGCCTGGGCTGACCAGAGACGGGAGGCAGAAAAAGTGGGCAGGTGGTTGCAGCTGAGGGACGGGAGGGGCCGGGGGTGGTGTGAGGCGGCTGCTTCTCTGAGTTTCTGAGATGCAGGAGGCCTTTGTGTGCTGGGTGCTGGACATGCTCCGCTGATGTCCGGGTGTGTGGTGTCCTCTTATCCTAGTCTCCCTGAGGGGTGGGCCTGTCCACCTGAGGGAAGCCTTGTAGTTAGAAGCCACAGCAGGGTCGTGCCTGGCGCTCTCCAAGGGAATTGCGTGGGTCCAGAGGAAGTTATACAGGCTCAGGGCCTACACGCCTTTGAGTGCAGCGCCTGCAGTTGGATGAATGCGCATCTGCGGAGCTGGTGCCCGCCGTCAGGTGGTCGGCAGCCCCATGCGCCGCGAACCCGTCTTAAGCACCTTGCGTTTCTGGGGTGAGCCTGCTGGAAACAGGCACCGAGAGCAGGGGTGGTTCAATGGCTGGTAATGGCATACAGATTCCCCGTCCTCCAGGGACGTTCCCAGGGAAACGCGTCCTTCGAATTTGGGCTGTGCGCAAAGGGACCTTGGCGCCGCGATTCTCCCTTGTCAGTGCTGGCCCTGGCTCCCCTTCCCTACCACGTGCTCCCAGGGCTGCTACAAGCGAGCTGCCCTCACAGCTGCGGGAACGTGGCCTCGGCTCCCACGCTGTCCCCCATCCCCTGCCTCCTGGCTGACCCCACGTGCCTCCCACCTGGCTCCTCCCCGCAAACAGCCCCCATACCCCCCGAGGCCCGATGACTATCCCCTGCTGCCCGCCATCCCAAATCGGCAGCCGCAAGGATATGGCTCTGGCTCACAAGGCGGAGATGCTCTGTGGCCTGGGGCATTCACGGAGCCCAGCTCCAAGTGAAGGACCTCCAGCGAGTCCATTGACGGCCCCGGTGTGCTCGGTCCAGGGCCAGGCTGTGCCCGCTGGCCCTCCTTCTGCCACCCCACGTCGGGCTCCACCTCAACCACCACCTCCACCTCAGCCATGATGTCTTCCACCTTCAGCACCGCCTCCTCTTCCAAGGCCGCCTCCTTGCTCTGTACCCCGGCCGTCCTCTCCAGCATTGCCTCCAGCCTGAACACGGTTTTCTCCTGGGTGCTCCCACAGACCCTGGGCCTGCGCAGCCCAGCCCAGCCCAGCCCATGCCCCGCACCCGTAGGCTCTGGGGGCCCGCTCCCCAGCAGACCCGCTCCCTGCAAGACCCACGGGCGTCGCCCTGCTGTGAACCTGGTCCCACACCTACGTGGACCCAGGTTTCCTGAGGAGCTCCGCTGGACCCGCAGATCCCGCACTGGCCAAAGGGCTCCGGTCCCCAGCAGGCTCAACTGCGCACAGGAGCTCGGGAGCCAGAGGCCCCGGCCCTGGGCTTGCAGAGCCCCACCAACAGGCACCGCAACCGCTGCTGCGGGTGCGGGAGCCTCTGGGTCGTCAAGGCAGCGCACAACAGCGTGCGCGCAGGCCGACAATGGCCAACCCTGGCGGCTGGCCTCTGGTGTGCCCAGGGCATAGGACAAGAGGCCCTTTGGAATGCTCCTTGGAGTACAGCATCCTCAGGGAGGAAGCATGGTACTCGGAGCCTCTATTTGCCTCGACCTGTGAGAGTGTGTGCCGGGGCTCTGGCCTCTACAGCAGATCAATTCCACCTCAGCACCGGCAGGCGACTTTCCTCCCACGTGCCCGCCCCGATCACTTCCCCCAGGACACCCCTGCCGCCCTAGCCCCAGCAACCAGAGAGAGTTCTCTGCATCTGCTGTATTACCTCCGTACCATCTACCTGGCCTGCCTAACGAAGAGAGATGTTTCCTGTGTTCATGACACATAGAGATGTTCATGGCTTGCCACACTGAGGATGTCAGGGCACAGGGCTGCCATGCCCACAATTCCAAAGGCCACGCAGCCCGCGTGTGCCCGGATGCCTAGCTACCCGGCACAAGCTCCAAGGGCTTCTCGGAGGAGGCTTGGGCAGGGAAGGCGGGGGTTGGGGGGGCTGGAGATGCAGGCCCGCCAGTGGCTGTGCCGCCCAGGGAGACGCCCACCGCCCTCCCATTGACTGGCCACGACGGGAGGAAGTCGGCCTGGGTGCGGCCCCCCGGCCCTTCGCGCGCAGTCCCTTAGGGGGCGCCTGGAAGCCCGGCGCATGCGCCCTGAGGGCTCGCTGACCTACCGGGTGCCAGAGAGGCTGCGGCAGGGTTTCTGTGGCGTGGGTCGGGCAGCACAGGCCTTGGTGTGTGCGAGTGCCAAGGAGGGCACCGCCTTCAGGATGGAGGCTGTACAGGAGGGGGCGGCCGGGGTGGAGAGTGAGCAGGCGGCTTTGGGGGAGGAGGCGGTGCTGCTGTTGGATGACATAATGGCGGAGGTGGAGGTGGTGGCGGAGGTGGAGGTGGTGGCGGAGGAGGAGGGCCTCGTGGAGCGGCGGGAGGAGGCCCAGCGGGCACAGCAGGCTGTGCCTGGCCCTGGGCCCATGACCCCAGAGTCTGCACTGGAGGAGCTGCTGGCCGTTCAGGTGGAGCTGGAGCCGGTTAATGCCCAAGCCAGGAAGGCCTTTTCTCGGCAGCGGGAAAAGATGGAGCGGAGGCGCAAGCCCCACCTAGACCGCAGAGGCGCCGTCATCCAGAGCGTCCCTGGCTTCTGGGCCAATGTTGTATCCTTCTCAGTGTTTCTTCGGCCTTTCTAGTGGAGAGGTGCTCTCGGGGAAGTGTAAGTGACCGATGGGCAGCTCGGCGTCGATGTGACTCTTTGGGGAACAAAGGGGAGTTGCCACGGACCAATGTGGCTGTGGAAAGCCGGAGCAGGCGTGGGTACTATTGTCCTGCATGCGGCAGAGAAACCCTTGGTGATGCCGAGCAGCAGACGTTTGGGGCATCTTTTTGAAGAGCAGAAGCGAGTTCAGAGCGGAAGAGGTTTTTCAGTGAATGAAGCTATTTTTAAGGGAGTGTGATTGCTGCCCCTTGCTAGTCCGATCTGGGACTGGGCGTCTTCGGCTATAAGCAGATTCTGCCACTCCTCAGACACCAGCAAGTCTCTGCAAATCGCGCCTCCCCATGTCAGTGCAGTCAGCCTCAGAATCATACACCCTCTGTGAACACAGGAGGCCTTAGTTTACGGGGAGGGGGAGGCGAAAGGAGATCATACATGGAAGCAGATCTGAGAAATCCCCTACCCCAGCCTCTGGGTGCTCTTAGGCCTTCTTCCCTGTTGCTCCTCGCTTTCCCTTCCATCGTGTGTAAAGTCTCTTTGACCTAAATCAGATTGCAAACCACCCCCAGATGTCAGCCCTGATCACTGACGAAGATGAAGACATGCTGAGCTACATGGTCAGCCTGGAGGTGAGGCCAGGAAGACTGGGGCTAGAGGGTTTAGCGGGGGAGGGTAAGGGAAATAATTCATTCCTGTAAGCAAGAGTGAGCACCTCACCCGAAAACCTATCTAAGCTTTCTCCACCTTGTCCTGACAGGTGGAAGAAGAGAAGCATCCTGTTCATCTCTGCAAGATCATGTTGTTCTTTCGGAGTAACCCCTACTTCCAGAATAAAGTGATTACCAAGGAATATCTGGTGAACATCACAGGTGACAGGTGGCTCCCAGGATGGGTAGTGGAAGGAAGATGGTGGGTGGATCATTGCCAACGGGATCCAGCCCCCTTCCCACAAAAACTCCTGTCTCTGTAGAATACAGGGCTTCTCATTCCACTCCAATTGAGTGGTATCCGGATTATGAAGTGGAGGCCTATCGCCGCAGACACCACAACAGCAGCCTTAACTTCTTCAACTGGTTCTCTGACCACAACTTCGCAGGATCTAACAAGATTGCTGAGGTGAGTCCTCACTGGGAAACATGAGGAATGACCCCGTGTGTTCCCAGCTGCTTGGGTCACCTTTCTGAGCCCTGATGAGGCCTTTCCCGATTGAGTCCCCTGACAGATCCTATGTAAGGACCTGTGGCGCAATCCCCTGCAATACTACAAGAGGATGAAGCCACCTGAAGAGGGAACAGAGACGTCAGGTGAGCCGTTAGTTGGCACTGGAGCTGTTTGATGCCCAGTATAAGGGGGTTGACACACCTGCCTATTCAGGGAGCCTGGGTGCTCATTTCAGAAATGTAGAAATTGAGGCTCCTTTCGTACATGTAGAAATTCCTTGAGAGGAAGACAGAGAGTGACAGAATCCAGGACGTTCATGGCATTGGGCTGAAAAGGCACGTTAGAGACTGCACTGCAAAGCGGGTGATAGCTGTGGAGTCTTAAGCCCAGTGAAGAATCGTCCATTTCCAGAATCAATGAGAAGTAAAGCTGAAAATCATTCAGTTCAGTCTGTGGCACTTGATTCCACGGCTGTCAACCCCACCGGCAGTCATCCCGCCAACCCCATGAGATTGGGCTCCCTGAATGTGCGTCCTGGTCATCCTTGCCCCAAACCACAAAGGACTGTTTAGATTGATGGATTTCCTTAAGCTGTTGCCCCATCAGACTTGTGTGTGCTTTTAGGGCCCAGTGCATCTTGTTAGCTGACTCCCCTCACAGACAATACTGGGAATGGGGCAGGGATTGCGCAGAACAGTTTGTAACACGTGGTAGGAGGAAGTTTAAGGGATCACAAATGGGGAAGGGATATCCTTTTCTCAGCGGGCCCCACAATTGAAACATTTCAAAGTATGGCTCAGAGAAAATGCGTTTTAACATGAGTTTGTGTTTCTCTAGGGGACTCCCAGTTGTTGAGTTGAATATGATGGAGCATCAGATTTTACCTAATACAGCAGAACTCCTAAAAAGTTACAGCCATATGCAGGACGGCAGTACTCAGCATGGTCTTATGCACAGGAACTAAAGGAAAAAGAGATCGAGTCACAAAAATTCAGGAAGAGGGGGTAAATGTGGATTGTATGGAATGAAAAATAAACATTCTCAAGGATGTGTGACTCTGTGTCTGTGTGTGTGTGTGTGTCTTTGTGTTTGTGTGTGTGTGTGTGTGTGTGTGTGTATGTTTATCCACTTTATTCGGGTGTCATAATGAATTGATCAATCCACGTGCTTTATTCTCTTCATGGAAATAACCAGTCTGCGTTGGAGCTGGGCCTCTAAAGTTGTAGAGTGAATGGGTGTGGGATGTGTTGGGATTCTTCCTACAGGACAGAGTGGGAGAGGTAAAAGCAAAAGACAGCTTAGTTGGAGGCTGACTTCGTCCTATGGAAGCAGAGATAGTTCAAGGAAAGGGGTTACTGGGTTTCCAGGGCCCAGTTTGCTGGGACCTCCAAAATCCTTCATTTTGGGTATCATCATACACAGTAGCTAAGCACAGGATGATGGAAATCTTAAAGTTCGCTTTCGTGTTGAATCCACATGTTCTTTTAAAGGTGAATGCATGATCCTTTTCTGGGACAATCAGCCTCTCAGGACTTCTGAAACATCAACGTGAGAAGAAATGGGCATGTAAGGTGTATGGAGGGACTGTGGGAAAGGTGATAGAGGCATGTGGGAAGGCATTCAGGATACGCTTTTGGCAGAGATGACTAAGGGAAAACAGAAACTTACAGAAGTGAGGGGAAAGGGGGTGGATTAGTGGAATATAAGATTGTTGGAGAATCCATCCATGGACTCTCTTGTCACTTGATGACCCAGGATATGGACACTCTTGTTGATGTTTACATCTTTAGTTGTTTTAAGCTTTTCTCCAAGATTCTGTGTTAGGTGAGGAGCCAATAACGTATGTAGCTAACAACAGTACGAGTGCATTTTGTGCTCTTGCAAAGTCTAGTGAGGCTCTATTCTCCCTCGTGATTGGCACTGCAGATTGTATCTGGACCCAGGGCCCCTAAATTTTCTGTGGCCTCTTCAGCATAGTTTGCCTAAGGTTTAGAACGTAAAGCGAATATAGTTGCGGAATATGTTTTGCAAGCCTCACACAGGAGGACAAAACATACAGCTTTCATTCGCGAGTGGGAGGCTGCTTCCCAGGAACACGTGTGTCTGCACAAGACAAGGGGTTGCCTCTGTCAAGGATGGGGCAGGAGGATTTCAGTGTCGGAGGCAGAACTTTCTTTCCTGTTCCCAGATGAAACAGTTCCAACACGAGCATCCATGTTGACCACACGCTACTAGAGTGCTAACATTGCTGTCCCGTATAGACTCTGGTCAGCACAGCTTCTGTGAGAAGAGCTATGTTGTTTCAGGGAAGAGGGTTTGACAGTCAAAGTTCCTGAATCTGTTGTGGTGCCTGCAATATGCATTCTACCCCTCCTGCTCGGTGTCAAAGCAGTTGAGCTTTGAAAATCTATCGCCCGGTTTTGTCCCTGCTCCTATGCAGACCTCTGAAGCTCTGGAGCGGGAGTCTTGTCCTCCTCTGACTACCGTCCCCCTGACCCACAAACACAGGAGAAACAGGTGTTCTAAGCAAATTATTCTGAAAACAGTCGGAACACTTTGGCCCCCTCAAGCTGCCCTCTATCCTACTGTGTGCATGTCAAAGACACTGTGGTCCAGTACGGTATCCCTATAGCGGCAATGGGGCAACAGATTGGTGTGTGCACTCTGGGCAACTCAGATTAGGAAACGTCTGGGGACTTGCCTATAACAAGGTCGTCTTAAAACGTGTTGCCCCAAATTTAAGGCATAGGAAAATGTTGAGGAAAGGGTCTTGCAATGATTTTTCTAGGAGGTAAATAGATAAGAAAATGACCGTAAATAGATGCCAGGGCTAGTTTTGGAGCTAGCCTTTTTTAAAGTGGTGGTAGGGGAGGAGGTTTTTCCAAGGCAGGTAGCAAACCAGGAGCTGTCTACGATGGATGGGCGTGCCATGGGTTGGTGGCTCAGCCATATTGCCACCCCACGGAGTCGATGCAGCAGACTGGGCTTCTTGCTTGAATCCTACGTGCAATTCAGTCTAGTGATTTCACATGAGATCCCTTCTTCTGGTATTATCACAGATCGTGCTGAATTATACAGGCTGTGTAATGCTTCTTCCACTGAATATCCGTGCACGTGGGCCACAGATGCTAAGGGCACTGACAAATTTGCACCGTGCCTCAGTAACTCGGAAGCACATCTGTGATTTGTACCGACAGGGACTTGGTGTCTTTTCGTGTTTAAAGTAGCACGTGTGTGTTTGTGGTTGCGTATGTTTATTTCTCTGTGCGGGTTTGTATATTTTCTCTGACTCCACCTATGTCTCCGTGGTTCCGATATTTTTCCACACTCCCTGCGGCAATTTGCACATGCCTATCTCTACAACCATTGTAGACTTTGTATCTGTGTCTTTGAACATCTGTCACTCTCTCTCCCTTCCTTTTTTCTTTTCCTTCCTTTACACCCCTCCTTTCATCCTTCCCTTGCTTCCCCACCACACTCTCTCCATCTGTATCGTCTATGTTTCTATTCTCTATCTGGGTTTACTTTCTAATTCTGAATTCAAGGGCATTGAATTGAAAAGAAGCACTCTTCGTACTTTTATGTGTTTTAACTCATTTGGGGAATTTGGCGTGGTATTATTTACAGGGTTCTCTCTGCCCTTTCTCATTGTTCTCCCCAGCCGGGGCTGTTATTATGTGAAAGCTGGTTTCCTTCATCACATCGCGTAGGCTCTAATGATGTTTCGTTTATTTTGATTCTCCTCACACTACATAGTTTTAATTTACCTAATGTGACTGTTTTTTTGTTTGTTTTCCGAGAATGGGTCTTACTCTGTCTTCTAGGTTGGACAGCAGCCCCACGATCTCAGCCCACTGCAGCCCAGGCACCACACACCCATGTGATCCTGTCAACTCAGACTCTCACACACCTGGCAGTACAGGTGCATGCCACCCCTCCAAGCTATGTATTAATTAACTAAATACTTACTTTTTGAATGTGGGTCCATGTTGCCCCAGGCTCATCTGGAACTCCTGAGTGCAGGCAATCCTCCCACCTCAGCTTATCAAAGTGCTGGGATGACAGGTGTGACCCATGGCCCTGCCATGGCTTTGTGTTTTTTGCTTTTTTCTTCCTCCTCCTCACGTCTTGTTTTGAAACATGCACTGAAGGTTTCAATTCATGGACTATAGCCTCTGTGCCTGGAATTTCTATCTTTCAACTCATCATCAGCATTCATTGGGATTTTCATATATATATATATATATATATATATACCTATATAAGAATACCTATGTACACACATATATACGTATATACATGTATATACGTATATATGCACATTTATATACGTATATACATGTATATACGTATATATATACATGTACACATATGTATTTATTTCTCAAGTTACGAAACGGCTTGCATTCTTTCCTGTGTCATGAAAAAGACTTTGCTAGAAAAGAAAAGCACTGCTTTATAATAAAATATTTTATTTGCATTTATTTTGTTAAGGCATTTTAAAAATTGTATGTTTGTTTAAAAAATGTCATATGAAATGATACATATTTACAACTTAAGGCGTGATGTTCAACAGGTCATATACATTATGCATTGGATACATCCAGCCAATCAACATATGTGTGACCTCACATAGTTGTCATTTTTGTTGTGAAAAAACTTGACCTGCACTGTATTCGAATATTTTTAGAGAAAGAATATGTTACCACTAGTTATAGTGAGCATGCTGAAGAAAATATTTTTAACCTATTCCTCCTTTATAACTAGAAGTATGAGTTCTTCATCCAGCATCTCGTCAGTGCACCCTCTTCACCGCAGTCATTGGAGTCACTACTTCTGTGAAGTCCGCTTTTTTGATTTCATATAAGAATGAGATCATGTGCTACTTTCCTTTCTGATACCTGGCTTATGTCACTTAACAGAATGGCATGCACACATTCAGCAGATTCCCACACATTCTCACAACTGGCAGGATTTCCTGATTTCTTATTGCAGCGCATATTTCCGTTGCGCATATGCGTTTTTGCCCCATTTTTTAATCCACTTATCAATGGAGGGACTCTCAGGTTGCTTCCGCATTTTGGCTACAGCAAAAATGTAATGAGTGCAGCAATAATTGCATGGGTGCGCGCACCGCTTCAACATACTGATCTGTGTACTGGCGGGCGTGCCCGGGTATTCTGATTTGCTGGATCATATAGTGGGTGGTTCTACTTGTAGATTTCTGAAGGCTGTTTATACTTAAATAAGAGCCATAAAGCTTCTTTAATGCCAGCACTAATTTACATTCTCCCCAAAAGTGAGCAGGGAATTCGTTTTCTCTGCCTCCTCACCAGAGATTAGGGTTTTCTTTTCTTTCTTTTTTTTTTTTGTTTGTTTGTCTTTCGGATAATATGCATTCTGACTGAAGTGAGAAGAAATCTCATTGTGTTTTTGATTTGCATTTTCGTGATGGATTGGGGATAATGAGGAATTTTTAGTGTGTCTTCTGGGCAACTGTATGTCTCAGTTTCACAAATGAGTCTTCGCAGCCTTCGCCCATTTGTTTTCATGCTATTGAGTTGTTGGGAGTTCCTTATGTACTGTGACTATTCCCCCATGAACAGATGTATGGTGATCCAATCATTGCTCCCATCCTGTAGGATGCCCCTTCTGTATGTTGAGTTTTCTATGGTGTGGTGAAGCACTTTAGTTTGATATGATTCCATTCTCTATTTTTGATGGTGTTTACTGTGTTCTTGCAGTCACTTTGAGACCATCATTGCACACACGGACGCCATGGAGCTTCTTCCTTGTGATCTCTTCTGCTATTTTTATCGTTTCACATCTGACACTGGAGTTTGGTGATAAATAATCCACTTGTAAAATCCTTTGTGTGGCTATTCAGATTTCCCCAACCTAGTTTATAGAAGATACTTGATTTTGCATTGGGCGTTCTTGCTTCTTTGGGAAAAGGCTGTGAGCTGCAAATGCAGTGACTTAGTTCTGGGCTCCTGTTGTTTTTCCTAAGCTCTAGTCTCTGCTTTTCTGCCAGTGCTATTGTATTTTGGTACAAAAAGTTTTGTAGTAGTATATCATGAAGTTAGGTAGTGTGGTGGCTCCAGCTTTGTGCTTTTTACTGGATTGCTCTGGGTTTTCAGGATCTTCTGCCATTTCATAGCAAATTTGGGATTCCCAGATTGTTTTTCTAAGAAGAATGTGTCATTGATATTTTTACAGGGGTTGTATAGAATCTGAGGATGACTCAGGTAGTAGTGATGTCAATGCCGTTTAGACAATGTGCGTGTTTGTGTGCACAAGCTCAGGGCCAAGAGACACTGGGTGTCCTCACCAATACTGAGGTGGGCCTTAATATCCAGCCAGATTGCCTTCTGGAAACACACGGAATGTCCTGTTCTGTTTTGCCATCTCTTCACATTTCCTCCCCTGTGAGCCCTGTGTGGTCCTCCAGATTCCCTGTGCGGTGGCCTGCCTTTTTTGGGGTGGGGAGTTGCTGGGTGAATGAGGATGGCGGAGGGAACCAAGTATGTCAGTGGAGCGTGGTGTCATCCAAACGGTACTTAGCAGGCCTGGGAGAGTCATTCTGGGAGGACGCAGACCTAGAGAGGCCTCAGGTGGGCATCTGTGTGGAGGGTGAGAGATCCCTGGTTGAGCCCAAACTGAACCCCAGGTAGAAGCAAGCCTCAGGACAGGGAAGTAGCTAGCAAGGGATGATGAGGCAGCTATCTCTTGACCCTGGCTTCCCACCCATTGACCTTAGCTACTTGTGCCTATTAAGCAGATTACGGTTCCCCCATCGTGAAATGTGGGTACCACAGTTCCCTGATGGGCATTTCTCCACCAGCCCATGATGGCCTGAGTTTCCTTACTGCAGTCTCCTCCCTGAGCCTTGGCTTCTCTATGTGTGTCCTAACTCCAGGACCCACAGGCCTGTCAACCCCCAGCCCTGGGCTGCTTCCCTGGCCTCTTCTCTGTTCCCTCTCTGAGGGCCTAACTCCCTTGGGTAGTGCTGCAGAATATAGAGCCACAGGCCCTGGCTGATGATCTGGTGGACTGGGCAAATTGGTCGTGACAGGTCAGGTTCTGGTTCAAAGCCAATTCCTCCGATGCCAAGGAATGTCGAAGAAGGTCCTTTGCCATGATGCCCCATAGCTGCCCCACCTCAGCAATCGTGCCGTAACCTGGGCCCTCACAGTCAGACAACCAGCTGAAGAAGCTCAGGCAGTGACCTGCGGGAAACTCGGGCTTTCACCTGCATGACCCTAGAACCACTGGACTGCAGTGGAGCCAGTCGCCCTGTATCCTGGAGGGAGACGAGTCAGGAAGGCGCACGCCAGGCCCAGCTCCCGAGGTACTACCCCCTGTACTCCTCAGGGAGGATGCCAACGCAATACTCCTTAGTCATCACTTTGTTTCCGAAGTAAATGTTGTGATGAAAGGCAAACTTCTTCCTACCCCTTGTATTCAGGGTGGCCGAGTTCCTCCACCTGCCTGTCCAAGAAGGAGAAACAGGGCTGTGAAGGGGCAATTTCATCTAGGTGGGCTGAGGTGGCATTCTAGCCGGGGTGAAGCATGCGTTTCCCCTTCCCAGCTTTCCCGCTGAGACACACCTGAGCCCCAGAAGGACCTCAACCTGACCAGGACCTTAGCACCCTCCCCCAGACCCAGGCTTTCCATCCTGACCTGCAAATCCAACATGCAGCTTTGAAGGACTTTCTCATGGTTTCTGAGCTCCTTGCTCTCACCAGAAAGAATCAGAACTTTTAAAGTGTTCTTTATGCCAACTTAAATTTTTCATTTTTACTACCTCATGTTTTGGATGAGGCATGTATTTTTAAATTTATTTTCACCCTTATTGTACCTCTATGATAAACTGCTTGCTTACATTCATACCGTAATTATCTCTCAGGTTACTTGTCTGTTCCTAAAGATTCACTGAAACGAAGAATTCTATATATGCTTGTATCTTTCAGCAACCGTATGTCAGATAGCACTGCACATTACTGCAGACGTCGCATATACAGGTCCAAAGGTAGAGGAAGAAGAAGAAAGCAAGCGTTAAGCTCTATACATTCCTAAAAGCATATCAGAAACTCACAAATAACAGTGAAATCAAAGAATGATCACAGCCAATTCCATTACATACCTAGACTGAAATACGAAACTTCAAAGAAAAGAAACATTAGAACTTTGGGTTTGTAAAAATTTTCCTATATAGATAAAATTATTGGTAACTGTGTCTCACTAGAAAACGTAAACAAAAGTCCATGTTTTTCATATTTGTAAATATACATAGTTTTATTTCCATCAGTTATGACATGCAAGCAAGTAATAAAGTGAAAGTACAATCAAATGATATATGGAACTTCCTCAGTCTTAAAATATTCCATGGAGACTATCAATTTTATGAAAACTATAAAGAATGCTTCATGAAACTACATTGTACAGTGCCATTTACTATTTTACTGACATTTTAAATAATCAACAATTAAAGGGAATACATCAACATTATTTAATACCAATAACGTTATTTTTCTTGAGTAATCCTGTTGAAATTAAGGATTTTAAATAAAACATTAAAAACAAATTATATTGACTGATTTCAGCTTTGGATGAAATCATACTTGTGTATTTGTAGTAATGCGAAGCATAACTTTCTCCTCACAATTAATCTTTTATAACATCGGTGTTATAGTTTTCTCTGACACCAACATTGTGATATCGCACAGGTTTACTGCATGCATGCATTACATGCCTCCAGAGAGTAGGCTTCAAATATATGGAAAAATTATATTTATGAAAAAATTCTAGGAAAGGGAATGGTGAAATGGAAGAGAATTTCTCACTTGCTAACTGTTGGACATGGATTTGTATATATTTGGATATAGACACATACTGGCACACTGTGAGTTTGCCCATGTATATATACACTTAAATGAGAAACCCATAATATATGGGTTGTGTAATCTTTTAATTAATCCATAATTGTATGTGTGTGAAATTAGATAAGCGGTTACCTTTTCTTTACTCAATTTGATGGAAAGCCAAAAAACTCTGTCCACCTTCATTTCAATTAATCCAATACTGTTAACTGCTGGTAGCTTCATTCTCCTTGTTCTCTTACGGCAACCGGAAAGTTAATTCTCGCTCTAATTTGGCTTTCAAGGTGCGATCAACAAGAGTGTCACCTTGCTGTGGATTGTGACCTCTGACTCCACCTCTGTCTTCCTTTTGCAGTCCTACCTTTGCATAGGTAACAAACTTTGTACATGGTTAAAAGGATAAAAGTTCAGTGAAATGTCAAGCCATGCTGTGAAATGTTCCATAGTTTCTATATCTCTAATTGTCCTTTGATGTTATAGAGGCAAGAAAAATAATTCAATGTTTTTCTTAGTATCTAGTCCAATGCACTCTTTCTTCATAATACTGCAAACAAGGCACTGACATGGAAACGTGGCTGGACGTCTCAAAATCTCTTCTCATTAATTACCATTATGTTAATCACTGTTGCCCACAACTGGAATTGGACTTTGAAATCCCCTGGTGGAAATTGCTATAATGGCTCAAACTACTGGAAAGACTATCTTTTTTTTACCTGAAAATATCTGATGAGCATAGACGTATGCTATATACAGGAACATATTGTACATTAACAACATACCATCACTGCCACTCAATAATAGGTATCCCAAACCTTTGAGCCAAACTGAGCTCAGGTGCTCCCACAAACCAAGCTTTTCCCTCCACAGATTTCTTATGTCAAAAAGCCACAACTCCAGGCCAGGCTTCGTGGCTCTTGTTGTAATTTCTACATTTTGGGAGGCCGAGGTTGGTGGGTCACTTGAGGTCAGGAGTTGGAGACCAGCATGGGCAACATGGCAAAAAGCTGTCTCTACCAAAAATACAAAAATTAGCCAGACCTAGTGGCACTTTCCTGTGGTCCCAGCTACTTGGGAGGCTGAGGCAGGAGAACCACCTGAACATGGGTGGCAGAGATTGTATAGTAAGCCAAGATCAGACTACTGCACTCCAGCCTGGATGACACAGCGAGACCATGACTGAAAAAAGAAAAAAAAAAAAATAAAGGCAACTCCACTCGTCCACTGGCTTAGGTAAAAAGTACTGGAGTTGGCTGGGCTCGGTGGCTCACACCTGTATTCCCAGCACTTTGGATTTTGGGAAGCTGAGTCGGGCGGGTCACCTGAGATCTGTAGTAGGAGAGCAGCCTGGCCAACATGGTGAAGCCTGGCTTCTACTAAAAATACAAAACATTAGCTGAGCGTGGTGATGCATGCTTGTAATCCCAGCTACTGCAGAGGCTGAACCTGGGAGGCGGAGGATGTGTTGAGCTGAGATCCTGCCACTGCGCTCCAGCCTGGTCTACAGAGCGAGAGTACCCTGTGAGAAACAAAGGTGAAGAGAACAAGAAAAAAAAATGAGAAAAATAAGACCCACTGCAAAAGGTTGCCACAGAAAAGATTAAACATTTCAGCAACTTCTATCTTCTGTCATGGAAGCCAAGGTTATTTGGACCAAACCTCCTGTCTTAGTTCATTTTCACGCTGCTGAAGAAGAGATACCTGAAACTGGGAATAAAAGGAGGTTTAATTGGACTGACAGTTCCACATGGCTGTGGAGGCCTCAGAATCATGGTATACGAATAAAGGCACTTCTTACATGGCAATGCCAAGAGAGAATGAGGAAGAACCTGAGGCAGAAACCCCTGAAAAACCCATCAGATCCCGTGAGACTTCTTCACTGTCACAAGAATAGCATGAGAAAGACCGACCCCCATGATTCAATTACCTCCCCCTGGGTCCCACCCGCAACACGAGGGAATTCTGGGAGATACAATTGAAGCTGAGATTTGAATGGAGACACACCAAACCATGTCACTTCCCAAACAATTAAAAATTCCCAATAGAAGAAGCATTAATTATATCAAAAAGTGGTGGACCAAGAAGGAACTATTAGCCTCATATCTCAAGAAAGACTCCAGTCAAGGCCTAGGGACTACTCATGAAAAGAGTTTAATAGCCGACTCTCTCCCAGTGGATCTGGATTCCACCGGACTGTATCTTCACAGTAAGGGTGAAACAGAAGCAAACCCATTCCTATTTCCAAGCTCAAGGAACTTTGGTCAAAGTTCTCTTGGAGCTGAGCAGAACAAGGAGGCAAACAGAAAAGATTTGTGTCCCTGAGAAGTCATGGCCACAGGCTGGCTATCACACAGATTGTCAAGCCAGTTCCATATTGCATGGGTATTACAGAAAATCTCAAAACATAAATTTGTGTGTGGGTTGTCCCAGAGTAGCAGGATCTGGCAGAAGGAAATTTCCTTCTAACCCTCAAAGAATCCACATAAATCTTGTTACATTTGGGATTTTACGATTTGCTTCAGGAATGAGAATGGCCTTAATTTTCATATCTTTTTCTACACTCAGTTTATGGCTTGTTGGCGTCAAAGTTCTGCTTGCTTCACACAATGAGTTTAGGATTTTCCCTTTTTTATTCTATAGAATTCTTCATATATATTGAAATGCTCTGCCTGGGGAAAAAAATCTGAGCCTAGCGTTTTATCTCTAGGAAGAATCCTTTATTTCCTTGAACATTTATGAGACTATACAGATTATATATGTCTTCTTGTATCAATTTTACTAAGCTATATACATAGCTTATGTTTATATATTATATATATAAATGTAAGATACAAATATAAAAATTATGTATAAATATGAAAATATATATAGAAAGCGATATATATGTCTATATATATAGACAGATTATAAATATCTGTCTATTTGATCTAAGTTTTCAAATTTGTAGGTTAAGGTGTTAATGATATTTCCTTATTAGCTTCTTAATCTATGCTGTATCTATGGTTGTGTACCTTTTAAATTCTTAGTTTTATCTATGTTTTCTCCCTTTTTTTCTAAACTTGACTGACGGTTGCATCATTTATTATATTTCTCCAACAAGCAAAGGTTAGCTTTGTATGTTTTACTAATTTTGTCTACATCATTATTCCCACACTTTAGTTTTTCAGAATTGATTCTGTTGTTTCTTTTCTAATTCTTTATTGAAATATCTAGTACATTAATTTTCAAGTTATTAGAGAAATATTTGTCTGTAAACTCCTATTGTAATATCACTTTTCTTGCTACTCACAGATTTAATCTTTAATATTGGCGGTATCATTGAGTTCTAAGTACATTTCAATTCCTAGTATGATAATCTATGAATTGCTGAGAAATAGTGTTTACAATTT